>NC_000002.12:234156284-234459314 GCF_000001405.40 Homo sapiens
CACCTGGGGTCTGTATCAGCAAGAGAATTGTGTGGGTCAGCCACCTCTTCTCCTTGGGGCTGCATTTCCCTTCCCCACCAGTTCTCATCTCTGCTCATAAGCAGCACAGGAGAAAGGTGATGAGGATAGTCAGGGAGGCAGGATAGACAAGGCTCAGAGCACTTTGGGAGTTATAGTCCTCAGGAGTGAGAAAGAAAAGAAACTTTTTATCTGAGGAATGTGAGCCCCCCTTAATTACCAGGCCCAGAGGGGCAATGAAATGTGATAGCGTGTGACAGCAGTCACGTCTCACTCCTTCTTGAGCTAAATAATTACCTCTTGAAGCCACCTGCTATGTGGGCTCTAGACTAACTGACGCCAAGTAGCCATAAAGTGCCATACACCCTATAGTTCACCAATGTACAGCCAATCACTAATCAATGTTATTTCTGTAAACCAATAAGAATTTGACAATAACTTTCTATCAGCCCACTCCCTGTCCCCCTTCTGCCTTTAAAACCTTGCTTGTAACAAAGGTCAAAGGGAGTGCTCCCCAGAGCAACTTAGAAGTGTCTGCTGGGAAGCTGTTGGCCCAAATAAATTCTATTAATTTTGGCTCAGTTTCTTTCTTTGGGTTGACAGGAGTATATAATAAAAACAATGTTTGCCAAAGTTTACGGAGTGCTGACTATGTACTAGGTCTTATATTGAGCATTTAACAACAATTACTAGGGGAATTTCTATTAAATCTTTATTTTCCAGCAATGGCCTTCTCTTAATTAATTTCATTGCTTTACTCTTGGGAATTACCTGGATTCTTTCCTCTAATTCCAAACAGTTTCTGTGCATCTTTCTAGATGAATCTAGAAGTCCTTAAAAATTATAGTTCAATGATAGATCAATCCCCAGCAGACCTGCGCTGCTCTCTGAAAGGGCTTTTTGTCAGTCCAGAGTGATTCAAGAACCAACTACTCTAAGGTGTGCTCAGGCCAAAATATATCTGTAGACTTTTCACATTGCTTCAAGGGCTGTTTACATTAAGATTAAAAAAAAAAAAACTACTCTTTTATCATCTTACATATTTAGTTTTTTTTTTTTTTTTTTGAGACGGAGTCTCGCTCTGTGGCCCAGGCGGGAGTGCAGTGGAGCAATCTCGGCTCACTGCAAGCTCCGCCTCCCGGGTTCACGCCATTCTCCTGCCTCAGCCTCCCGAGTAGCTGGGACTACAGGCGCCCGCCATCACGCCCGGCTAATTTTTTTGTATTTTTAGTAGAGACGGGGTTTCACCGTGTTAGCCAGGATGGTCTCGATCACATATTTAGTTTTTAACCCAATTTTGTAAGATCAGGTCTGCAAACCTGTAATTACCTGTGTAATTAAAGTGAGATATATCATTAAAATATTCAATTTTTTTTAAAAAAATTCCTTTTTGTTTCTGTAAAAATCATGTCTGCTTATTTTTTAGAATTTAAGCAGCGCAGAAAGAGTTGAAAGAGAAAAGTTAAAGAGAAAAATCATCAAATTTCTGCCCTTGAGAAATAACCATTTTAGATTTAAGGAAAATAAATACAAGCCCCAACAAAAGATTCTTAATAATTGAAGATATAGCTAAGTAAAAAGGATTTCCAAAATACACTCACACTAATTATATTTAGAGTTTGCAGTTTGATTAGAACTGCCTACAGGGTGTGATTTGAGGCCTCTTTGCTAAAACATAATTCTCCCGGGCTGTCAGAGGTGTATGAAAAGCCCCTCCCCCATCCCCTCCCTAAGGTTTCACTCCAGCTTCAAGATTCTGCTGACCTTGGGCAAATCACCCCATCTCTCTAGTCCTCAGACTCTTCAGTTTCAAAATGAGGGGGCTGGACCAAGTCATCCCTGAAGGCCCCTCCATGACTGACAGTCTAGGGGCTGTTTTCCCTGTTAAATTGGAAAGTGTCCTATGAGGTGCTTGGATGGTATGAATGGAAGTGGAGATCTCAGAAATATGGGGGTAGGAGGAACTCAGGGGAACCACAGGCTGTGTGATTCCCCTGAGTTCATCTAACCCTATAGGAGGAACGGGAGGAATGAATGGAGGAAATGCAGATACTTGGGACAAAGGTGAAAGGAGAGAGAGAGAGAGAGAGAGAGAGAGAGACAGGACCAAATTTAGAAAATTTCATTTCTTCCACAATTTAATCTATGGTTGACCTAAATTTTATTGTTCGTGTCTTTGATTGCAAGTACATTAAAAATGATAATTATATAGGCAATTAAAGCCTGAAATTAACCAAAAAAAAGAAAGGTACACATTAATGATAGGTCTTTAGATTATACCAAGTCTTCCTGCATTTCCAGTCCTGATTGTTTTCAGATTGTAACCAATTGTCAGAGAGGTAGAGGATCAGACAAACTTCTAATGCAGGTGTCAGAGGAAACAAAGACCAATCCCAAAGTGAGAACAAAGCTTCACTACACAGGAAAAGTAAGTCAAGGCACACACACGTGCCTCAGTTTATAAGAGTTGGATGATCCTATCTTGTTGGTTTGCCTTTGTGAATTCTTTGCATATCGAAGAATTCCCATGGTTTGCACAATGAGAGGATGTGTGGTCAAGTAATAGATTTATCAGCAAACCCACCCCACTAAACAAGAAGGTTTCAAACTTAGTCAGTGTTGTTGATTTATTTACTGTGGGGCTGCTTCACTAAAAGGTAAGCTACCGGCAGTCAGGGACTTGGTCTGGTTGGTTCCCTGCTGTGTTCTCTGGGTCTGAACAGAGCCTGGTTCAATAAACATTTGTGAATGATGAGCCCCAGGGTTTGCCTGAAAAGAGGACTTCCTGCTGAAGATGGATGACTCACAAAGTAATTAGGACAAAAAATTATTTCAAGTTCTTGTTCTACATCCCAAGGATGATGAAAACCCCGCCCCGCAAAGCATGGCTGAAATAGAATATCCTAACAGCCTTAGTGAGCCTTACTGAGTGGGGGCCTGAACCAAATTTATTTAAGAATATAAAGATGTGTGTTACAGTTACCCATAGCTGCAGAACAGACCACTCCAAATGTAGTGGGGTGATGATGTTTTAAAAGGTTCACCTACAGGGAAGGAAGGGTGGAAGCAAGAGGAACAGCTCAGAGGCTTTTATTGCAATACTCCAGGCCAGAGGTGGGGTGGCTTGGATCAGGGTGGTGGTGGTGAAAATGGGATAAACAGTTGGAACTCAGACATGTTTGGATATCTTTTGAGGGTGTAGCCAATGGGATTTGCTGGTGCATGAGATGTGGAATACGAGAAAAAGAAGACTCAGAGATGATTCAAACTCTTTAGCCTGAGCAATTAGAAAGATGAAGTTGCCATTTATTAAAATCGGGAAAGCCATCAAGGGGAATAAACTGAGGTGGGGGAACATTAGAGTCTGGCTTTGGACATGTTAAACTTAAGAGGTCGTGTTGATCAATTTTTGCATTGCTATAAAGAAATACCTGAGGCTGGATAATGTATAAAGAAAAGAGGTCTAATTGTCTCATGGTTATGCAGGCTATATTATAGGAAGCATGGTGCCAGCATCTGCTTGGTTTCTGATGAGGTCTCAGGGAGTTTTTACTCATGGCAGAATGCGAAGCAGGAGGAGCATATCATATGGTGGGAGTGGGGGGAACAGTGCCACACTCTTTTATTTTTTATTTTATTATTATTTTTTGAGATGGCGTCTCGCCCTGTCGCCCAGGCTGGAGTGCAGTGGTGCAGTCTCCGCTCACTGCAAGCTCCGCCTCCCGGGTTCACACCATTCTCCTGCCTCAGCCTCCCGAATAGCTGGGACTACAGGTGCCCACCACCACACCTGGCTAATTTTTTGTATTTTTAGTAGAGACGGAGTTTCACCGTGTTACCCAGGATGGTCTCAATCTCCTGACCTTGTGATCTGCCCACCTCAGCCTCCCAAAGTGCTGGGATTACAAGCATAAGCCACCATGCCCGGCCTATTTTTTATTTTTGAGATGGAGTCTTGCTCTGTTGCCCAGGCTGGAGTGCAGTGGCATGATCTTGGCTCACTGCAAGCTCCACCTCCTGGGTTCAAGCAATTCTCATGCCTCAGTCTCCAGAGTAGCTGGGATTACAGGGGCCTGCCACCACACCCAGCTAATTTTTGTATTTTTAGTAGAGACTGTGTTTCACCATGTTGGCCAGGCAGGTTTCGAACTCCTGACCTCAGGTGGTCCACCTGCCTTGGCCTCCCAAAGTGCTGGGATTACAGGCATGAGCCAATGCGTCCAAACTCATAGAGTGAGAACTCACTCATTACCTCAAGGAGAGGACCAAGCCATTCATGAGAGATCCATTCCCATGATTTAAATGCCTCCAGGCCCCCTCCAACATTGGAGATCACATTTCAAAGTGATATTTGAGGGCGCAAATATCCAAGCCATATCAGATGTTAACTACACGTCTGAATGAAAGCGTTGAGTAGGCAGTTGGATAGGGGACTGGAGTTAAAGGAAGAGGAACAGTTTAGAATTACAGATTAGGGAGCTGTCAGCACAGAGGATGCCTCAAGCCATGAGGCTGAATGACATCTCTAGGCAGTGAATGTGGATAGAGAGGAGAGGGGACTCAGCTGTTCCAAAATGAAGAGGTTGGGGATTTGAACGGAACCATTGAGGTGACCGAGGAAGTGCTCTACTGAGGCAGGAGGGAACTGGGAGCAGCCTGGCGTCTGGAGGATGAGGGCAGAAAGTGCACCAGGAAGGAGGAAGTGATTACTAGGTCAAAAACTGCTGGCAGATTAGGGAAGATGGCTAAGGGATGGATTGTTGGTTTTAGCAATATGAGGGTCCCTGGTGACCTCAAGAGAGCAGCTCCACAGAGAGGATGGGGGTAAAAGCCTAAATGGAGAGGGTTCCAGAAAGAAGGGGAAACCTTGAATGAAGACAATTATTTGAGGAAATATGTTACAAACAGAAGTGGCAAAATGGGTTAGTTGCTGGAGGAGAATGTGGGTCAAAGGAGTTTTTATGAATACGGAGGACACGATAGCGTGTTTTTGTGCAGATGGGAGTAATCTCATAGACAGAGAAAAGTGGATGATGCAGCACGCAAAGGGGAGAGAATCCCCGAGTGTCGTTGAGTAGCCTGAGTGGGGACAAGGCCCAGAGCAGAAGTGGAGGCACTGGCCTGGAAGAGTGCAAGCCCCCTGGAGGCAGAGGGTGGGGACCACCCTAGCACTGAGCCCAGCACCTGATGCACCAAAATATTGTCTGAACAAATACAATACAGCAATCATAATGATAGCCGCTGTTATGGAGCACTCACTGAACATTAGGTGCTGTCGTAGGCACTCTGCTGGGGTGAACTTGTCCAGCTCGCACAAGGCCCTATGTGGCGGGAATGACAGGTATTCTCTTTCCACAGATGGGGTGCTGAGGTGGCCCAGTTTCTTGCCAAATGCAGAGAGCTAGGAAGAGGCAGATCAGTATTCAAAGCCAGGCACCCGGAACATTTCTAAGTTAGGCTATTTGCCTTGGAGTTCCAAAATGTGGTCGGAAAGTCCTCTGTTAAAGAGTGTAAATACAATTCCCATAGAATAAATATCTTAAAATAAATATGAAGGACCACTCTCATCCCCCCTGACTGGAGTGAAAACCACTCAGCTTGAGACAGGGTGCCAGGGTGTCGGTAACCCCCTGGGGACCCCCTCCTCCCTCAGCCTGTGCTCCTCCTGCTGTTTCGTTCCCCAGAGCCTGAAGCCTCTCCAAGGTGTTTGTCTATGACTTGTCATTAGTAATATTATTAATGCCTTGGACTCATCGGTTTCCTAAGATGATTGATTTGGAGAAAGCTGCTATTGTGAATGATTCAGAACACTTAGTGACTGAGCACGTTTGCTGATGAAAGGTGTGGCCCCATTTACTGTGTGCCGTGCTGATGACTGCACTCTGTTCACTGGGTTCATTGGCTGAATGACTGAGATGGGCCCTGTTATCAGCCTCACTTTACAGACAAGAAAACCGAGTGTCAGGAGGTTAAGTTACTAGTTCAAGACTGTACACCACTAAGTGAATTGAACTCGGTTCTTGCTGACTCCAAATCCCATTCTCGGTCTTGTCTCTTGTTGTGACAGGGATGGCGCCCCCACTCTGATCACACTACTGAGAGCCACCAGGTGTTCTCTGGAGCCCCATGAATGTCTTGACAAATGACCTGAGTGTGTGTAGTAAAAGCTAACTCCTGCCACTGCATATTCTAGATACTGTGCCATTGTTTCCTTGAGAGAAACGAATTGAACTCATCCAGTATCTAGAGTTTTCAAACTCTCCTTAGAGGAAAAAGCACATTGCCCTCCCAGTCCCTAGTCTGCCCTCCCAGTCCCTAGTCTGGTGAGTAACCAATGCACTCACATCTATGAGGAAGCGACCCGGTCCTGCCCCTCCCACCAATGTGCTGCCGGAGCCCTCCACAACAAACAGGTCTGGAGAGCCACTGAGTGAGGAGGCCACAACAGAGCCCTGATGAACCATCTAGGAGCACATTGCTGAAGGCCCTACCATCCCTTTTACGTATTTTATCTTATGCACACACAGATTTACTCTTCAATTACAATGTCAATGTTGTGATTTATTCATGCTGCAATTTCAGGCCCCAGGACAAGCATTAGGTGAGTTGTCTTTGGGTAGGAGTCTCTCTTCAGACTGCTCAAAATACTCTAGATTTATGTCTCTACTATTCAGAATGAGCTTGACTTCAACCTTTCTACATCACCAGTTGTAGACAGGAACATGTTTACAGTTGCACAGTGAGACAGCCCGAGGGGTTGAAGAATTTCTGCAAACCTGCAAGGCAGGGTGGCTCATACCAGATTCCAGGGTCATAAGCAGGCAAAGGGAGAAATCAGATATCTGGATCAGGCTACCATTCCAGAGTGTACCAAAAAAGATGGTGTGTGTGTGTGTGTGTGTGTGTGTGTGTATGTGTGTGGTGTGTGTATGTTGTGTGTGTGTATATGGATGTTGTGTGCGTCTGGGTGTTGTGTGGATGGGCATGTGCACACATATATGTCTGCTTGTCGGGGGAGAGAGTTAAAGCAGATATGTAAACCTGGCTCAATGTGAAGCAGACAGGCAGTCCAGAGAGGTAGAACATAATACATGTCCAGCCAGGTGGTCCTGGAAGCCCGGGAACAGATGGGGGTAAACAGCTGAGCTCCAGAGGACTGGCTACACCTGTCCAGGTGAGGGCCATGATGGCCAGGCTCATGGGACGACTGAAAAGTGGACAGTAATTTGGAGATCAACATCATAGGAGTAACTCCAGATTGAGTATTGCTGGAGGGAAACTGAAGACCCGGGGAGGGAGACATGAAGTCAAGCTTTCTCTGTCTCTTTCCCAGTGAGGATTAGAGTAAAATACAATTACATGCAATATCGTCTATCTTATCTGATCCTCTTTGGATCTGAGCTGTAATTTTCCCCCTGAAACCTTCTATGCATTATGGGTTTGGCATTTCCATTTATCTTCCAGTAACTATTTACATTTGCATCTGTTCATCTCTAAATAGTTTCTCTTTCTTTTTCCCTGACATCTTAAGCTTTTTGTCTCTCAAATGACAACCGCACACACAAAAGAAATGCCTGACTCTGCACTCACATTTGGCTTTATTATGAATTCTGCTCCGTAGACAAATTTATGAATCCCAGGGTTCTCCCTCGAACTCATCTCATTAGGATTAGAGGCAGAAATGTTCGTATCTTTCGCATAAATAATGCATGCCACAATGGCTAGCTGCTGCTTGATGGAGCCCATTTCTTCTCCTATTTCATTTACAACAAAGGATCACAGTGATTACCTTACCTGGAGACCCACTCGGGAGCCCTGGAGCCTCAGGAATAAGGGGGAGAAGACTGAAGGAGACTAGCCCGGGCAACACCAAATCCAACTGGAAGCCACGGAGGCAAAGGCTTCGGTCTCGTGGGCACCGGTCCCACCTAGGGATGAACTCAGCTGTGAGCCAGACCTGGGTCACCAATGCCAAGACACTGAGGCTCTCTATATGGTGACCTTCTTATGACCTTGGCCGTGTCCTGGGGGAGGATTTGTGAGTTTCTCCATGTAGGTGACTAAATCACAAAAGAGACAAGGCACCTTGAAGGCCTACTGGGGCTTTGATTACTTGAGGGAAAGACCACCCCTTGCAGGCCTTGGGCAAAACCTTTAGCTTCTGAAACACACAGCAGGGGCAGTTGTCCCATCAGAGCAGCCCAGTGGTGCAGCGCAAAGAAAGGCTTGATTTTGAATACTGGCTCTGCCACTATGAGCAAGTCATGTAGCCCTTCAGAGTCTTTGCCTCCTCATCTGTCAACTGGGCTAACGGCACTCAGCTGAGAGTCTGGTACTGGGGTAAACGAGCCGCTGCGCCGTGACTGCACCGTGAGGGCACTGGGGTGATGGCTGGCACGTGGTTTCCTGCTTCCTCTGAGGCCAGTGCCAGGTCTCAAGGGATGGCTGTCAGGCACAGATTGAATATAAGGGGGAGGAAGAAAGTTCAGTTCCCCTTTGAGATTTATCTCACCTCTTTTTTCAGCTGTTTTGCTCTTGTGACTACTCTTGGGGTCCGCTGAACTGGAACCTAAAAGCCAGGAGCTGAGAAAAGCCTGGGGGCGAGGCTTTAAAATCGCATTGCCAACTCTGCACTGATGGATAAAAGTAGGTGACTCAGAGGTCCATGGAGATCATGGGCGAGCAGCCGAGGGTCCATGGAGATCATAGGGAAGCAGCCAAGGCTGCATCCATCCCTCGGGTTCCCTTTCTTTTTTTTTTCCTTTTTGTTGTTTTTAGGGGTACATGTGCAGGTTTGTTATATGGGTAAATTTCGTGTAGCAGGAGCTTGGTGTACAGATTATTTCATTACCCAGGTGATAAGCGTAGTACCCAACAGGCAGTTGATCAGTCCTCACCCTCCGCCCACCCTCCACCCTCCAGTAGGCCCCGGTGTCTGTTGTTCTCTTCTCTGTGTTCACATGTACTCAGTACTTAGCTTGCACTTATAAGTGAGAACATGTGGCATTTGCTTTTCTGTTCCTGTGTTAGATTTCAGCTTCCATTGCTCACAGTGTCCCGCCCACCCCCCACCCCCCAAGCCCCCCCTCCCCATCCCCACTTGTCTTCCCCTCCAGGAGGCACCATCACCGGCCCTGTTTCTGTGGATGCCCCAGGGCTGGATGGGGACACCCAGGCCCTCCCCTTTCCTGTGCCTGTTATTCCGGTTCTCAGCCTCGCTCAGCCTTCCTTGTAGCAAGCCACTAGCTCTTCTCCTTGCTTCCATACTTGCCTCCAATCAACCCAACCCCCTTGCTCGGCCTAGTCAGTAAATATCTGAGAAAAATATTTCCGAGCAGCCATGGATTGAAAGGCAAAGAAAACATTGAAAGGCTCACATTCTGCAGCTGTGGGAGACCACATTGAACATTCCACCCATTCTCTCTCAGATAGATGCAAGGCCCATAACTTATTCTGGTCTAGTTATTCAATTTGTGGTTCTACCAGAGTAATTCCATTTCCCATGCTCTCAGAAATATTTTAGAACAAGAACAAAAATAACCTTATGTATGTGCACACATACACGCCACCCACAAGACAAACTGGATGTGTATAGAAGATTGCTCGACTTGGCTCTGGAACACTTTTAGATGGTATCACTTTATTACACAGTGATGGGGGTCCCACATGTGTTTCTAGGTAGCATCTGGTTTACTAATAAGAGTTTGAGCTGTTTAGGGAAAGAATCGGGACATGAAGGAGTTGGAGATATTTATGTCTAGAAAGAAAAGACTTGTTCATGTGCACCCTGGGTGTGCAGGGTGCAATGGGAACTGGAGGTGTGGTGAATAAAGACCATGACTCTTTGAAAAAAACTGGAAGAGCTGCCATGTGGCAGGCACACAGACTGACTTTACCATAGAGACAGGTTGTGAGTGATGGGAAGGCAGATTTTTGTTAAATATAGAGAACAATGTTCTAATAACTATTGCTATTAAGAAACAGAATGGATTACTTTACGAGGCATGGAGTCTTCTGTTCCTAAAAGTGTTTAAGCTGAGACTAGAATTCTGCTTTGGTTATCTGTTGCTGTCCAAAAAAATTAACCCTAAACTTACTGACTTAAACAAAGCCTTTTTAATTTATTTTCTCATGATTCTGCAATCTGGGCAGGGCTCGGCAGGGGCAGTTCATATGGCATCATCTGGGTGGCTTGAGTGGGGCTGAGGGATCCACTTCAAAGATGGCCTCACTCATAGCTGGCAGGTTAGTGCTGATTGCATCTAGAAATTCAGCTGGGGCTGTGGGCTGGAGGCCTCAGTTTTCCTCCATGTGGCCTCTGCACATAGTTAGGCTGGCTTCTCAGAGCATCATGGTCACAGGTAGTTCTTATGCTGTGTCTACCTTCATCCAGACAGAAGAGAAGTTGCTAGGCCTGATTGACGTTTAAGCCCAGAACTGGCGTAGCTTCACTTCTGCAACATTCTGTTGGTTGAAGCAGGGTCACTGGGCCAGAGCAAATTCAAAGTGAGAGAACCACATAAAACGTGAATACATCATTGGAGTCCACCAAAGTTATGCTTTATCACAATGCCCAACTAGCTTTATAATACAGAACATTCATTTTCTGGGTAGAAGGTTGAAATGAGTGATCATTGATGCTTCTTGGAACTCTAAAACTCTCTGGTTAAATTTCTTTTCAACCTCCAGTGCCTAGTACAATCACAGGCACATCATGATCATTAAAACAGTACTTATTGATTGATTGATTTCACACATTTTATATTTTCAAGCTGAGACAGGGCCTCAGTCAATATCTCACAGGAACATAGCTCTCTGCAAAATAGAATGCCATTTCAAGCCAACAAATGATTACTCTTCATGCTGTAGATACAAACTTGGTCCAAAGTAATTCGTTTTGCAAATGCTGTTTTTAGACACACACGCACAAATCACTCTGGTTTATAAAATCCATGGCACAATGTAAGGAAGGATGGGAAGGTATATGCTGTTACATTACATGTATACTTTGCTACCTGAATTGGTTTTTTTTAAAGGTAAAATTTCTGTTTATTATCAATGTAAAACACACTCACTATGGCAAATGTATATGAAAATGAGCACACAAAAAAGAAAAAGAATCACTTATAATGACTTATAGGTAACTACTCCAAACTTTTTATGCATATTTTAATATAGATTAACCTAATAGGTTTATATTATTATTTCATTTAACTTCACCGTAACTTATTTTCTATGATACTAAAAAATTCTATATTGAAATAATATATTTTGTGTCAAAATATTTAATAATATTAAAATCCTTACACTTTTTTTTTTCAAGATGGAGTCTTGCTCTGTCATCCAGGCTGGAGTACAGTCACGCAATTTCAGGTCACCCCAACCTCCGCCTCCCGGGTTCAAGCAATTCTCCTGTCTCAACCTCCCGAGTAGCTGGGATTACAGGCACACACCACTACGCCTGGCTATTTTTTGTATTTTTAGTAGAGACGGGATTTCACCATGTTGACCAGGCTGGTCTCAAACTCCTGACCTCATGATCCACCCGCCTTGGCTTCCCTAAGTGCTGGGATTACAGGTTTGAGCCACCATGCCTGGCCACAAATGCTTTTTAATTATTGCAAAATATATATAATTCTGCCATATGGAGATACCATAATTTACTTATTGTGCTTATCTTAGGTTTAAAATTGTTTAAAAATTGTTAACACTAAATATCATCATATTATACATTTTTCTGCATAAAGACTTATTTAGAAATATGAAGGGGTGGGTTGCCCCTCCACACCTGTGGGTGTTTCTCGTTAGGTGGAATGAGAGACTTGGAAAAGAAAAAGACGCAGAGACAAAGTATAGAGAAAGAAATAAGGGGGCCCAGGGGACCAGCATTCAGCATATGGAGGATCCCACCGGCCTCTGAGTTCCCTTAGTATTTATTGATCATTCTTGGGTGTTTCTCGGAGAGGGGGATGTGGCAGGGTCATAGGATAATAGTGGAGAGAAGGTCAGCAAATAAACACATGAACAAAGGTCTCTGCATCATGAACAAGGTAAAGAATTAAGTGCTGTGCTTTAGATATGCATACACATAAATATCTCAATGCCTTAAAGAGCAGTATTGCTGCTCGCATGTTCCACCTCCAGCCCTAAGGAGGTTTTTCCCTATCTCAGCAGATGGAACATACAGTTGGGATTTATACCGAGACATTCCATTGCCCAGGGACGGGCAGGAGACAGATGCCTTCCTCTTGTCTCAACTGCAAAGAGGCATTCCTTCCTCTTATACGAATCCTCCTCAGTACAGACCCTTTACAGGTGTGGGGCTGGGGGACGGTCAGGTCTTTCCCTTCCCACGAGGCCATATTTCAGACTATCACATGGGGAGAAACCTTGGACAATACCTGGCTTTCCTAGGCAAAAGTCCCTGCGGCCTTCCGCAGTGTTTGTGTCCCTGGGTACTTGAGATTAGGGAGTGGTGATGACTCTTAACAAGCATGCTGCCTTCAAGCATTTGTTTAACAAAGCACACCCTGCACAGCCCTTAATCCATTTAACCCTGAGTTGACACAGCACATGTTTTCAGGGAGCATAGGGTTGGGGGTAAGGTTATAGATTAACAGCATCTCAAGGCAGAATAATTTCTCTTAGTACAGAGCAAAATGGAGTCTCTTATGTCTACTTCTTTCTACACAGACACAGTAACAATCTGATCTCTCTTTCTTTTCCCCGCAGAAATATATTTTAAAATACACTTCAAAGAGATGTATTAACATTACATATTTTATTCCGTAAACATTTATTGAACACCTACTATGTCTAGACACATTGATAGGCTAATAAAAAACACCTATATATTGATTGTTCACTTACTATGCATCAGGTACTATATTAAAGGATCTACAATTAGTTTGCTAAGGCTTTTGTAACAAATTCCACAAACATGGTGGTGAGACAGACATTGTCTCACAGCTCTGGAGGCTGGAAGTAGGGCTGTGCTCCTTCTGAGGACTCTAAGAAAATACGCTTCCTGGCCTCTTTCCAGCTTCTGGTAGTTGCCAGCAATTCTTGACATTCTTTCACTTGGTCCTAAGTAATAGCTACTTATGATAGGGTCATTCCACTCTGTGTCTCTGTTACCATATAGCCATCTTCCCTCTGTGTGCCTCTGTGTCCTAATTTCCCTCTTCTTACCCTAATCCAATGTGACCTCATCTTAACTTGATTACAGCTGCAAATATCTTATTTCCGAATAAGGTCACCTTCACAGATTTCAGGTGCACATGCATTTTTGGAGGACAGTATTCATTCTAGGCAGCATTCCATGAATAATATTTTCTGATCCTCACAATTACTCTCTTGGGGTAAGTATGTTGATCATCCTGGGGCTTAGAGAAGCCAATTATCTTTTCTAGGGTCATACAACCAGGAAACTGTGGGGCAGGTGTTCAAAGCCAGAAGCTCCAGCTCCAAGGTCCCACTTGCAAACACCAGCTCTACTGCTAGAGGGGCTGTTTGTATCAGAGGCCAACAGGTTAGAAAAACCAACAAAAGTGATTTGCTTGCCCAGTCAAGGGGATCATGAATCCCCAGCCCTGTGGGTTACAATGAGCTCACTTTTCGTTTTTCTCTGTCATGAAAGTGGAAACCTTGGAAAAGCTGAAGAATGAAGAGGGGAGGATTGAACAGGGACCCTTGGAACTGTAGGTAGTAAGGCCAGGGAAGCCCTGCCAGGTGTTCAGAACTAGCTGCAGCCACAGTAGGAAGCCAGCCATGGGACACTGAGGTGTTCTGGGGCTGGAAGGGCTGTGGGATGGTTCCAAGCTGTGCCAATGCTAGAGGCAGCAGAAGTGGAGCTTACAGCCAATGAGGTGCTCCTTTCCTAATGAATATTTGCGTCTCTCCTCCCATCCCATGAGAACACGTGGACTGCCTTAAAAATAGCATCAGTCAAGCCCCTCTTAGCTTAATTTCCACGTTCACAACCTGAATGTGCAGTTCTAAACTTGGAACTGACAAAAGGCGGCCGAAAGATTGCTTTTCAGAAAATAATGAGCTTAATGGGCCCTTTGACAAATGGTAGAGATTTTCATTTTCTACTGTCCCTTTGTTTGAACTATTTTCTGTTTTTTTTTTTTTTTTTTTTTTTGAAACGGAGTCTCGGTCTGTCGCCCAGGCTAGAGGGGCAGTGGCGCGATCTCGGCTCACTGCAAGCTCCCCCTCCCGGGTTCACGCCATTCTCCTGCCTCAGCCTCCCAAGTACCTGGGACTACAGGCACCCGCCACCACGCCTGGCTAACTTTTTTTTGTTGTTGTATTTTTTAGTAGAGACGGGGTTTCACCGTGTTAGCCAGGATGGTCTCCATCTCCTGACCTGGTGATCTGCCCTCCTCGGCCTCCCAAAGTGCTGGGATTACAGGCGTGAGCCACCGTGCCTGGCTAATTTTTTGGTATTTTTAGTAGAGACAGGGTTTCACCGTGTTAGCCAGGATGGTCTCCATCTCCTGACCTGGTGATCCGCCCGCCTCGGCCTCCGGAAGTGCTGGGATTACAGGCGTGAGCCACGCGCCCAGCCTTTTTTTTTTTTTTTTTTTTTTAGGTGACATGTACATCTTTGTTTCCAACAACTGGATGTGGGTTGAAAGGAAAGCCTCTGTGAAATGAGTTTCCTGTGAAAATGAGACCTCGACCGTGCAAAGTGAAATCGTAGTAGGGAGGCTTCTGCTTTAAAGACTCAAATTGTGGAAAGGTGGTCCTCCCACTGCGCTGTTCTCAGAAAGGCGGGCAGTCGCCTGGAGGAGTGGAGAGAAGGGAGGTCGCCATCTTAAAGGGGATAGGGCTGAGTTGTCCTGGGCTCCTTCTGCCGTCCCTTGCGGTGGCGCCACAAGACCTTTGGAAGCTGGCTTCCTTGCCATCTGCTGTTTCTCACCTTAGATACTCGTTTGTGCCGTGTCTATCTTGTCTGGTTCCACTTTCAGCAAGAAAAAGAAAACTCCCTTTCAGTAGAACACTATAGGCTTTTCGGTTAAAATAGCGAAGGGAGCATATGCCTCTAACATGCCTCCCCCATCCCAATGTCAAATCCAGAAAGTAACCCAAAAGAGAAGAACATACGTGAGCGCTGGAGACCCGGGAGGGTGCATTTCAACAGCACGCCAGGAACTTCAAGGGAGTTTTGCAAAATGTTTCATGTAAGGGAAATTAGAGGGAGAGAAAGGAATGGGGACATGTTGAGGTGTGTGTGTCCCCCTCTACCTGGGGAGGCAATCGCAACCTCCATCTGTACCTTGTGGTCCATGCTACAGAGATAAGAGGCAAGGTCACGTTCTCTGCTCAGGGCTTCATGGCTGTGCCGAGGAAGGCTGGGTCACCGGACACTTCTCCAGCCGTTGTGGGGCCCCTGGTTAGCAGCCAGGGGTAGCGGCGCCCACAGCCTTACGGTGCCCCTGCCTGTCCTTGGAGATGTTGTGATGTGGGCCCCCGATGACATGCCAGGGAGGAGGAGCCACTCTCCCTCCCAGTAAGGGTCCTGGATCCGGCAGCAGGAGCAGGGGGTCCACGGAGGCCCTCATCCCAGCGTCTCCAGGTACAGGCAGGGGCGCGCTGACACTGTGGGCTCTGCCACCACCGGCTGCTAACCAGAGGCTCCACGGCCGCTAGAGAAGTGGCCAGTGACCCAGCCTGCCTCAGTACAGCTATGAAGTCTTTTGCAGAGAATGCAACTTCTGACCTGCCAAAGTGAAAAGCATGGTAAATCTGGGTTGAGACACTTTCAGCAGGATCCTACACAATCTCGCCCCGTCTCTTACAGAAGCCACCTTCACCGCCGGTGCTCCCTGGATACAGATCAGAACCCCTCTGCATGCTAAGCAAGCTAAGAAAAGCAACAGGACATCTGAAAAGCCCCGTGATGATGGCTCTGGGAGAAACTGGGCTAGGAACTCAGAGCAAATACCATCCGTATCATAACTCCCTAATTCCTGGGCGTGACATAGGCTTATTCCGGGAAGCAGGAAGAGAGCTTTGGAGTGCTCTCAATCTGTTTTCAATGGATACTGTATCTGTGAGTAGAGAATGACACGAGAGCAGAAAAAAAGGGTCTTCTGTTAAAAAGTACAACTAGTGAATTAAAAGAAGAAAAGTCAGCGGAGGCAGAGAAGGTTAGATGAGATGCCCTGAAATTCTCAGAGGAAAAGTCTGCCGAGATTAATGAAGAAAGCAAAACTGAAGAGATAAACAAGTGACAGGCATGTAGAGATAATAAGTGACAAGAAGAACAAATTTAGGAGATTCAGTATATCCATTATCAGAATGTAAACGGCAGCAAAGCTCAGAGCAGGCGTAGAAGGGTTTTCCGGTAATAGATGACATTTTATTCTCTCATACTTTAAAAATCTGTTCCATAAATGCAGTTCTGAATCACCTTGCATGTGTAAAGCTCCATATTTGGACTTTCTCTCCTGTTTTCTTAATTAGCCTTGCTAAAGAGTGACTACATTCAGAGTTTCCTAAGGATATCCATTTTTAAGTATCACCTGGAGTGTTGGCTAAGAATACGGATTTCAGGGCCTCTCCCCAAATGTTCTGGATTTTAATTTGGGGTGGTAGGAAGACCTGGAACTTTAATTTTACCAAGCATCTGAGGTTGTCTTATGATACTCTCAGTTTGGGAAACTTGCATATCATCATTGCCTTTTTGAATAATTAATTTGGATGTATTTAACAATTTTATTTAATTTTTGTAATTAATAATTTCTGATTTTGTCATCGTTATTTTTTCCTTCGGGATTTTGCTATTTTTTCTTTTTCCTCCTTTTTTAAATCTGAAGAGAAATCCTTGGCTTATTGATATTTTTCTCTCTTTTTTGCCACATAATAAAAGCTTTTAAAATAGAATTTTCATCTGGGGATAGCTTTGTTCAAATTCTACGGTTTTGTATAAGCAAAATTTCCATGGATATTGTTTTCTAAATAGGTTGTAACTACAAGATAATTCCTTTCATTAATCAAAGCATCACTTAAAAATTTTTTCACCTGGTTTTTGTTTTACTTCTAAAATTTTGTTTAAAATGCCGGTGCCGGTAAAGGCCTTAAGTGCTAGAACCAATTAGAAATTAGAATAAAAACTATGGTCCAGGCGTGGTGGCTCATGCCTGTAATCCCAGCACTTTGGGAGGCCAAGGGGAGTGGATCACCTGAGGTCAGGAGTTCAAGACCAGCCTGGCCAACATGGTGAAACCCCATCTCTACTAAAAATACAAAAATTAGCTGGGCATGGTAGTGCATGCCTATAATCCCAGCTACTCAGGGGGCTTAGGCAGGAGAATCACTTGAACCCATGAGGTGGAGGTTGCAGTGAGCCGAGATCACGCCACTACCCTCCAGCCTAGGCGATAGAATGAGACTCTGTCTCAAAAAATACATACATATAAAACATAAAATTTAAAAAAAGAAGAAAAACCTTGGTCAACCTTGACATCTAAACAAAACTATAAAGTTATTAGTATGGATGTATAAATTTGGAGATAAAATAGATTGCTAAATAGAGAAAAACGGAATCAAATTTTAGAATACATCAATGTAGAACAGGATTTCTCAAACACGACACTATCGACAATTTGGACTGGATGATTCTGGGCATGGTGTGTGGGGGAGGATGGTTCCGGGCATCATAGAACACTTAGCAGCAGCTGTGGTCTCCACCAAGAGATGCTAGTGTCATGCCCTCCATTACATCCCATGTTGTGACAACCAAAACTGTTTCCTGGGAGTCCAAATTGCCTTGAGTAAAAACCAGTGATTTAGAAAGAGGGAGGTCTATCCTTGCTCAAAGATGAATTTGGAAACTTGCAAATCTTAAATCTATCTTTGTCCCTTTCAGAATCTTTTTTCCAGCACTGGTTGGCTCCATGGGCTTTGGAGGGGAGTGTGAAGTAGGAAGGAGGTTGTACTGAAACGTACACAGTAATGTGCTCTAATCGATGCATTGATTCTCTTTCTTTTCAGTCCAGAGGAACTCACAAACCTCTCCATTCTTGGCAACAGTTTCTGAAACCAACATTATTAAATTACCAAAAAAAAAAAAAAAAAAAAAGAAGCTGGAACAATTCCTGCCAGAGAGCCCTTAATAGACCTCTCCAAAGTATTTATTTTATATCATTGAGTAGTGAGCATTTTAATCTCTCTTTTGCAGTCAATAAATTGAGGCTTGGGGAGTTTAAGCAAGGGCCCAAAGTTATGGATGTGTTTCCAAGGTAGAGGAGCTGATAAAAGGGGGTCAGGTAGCCTGACTTCCGGATGTATGCTCTGATTTCTTGGTTAAGATGAAGGGCACTTAACTGTGTCTCATTTGTCTCTTTCCCCACTGCTTGCAAAATTGCCCATAAAGTTTGTAAAACTGCGATGCTCTGCAAAATAAAAAAAAAAATCAACAGATTGCTGAAGAATATAAGGCATTTTTTCCAGATATCAGAGTTTCCTTATTCCCCTTGTCTTTCATTTTATTTCATGAAATTTATGTTTTGTTGTATGAAAGGTAAGAAAAGGAGAGTCAGAAAATACAGATGCCATTTCATCTGCTAATTCCGCTGATAGCAATCTATCTTCATGAAATGCAAGTAAAGCTATTTTGCAATAAAATATTTGTCATAATGTTATTTATAATGGCAAAACCTTTGGAAAAGGTCAAATGCCCAAGATAGGATACTGGGTTACTAAATTATGATTCGGTCACACAATGAGTTATTATAGAAATATTTTAATTTATTATTATTTTTGCAATGAAGTCTCGCTCTGTCGCTCAGGCTGGAGTGCAATGGCATGATCTCAGCTCGCTGCAACCTCTACCTCCTGGGTTCAAGCGATTCTCCTGTCTCAGCCTCCCAAATAACTGGTAAATTGTTTTTATAATGCTATTTTACTAACTGCATTAGGCCATTCTTGTGTTGCTATAAAGAAATATCTGAGACTGGGTAATTTATAAAGAAAAGAGGTTTAATTGGCTCTCAGTTCTGCAGGCTGTACAGGAAGCATGGCAGGATCAGCTTCTGGGGAGACCCCAGGAAGCTTCCAATCACGGCAGAATGCAAAGAGGGACCCAGCACATCACATGGTGAAAGAAGGAGCAAGAGAAAGAGCAGGAGGTGCCACGCACTTTTAAATGACCAGATCCTTTGAGAAGTCACCCACTCACTATGACAAGGACAGCACCAAGGGGATGTTGCTAAGCCATTCCTAAGAAAACCACCCCCATGATCTAATCACCTTCCGCCAGGCCCCACCTTCAATACTGGGGATTTCAATTCAACATGAGATTTGAGCAGGGTCGCATATCCAAACCATACCACTCACTTTTTTGTTTTAAGGCATGTGTTAATTGTAGAACTAAATTAATGGTACTGAAAGGTACAAAGGTGAAAGTAAAACATCGTGTTAAGTATTCCAGCACTCAGTACGGTAGTCATTAGGGCTGTTGATGAACTCACCGACCCTCTCACTGGACATAATAAAATGGAACTTTCCCTCCCACTTAAACTTCAATGTGGTCATGTGACTTGCTTTGGCCAGTGAAATGTGAGCAGCCATGACTGTGCCCATTTTCCAACACACGCATCAACACTGGGTCCGATCAATATTACCAACCATTGACAATCTGGCAATCTGATAGCAAACACAAATTTGCATTTCCTTGTTTGTCTTTCTTTGATTTCTTTAGTTGTCTCTCTCTCTCTTGCTCGCTTTCTTTTTTTTGATAAAGCTGAACCAGGTCATACTGAACATGTAGCTAACCTTTTGGGAACAGACCCCTTAAGTCGTTTAACTAATTTTGACTGTAAGTATTCTTTGCATATTAACCCATTGCCAGCAAATCTGTATCCCTCTTTTGTCATTTTTCTTTCAGCTTGGCTCATATTTTTTTCACAAAGAAGTTAATATTTTATGGTCCAACTTTAACCTTTATGAGTTTTGGTCTTGTGGCATGTTTAGAAAATACTTCCTCACTTCAAAATCATTAATATTCATTTAAAGCTGGATTCTAGTACTTTTATGTTTCATTTTTTAATACTTAAATTTTTTATAATCTAGAGTTTATTTTAGAGTAAGGAGAGAAATAGTGGTAGTATTGCAGTTTTTGTTGTTGTTGCTGTTGAGACAGAGTCTCGCTCTGTCACTCAGGCTGGAGTGCAGTGGCATGATATTGGCTCACTGCAACCTCTGCCTCCCAGGTTCAAGCAATTCTCCTGCCTCAGCCTCCCAAGTAGCTGGGACTACAAGCACGTGCCACCATGCCTGGCTAATTTTTTGTATTTTTAGTAGAGACGGGGTTTCACCATGTTGGCCAGGGTGGTCTCAATCTCCTGAGCTTGTGATCCACCCGCCTCGGCCTCCCAAAATGCTGGGATTACAGGCGTGAGCCACTGCTCCCGGCCTTTTCTTTTCTATCTACTGGTTAATAAATTGTGCTGCCACCACCTATTAAGCCATTTAAAAAAATCCCCATTGGGCCAAGTGCCGTGGCTCATGACTGTAATCCCAGCACTTTGGGAGGCCGAGGCAGGTGGATCACCTGAGGTCAGGAGGTCAAGACCAACCTGGCCAACATGGTGAAAACCCATCTCCACTAAAAATACAAAAAATTAGCTGAGCGTGGTGGCACACAACTGTAGTCCCAGCTACTTGGGAGGCTGAGGCAGGAGAATCACTTGAACTCAGGAGGCAGAGGTTTCAGTGAGCCAAGATCATGCTACTCCACCCCAGCCTGGGCAACAGAGCAAGACTCCATCTCAAAAAAAAAATCCCTATTGATTTGAAATTATGGTGAGATTTTTGGGTTTTGATGGCATGGGGCATACTTATCATGATGCCTTATGAAAAGAACTGATTGAAACAAAATTGTAACAGAGAGAATGAGCCCCAGTCTCAAGTAAGTGTATTTACAGAAAAATTCTGGAAAGAATTCTATCATGCTGTTTTTTGAAGAGTATTTTTCTTTAAATACTTTTACGTGTTTTCTAAAATTCTGCAATGTATGCTATTGCTTTATAATCGGGAAAACCGCATCACATATGTCATTTTAAACCACTATGTTTTTGAGTGACGTAAGCAGAGAAGCCTATCAATTCAACTTATTTTCCTCATAGGATTGTTTTCTGGCCTTAGCTCTGTTGTCGAAAGTTCTCCCAATTCTGACAACAGTACTAGCAAATGTCCTGCTTTATAATGCTTCTGTATCTCAAAGTCACCACCGCATAAACTTGCCAAGCAGTGATGCTAAGTGCAAGTTTTCTTAAGCGGAGAATTACAGCACATCTTTAGTGAAAAAAGTAAAAACCTAGGAACGCTCTTGAGTTGTGCAAAGTGAGATAAATGGAGATTTGTGGCCACGACACTCAACTCACCCTCCTGCTGTTTGTTGGTTTTTTTCTTTGGCTTCTGGTTACAACAGGTTTTGGAAATACCTTGGCTTTTTTTTTTTTTTTTTTTTTTCGCTTTGAAAAGTTGAGCCACTTTCCTCTCAGGGCATCATGATAAGTATCACTTCTTAAAATTCACAGCCAGGTTCTATACAGCAGTGACAATAGACTAATTAGATCTGCCACCTAGGAATATGTTCATATATGTCCATATATTTATGATGGGGTTCATAAATATAATTTATGCAATTACGTAAAACAAAAGTGTATGCAAAAATTCCACAAATTGGCCAGGCGAGGTGGCTCACTCCTGCAATTCCAGCACTTTGGGAGGGCGAGGTGGGCAGATCACGAGGTCAGGAGATGGAGAACATCCTGGCCAACATGGTCTCTACTAAAAATTGAAAAAAAAAAAATTAGCTGTGTGTGGCAGCATGTGCCTGTAATCCCAGCTACTGGAGAGGCTGAGGCAGGAGAATCGCTTGAACCCGGGAGGCGGAGGTTGCAGTGAGTCGAGATCACACCACTGCATTCCAGACGGCAACAGAGCGAGACTCTGTCTCAAAAAAAAAAAAAAAAAATCCACAAATTACTGAATATCATGTCCAGATCTCCAGTAATGTATCATTTTTATTCTTTTATCATTTTTATGTTAAGTTTAAAGCATGTAAAATAGTGCTCTGTATTGTTTAGGGATAATCTAGTCATGATATAAAGAACTGTGTGAGAAGAATGATAACTGTCCATTCATGCCAGTGGTTAGTTCTGAGAGGGGGTAGTGCAGGCATTGTGATTGAATAGGGGCACAGAGAGATAAGAGAAACAGTGTGAAGCTATGTCACTGTGTGAGCTGAATCTTCCTGTTGAAGCCAGGAGGAAAAGGAGGAGGCAAAGCCGACTCCAGGCTGCCAGACGAGCGGCTGGGTGATGATGGAACCATTCAGCACGATCTCAAATATAGGGAAAGACCAGATATGTCCTCTGTTCTTTCCCTTTACACTCTGTGCCCTGCGGGGCTTATCTTTATGGACTATTTCAACTGGGCCCCTAATGCTGTGGCTTCTGGCTGGGTTTGGCCAAGCAGCAGCACCAGCAGGGGATCAAAGAGTAGGAGGAGGGAGAGATGAGGCCACTTATCCGTGGCTGCCTCTGTGCCAGGCTGCAGGCAAACAGCGGCCACAGGCTCTCCTGCTGCACTCTGGGCGCCAGGAACTGTCCAGCCTGAATGGCTCCCCAGTGTGGCTGATGCCAAGGCGCATCGCTGTCCCTTGCTGATTTTCTTCAACTTTGCCCACACCTTGAAAATGACTCATAAAATTGTCCTCAAGTACCCTTTTTGAATGAGCTACTTGTTTCCTACAGCTTTTCTGACTATTGTAAGAAGGATGACAAATGTGTTTGTTTTCTACCGCTGCTGTAATAAACTATCACAAACTCAGTGGCTTAAAGCAACACGAATTTATTCTCTTACAGTTCTGGAGGTCAGAAGCCTCCAGTGGGTCAGCAGGGCTGCGTTCTTTCTGGAGGCGCTCGGGGAGAATCCATTTCTTTGCTGTTTCCATCTCCTCTGGGCTGCCCACATTCCCTGGCTCATGGCCTTACAAAATTCTAATCTCTGCTTCCGCAGCCATGTCACCATCTCCTACTCTGACTCCTGCTTTCCTCCTATGAGGGTCCTTGTGAGTATATTGCACTCCCCTCCCAATAATGCAGGATAATCTCTCCATCTCATGATCTTTCACTTAGTCTCATATGCAAAGTCCCTTTTGCCATGGAACATAACATATTCACAGGTTCCAGGTTCTGGGAATTAGGATGTGGACATCCTTTGGGTGCCATTATTCTGCCTCCCATAACAGATTCTTCAGGAAAAATAGCAAGTTTGATTTTCACATCCATATGTCTGCAGGAGTTGGAGGAGATATGGCATGGGCTGTTGGTTATCTGGGTCTGGATGTTTAATTTGGTTTTTAAGGTCTTCCCTGTATATACATCATGCAACATTCTCACACTGGAACTAGTGGAAAATAAAAACATAACTCACCTTCCCATATTGAGTTTTGCTAAATCCTATAAAGGAAGCCATCCATATTTCAATACCACTTCATTAAAATAGTCTTGTGAGCTACTTGGAAGGCTGAAGTGGGAGGATCACTTGAAGCCACAAGTTCAAGACCAGCCAGGGCAACATAGCAAGATCCTGTCTCAAAAAGAAAGAAAGAAAGAAAAACAAGAAAGAAAGAAAGAAGAAAGAAAGAAAGAGCAAGCCAGATGAGGTGGTGCACGTCAGTAGTCCCAGGTACTTGGGAGGCTGAGGCAGGGGAATCGTTTGAGCTCAGGATTTCAAGGCTGCAGTGAGCTATGGCCACATTACTTCACTCCAGCCTGAGCTACAGAGCAAGACTCTCTCTGAAAAAAAAAAAAAAAAAAAAAAAAAAAAAAAAAAAAAAGTCTGTTGAAGGATAGTTCTGTTCTCCTTACACTTGCCTTTTCTATCTTATGGATACCAACCCTCTCAATGTTATAGTCTTACAATTTCAGGCAATGGTTAAACAAACCCAAACTGAATTATACTACAATTGAAATCCAGTTACCTCATATGTGATTGATGCGCTTGCTTCTAAGACTTGCACACACTATGTGGACTCAATCTTGGTATATCGGGCCATGGAGATGCCTCATTATAGACTAGGATTATCTGGGTTTACAAAACCAAGTGTTTTCATGTCATAGCAATAACTTTTATGAGCTTAGATCCTAAATGAGTTTAAATATCATTCAGCCTTTTATTATCTAGGTGTCCCTGCACTTACACTTTGTTTGCCTCATTTTTAAAATTTATAGCAGTGATGGAATAATTTACCAGGCTATTATTAGGTTAAAAATAGTATGGATTCAAAGCCCACTGTAGGACCTATAACATAGAAGGCATGTAAAAACATTGGTTTTCTGGCTGCTTTTCCACCTAACTGTCATGTATTGCAATAACTATCATGTATTGCAATAACTACCAGCAAGGTAATTCATTTTTAGTAAAATTCAATTCAAAAAGCCCTTATTAAACATATGCACCAAGTAATGCAAGGCATTGAAGCAGATACAAAGATGAACAAGTCATGTCTCCTTTCCTTATGAGGTCTGCAGTCAGTGAGAAGGGCAGATGAGAGCAGAGATCACCCTCATAAAGTATGTTTATGTAAATATATCTCCTTACCCAGAATAATCATGACAGTTTTAGGCAGATTCCACCAGCTTTCCTATCTAATATTTATTATTGTATACAACTGGCATTTTAGTAACGGCTGGAATTAGGGGTACCATTTGTGGCCACGGAACAGAGGACAGATATTCACCAGGATTATGGTCTTGTGAACGCAGAATTCTAACTAGCTGAGCTCATCAGCCAGAGAATACACATTTGCCCTGGAAAGTGGTATTGATTATAATCATGGAAAGAAAAGGATGTTTGCTAAAAAGGAGAGAATGAATAATGATTACTGGATTCCATAAAAGACTTTCAAAATCCAGTTCCATGCATAAGTAAGTAGAGTATCCATTACATGCAGGGCAATGTGCTTAGGGGATATTGTGCAATGAATAAGACAGGGAAGAAACTGTCTTTCCCTCAAGGAACTGACAGTCTCGTGGGGGAGAAACAGACTTGAGATCAACTAAGGCAGAATATGACAAGGGCCTTGGGGAGAGTCCTAGCTTGTGATTTTGAAGGAGGGAGAGAGTAGATTTGGTTGGAGAGTCAAGAAAGATGTCAAGAAGTTGGGGCATTTGAAAGGGACTGTGTGAATACATTCAAAATATTACATATGCATCACAGTGATTTATTCAATGTAGCTTATCTCTTGCTTTTCTAAAATTATTTTAAAAATCAATCAATAGCACATTATTACATCGTCATAAAATGCAAAGTCAAATATAAAAGTTCCTTTGCCTACACTTCCCATTTCTACTCTTTTCCCAGAGATTAGCAGCTGTGTATGATTTCAAAACATTCTCTATGCATTTACTTACATATATTTGTACTTGCACAAATATTTGAAAACAAAAAAACATACCTGATGTATAAAACGGCTCAGCACTTGCTTCTTAAAAATTTAACAATTTTTAAAATCCCTTTGCATGTCGGTTTTTATATAACTATCTCCTTTTTATTGGCTGAGTTGTAGTCTGCAGACCCACGCTGCCCCATATAGTATTCCTTAACTAGGTGGATCTATTTCCATTTAAAATAATTAAAATGAAATAAAGCTTAAAATTCAGTTTCTCCATTGCAATGACCACATTTCAAGTTCTAGGCAGCCACCTGTGGGTAGTGGCTACTGTACGGGACGGAGCAGACTGGGAGCATTTCTGTCACCTGTGGAAGCTCTGCTGCCCAGCACCGCTCTGCACTACACATGAGCCAACATTTCCTCAACCATTCTTTACTGAAGAACATTTAGACTCTTCCTTACTTTCCACTATCATAGATGCTACAATGAACATCCTTGAACATCCATCTTTTGTGTACACGGGGGAGGGTTTCTGGAGAATAAATTTCCAGAATAGACACTTTAGAGTTACAATGTAAACACATCTAAATTTGGAAAGATAATGTCAAATTTCCTCCTAAAACCGTGTAACAATTATATTACTCAGAGAATATTGGAATGCTCATTTTTTTCAGATGCTTACCAACCCTGGAGATTACAAATCTCTGCAACTTTAGCCACTCTGATGGACAAAAATAACATCTTTCTGTCTTTCCAATATGCATTTTTTTATTCTTAGTGAGTCTGAGCATTTTAAAATAATTTTTAATTACCAAAGGAAGTACACGAGTACATATTTTATTGTAAAATATTATAGTTGTGTGTATTAAAATAGAACAGTAGTAAAATGTGAGTTTTTCTTCATCTTTCCAGCCCCCATCCCACCTTCACTTCCGAGCGATAACAACTATTATGACTTTGCTGTGTATTCCTCTTGCCCTTGGTCTAGGGGAATTTATAAATTTATAGCATGCTTGTACATACAAAATGTATTGTGGGTTTCATTTTTTTCCTCATAAAACTAATCATGGTGCATTTATTGTTCAATAATGTGCAGTTTTAATTTAACAATATGTCTTGAAGAGATTTCTCATGCAGTACTAACAATTGCTAGCATTTATTGAGTGCTCACTATGTGCAATGAGTAAGCTTAACCTCCGCAGCCTAGCACCACCAGATGTGTCTGGGTTTTGCTCATTGCTCTTTGATAAGAGGAATCAAATCTTGGGGATCTCCCAAAGATCATGCCCAGGTCTCTGCCTGAAAGGATTTCCTACTGAAGGAAGCCATGTTCTCCTCATTTTTTGACCAATTATCTGCTTGGTGTGGCCACTGGCATGTGAATAAGATTTCAATCCTTGCCTGTACTGTCATGGTCTCTGATGCTGCTGGCAGAAGCAAAAGGGAGTTCACTGGAAAAGTGGAGGTTGCAGTGAGCCGAGATTGTGCCACTGCACTCCAGCCTGGGAGACAGAGTGAGACTCTGTCTCAAACAAAACAAAACAAAACAAAACAAAACAAAACAAAACAAAACAACAAAGCGTGGGTTCAGGGCAGACTCCTAATGACCTCATCCCAGCCTCCCTCCAGTCCTATATCCCCAGGGTGTTGATGGATGTCTGTTGGAGGCCCCTTCTCCTTTCTACTGGAATATTCCATCTTTCTTAGAAGGAATTTACCAAAGAGGATGCTTTCATCTATAAATAAAATCAGCTGGGTGCGGTGGCTCACGCCTGTAATCTCAGCACTTTGGGGAGCCGAGGAGGATGGATGACTTGAGGTCAGGATTTCAAGATCAGCCTGGCCAACAGGGTAACACCCTGTCTTCACTAAAAATACAAAAGTTAGCCAGGCTTGATGGCGCATGCCTGTAATCTCAGCTACTTGGGAGGCTTAGGCAGTAGAATCCTTTGAACCTGGGAGGCGGATGTTGCAGTGAGCCGAGATTGTGTCACCACACTCCAGCCTGGGTGACAGAACAAGACTCTGTCCAAAAAAAGGAAAGAAAGAAAGAAAAAAGAAAGGAAGGAAGAAAGAGAGGGAAAGAAACAGAGAGAGAAGGAAAGAAAGAAAGAAAGAAAGAGAAAGAAAGAAAGAAAGAAAGAAAGAAAGAAAGAAAGAAAGAAAGAAAGAAAAGAAAAAAGAAAGAAAGAAAAGAAAGAAAGGAGAGAGGGAGGGAGGGGAGCAAGGAAGGAAGGAGAGAGAGAGAAAGAAAGAGAAAGAGAAGGAAAGAAAGAAAGAAAAAGGAAAGAAAGAAAGAAAGAAAAAAGAAAGAAAAAGAAAATCCACTCAAACTGACAAACAATCAAAGGCAAAAGTCTTGCCTCCTGTAACCACGAAGCCCAGCAATACAGGTAATTCAGCCTGGTGTGATCAGAGCTCCAGATGCATTTCCCTGATGCTTCACTTTTCCCTCCTTGCATCAGGTTCACTGTCAGGCTGATGTCCCCGGTGTTGGCTGAACAGTTTCCGCAGCACTATGCTTTGCATCATTGCGCCTTAGCAGTTGAGATGGAAAAAGACTTCTCTCTCCTGGACCATCAATACAAGTCTTGGCTTCCCTTTTAAGAGACCAGCTGGAGTCATTCATCTACTCCTAAACTAATCAGTGTTACTAATCACTAATTAATGATTCATGACACATTGATTTCTGTATCAATCACTGTGACAAAGAGGATGAAACTGTATCAACTGTCTTAATAAAAATAACCAGGTGTGTGTGGGAATGGTACCACCCAAACCAGAGGGCTCCTCCCCAGTGGTGGGCTGGATGTTTGGGAGGCAACCATGAGGATCACCTCTCAAATTCTCATTCCATGTGTTGGGTACTACATCGTATAGCATCCCCCCAAAAATCACATGTCTATAAATATGATCTTATTTGGAAATAGGGTCTTTGTACATATAATCAAGTTAAAATGAGGTTATAATGGATTAGGATGGGCCCTAACCCAATGACTGGTGTCCTTACAAGAAGAAGGAAATTGGAGACAGACACACAGAGAGAATGCCATGTGACGATGGAGGCAGAGATTTGAGTGATGCATCTACAAGCCAAGGAGCAGCAAGGACTGCCGGCAACACCAGAGGCCAGGAGAGAAGCACAGAATGAATTCTCCCTTGGAGCCTCCAGACTGTGAAAGGATACATTTTGGATGTTTTCAGCAGTCCAGTTTGTGGTGCTTAGTTATGGCAGCTGTCGGAAATGAACATGTGCTACAACCGGGAGACTGAGTCCTGCACAGGTCTGGAAACCCTCTGTTTTCCAACATGAAAAGGAACCTATTCTTGATTTCTAATAAGTATGCAGATTTGTCCCATTTATGTGCTTTGATGGACATTTTTAGAATTGGGAACTGTAGAGCTGGAAGCAGATTTGGAACCTATTGTCCTTTATTTCTGTGAGTCTTTTGCTCTGGAAAAATGCATTCAAAGAAAACAAAGATGGAAAATGTTGATTGCAATGCTCACAGGATGGCTTCCTTTCCCTTGAAGTTGTGACATGTTTCTGTGCCTGTGTCCATGCATGTGTGGTTATGTGAAGGTGTGAGAAAGGGAGAGGTTGGCAGTGGAAGGAATGGAAAGGAGATATACTGATAAAGAGAGAGAAAAGAAATAGAGACACATTTTATCTGAAGGAATTTATGTATTGATAATAAAAATGGCTGTGGATATTGCTCCAATCTGTGCAACAGCTTTGGAATTCTTTGCTATATTACTTAGAATACAAATTTAGATATCCTTCTCTCACGTAAACCTAATTTATATCCAGAGAAACAATATACAGAAACATGTGCTCTGTTTTTCTTTTAGCTAGTCATACGGAAAGTCATTCTTCAAAGTTCTTGACAAATAGGGAGTTTTAGATTTAAGCTAATATGAAGTTTATCAACCTTCCAAAGGAATTCACAATAGCAGGATGTAAATTTCAGGCATATAGTTTTTACAAAGGAATATAGATATTTTTCAATAGATTTTCCTGGACTATAAACACAACAGGGTTCACCTAGGTTTCTATAAGATTTTACCAATATGGCAAAGCAAGGACCATAGGAAACTCTTGATGGTCATATTGGGGGGGAAGAGTTATAATAAAGAGTTGATCCAAATTAAAGATTACATTAATTAAACAAAGGTTTCTGTTTCATTTTAATTGCAGAGGCGACATCATGCAGTGACTAGCCTTTCCAATGAAGGAGGAAATGAGATATGTTGTTACATACATAAAATTCATAATCAGTTGGGCAAAGGAATTCTAACGAGTTTTTAAATATGCTCTGTTTATGAAGGCATGGGCATATTATTAACTGACACTTGAGATATTGCCGAAAAGAAAATTGTATACAATGACAAAATGATTATTTGTTCTATGAGAAAGGGACAGTGACTATGGTGGTCACAGCCGTATACCCCTAGCATTGTCCCTGGTGCACAGTGGATGCTCAGTATATAGTTGCTCAATCAATAAATTAACACAACTTTTTAAAAAGTCCATTATTTATTGTATCTAAGAGACTGCCTGGCAGGAAATTGAAATTATACACATGGCTTCAGAATTTCTATAGTTGCCATTCAATCAAGATATCTTGGTGGAGTCCCTATTGTAAGGGCAGGCTCCATAAACACATGTCCTGTCCTCATGGGGCTTGCAGACTGAGGGAGGAGACAGGCATCAATTATCTCATTACACAAACGATGTGAAATTAACTACTAAGGAGCGATACGCAATGCCACAGATGTCCACGGCAGGGCTATGACCTGATCAGAGAGGTCTGGAAGGCTCCCCAGAGGGCTACATCACCTTTGCCACCACTGCCATCTGGAGCGTAAACTGAGTTCCAGAACTGAGTGCATGAAAGGAACACAGACGGGGTGATCCCAGAGTGAGCTGATGGGTTGTGGTTAAATAATTTCAGCCACACACAGGTTGTCTGGATAATATAAGTTGGCATTTATAACATAATATAATAAGATAAATAAGAATACAGTATAATATTATTAATTAATAAATGTGGCTTTTCTAAAAGCATCTCTTTTTTGTATTTTTAGTAATATTTCTAGGAGATTTACAAATCTCTATTATTTTTTGATAGCTCATCTAAGTGCTCCTTACTTCTTCATGCTCCATATTTTAAGTAGATGATTCTTCTACATATTTTTGTTAAGCTGACTGATATGGTTTGGCTGTGTCCCCACCCAAGTCTCATCTTGAATTGTGGCTCCCACAATTCCCACATGTCATGGGAGGGACCCAGTCGGAGGTAATTGAATCATGGGGGTGGGTCTTTCCCATGCTGTTCTCGTGATAGTGAATAAGTCTCATGAGATCTGATGGTTCTGTAAAAAGGAGTTCCCCTGCACAAGTTCTCTCTCTTTGCCTGCCACCATCCATGTAAGACATGACTGGCTCCTCCTTGCCTTCCGCCATGATTGTGAGGCCTCCCCAGTCATGTAGAACTGTAAGTCAATTAAACCCCTTTCCTTTCTAAATTACCCAGTCTCAGATATGTCTTTATCAGCAGCATGAAAATGGACTAATACACTGACTTTTACATTTTTCTGATTACAGGAGTGGCAGGTGTCTTTGGCACTTACTCTCAACTTGTTGCCATCTCTCCATCTCCATGGCCACCATCCTGACTGAGCCAAGCTGCCCTTCCACTCACTGTCAGTTACCTGACTTGGTTTTATTTTTAGCAGAGCACTTATGCTGCCTTTTGTTTTCGTGGTTTTTTTTATTTGTATGTTTATTGACGGTTTCTATCCCTGGGACATAAGCTGTGTAAAGGCAGGGATTTGTCTGTCTGGTCCATTGCTGCATCCCAGGTATAGAGAACAGTGCTTGGTACCTGGTAGGTATCAAAAATATTTAAGATATGAATTGATAAAATAGATTTCAGACATAGAGCAAAGAAAAAAGAAAATGCCACTTTCTTTACAAACAAAATAATTTGGCAGCATTTCCTTTAGTACATGGGAGTGACTGTTTAAGGCAGTGAGCATGTTCCACTCCTAACCTCCCACCTCCATCTCCTTCTCTCTTCCCACTTCTACCAGATTCAGGAAACCACAGAGCAGACACGGAGGTGGGCTCTTTCTTGGTGGTGGATTGCACCTGGGGAGTTGCAGTTCACATGAGTATAGCAAAGGACTCTGCCAGTCCTGCATCATATGAGACTTGTTTTTCCTACATTCTGTTGTCTCGGAACATCAAAGGTAGTGTTGTGCTCATAAATGATTAACAATTGGCTTTGGGAGTGGGAAAAAACACCTGACTTGTAGTATTTGCCAATTTCTGTAGTGTTACTACTACTACCATAGCTAATTTCAAGGTACCAATTCACTGCACATGGAGCCAGGCAGATTTGCACAAAATCAGGTCTCATAAACTTGTACAAGTTGCCTCCAGCACATCACTGAAAAAGCAAAGGCCCTCTGGGGTCTCACAAACTCAGGATTCCAGGTGGCTTGTGTGTTGTGTGGTTGTGACTCTCCTTTCAGGCACACAGGTGTGTTCTGTAGTTTTGTCAGTTTCTGATGGAACAGTCATTCTTCCTGGCTGGTGGAAGCATTAACTTGGGTCCTTCATCCCCCTTCTCAGGGTCTTGTCAAGGCTATTACAGGGTCTTACCAAGGCATAGTGAGGGAAGGGATACTTCTGATCCTTGGTCTAAGGAAACATACAAAAACTCCACATCTTCCATTTGTTTTCTCAACTCACATGGACTCTCTTGTCAGTCTTGATGACTATTTTAAAAAATGACCATTCTGTTCTAATCATTGCTAATAATGCCCAAGCTATATGTGGTTGTGCCATGAGAACAGCTAAACAAAAAGACTGTTTCTTTTCACTCTAAAAAAAGCATGAGTGCATAGAACAACATAATAGCCATTTTCACTGCCAGAAACTAGGGTGGTGAGATTCTGCATCTTCAAAACTCATAATGATGGGACTGAATCTTTGGATATTTTTTTGATGAGAACAGTCAATACATCACCAAGAAGCAGCTTTTCTGTGATGAGCCTGCAATTTCTTTATAAGCAGGGAAAAATAGACTTGAATGTCATTATGCACAATTTTGAATGTACCACATGATCATAATAACTTTAAAACAAAAAATGAATAGAAAAAAGATTTGAAGAAAATGCACCCAACTGTTAACTGTGCATGTCTCGGATGATAAAAATATTTGCATTTTCTTCCACTTTTTAAAGTTTCTCTACTTTAAAAAAAACCTGAGTATTACTTTGATAACAGAAAAAAAAATGTTCTTTTAACTGGTAAAAGCCAGAGAGCAAGCAAAGAAATAAATCATGTTTTTAACACTACCAGTGAAACGAAGAGAAGCCCCTGGGGAGGAGGGCAGATGCTTCCTTAAACTACGTCTGGGGCAGGTGGAAGTCTTAGCCTGGCATGGAAGATAGGAAGAGGCAGCAGCAAGAGGATGGCTTAGAGAACAGCTTCTCAAATCCTGCTAGCATACCCTTGGCACAGTCACTATCTGCCACTTTACTGCAGACATTGTAACCACTGCCTGGGCCATTGCTTCCAGCGTTGACCGGAATAAAGGTTCGAGGGATTTAGGGGCTAACCAAGGAAAAAGATATAACCACATGGGGCAGTAGCACACACAAGCTTTGTCTGGGGATACTTTGACAACTTTGCATGTGGAGAATGCCCCTCACAGCAGGATTTTGCAGAGTCACTACTTGCAAGGGGAGGGAAGCAAGGGACTCCTAGCCCAGAGGGGGACGGAAGAGGGGGCCTCCATGTCTAGGTGATGCTGCTCAGCAGCACAGCAGATCCTCTGGGTCAGAGAACTCTGAAAAGCAGTATGGGTCTACAGCCATAACACCCTGAACGTGCCTGATCTCGTCTGAAAAGCAGTATAGGCTCATGGCCTTGTAACTCTATCAATAAAGAACAAGTTCTGGTGAGGTTCCACAGGATATGCATGCAGGCAGGTTCTACATGGCTAAAAATTTGCTTGCCTGGGCTATTTTTAAAGTAATTGGATGTGTACAAATCTGAGTTTGGCACCAACAAGTTTTTGAGCTAACGGGTCTCAGCCTGCAGTGAAGAAATAAACAAACTTGAGGCCAACACACAGAGGCCATCTTTGGCTGATTTTGTATAAGGATAGGATACCATGGGGCAAGGCAAAATTCCTGCTGGGTGGGTGCTGAGGAGACTGATTGGAACAGGTGGCAGCTGCCCAGCCTCTCTTGGTCAGTCCCGTCTTCATACCCTCCTCCAAGTCAACAAATTTGATCAATTTTAACCCCAGGGACTGCCCCTTCCGCTGCTTCTTCCTGACCAGAAGAGAAAACGAACGTTGTGGTGGCAACAGGCAGGATGCCACTGCCTGGGCAGCTCAGGACTGTCCACTCTGAAGTCAGTCCTTATCTCTCCGTAAGTTGATTGGGTCATGAAGGCTTGGCCTTTGGTATTTGCAACAATATGTTGTCTACAAAAGACCCTTAAGTGAAAAGGATACATAATGCTTGAAAATGAAAGAATTATAAAAAATTAAGCAGTTCATTACAAGCCAGAACAAAGCTGAAGTAAAAACTTCAATATCTGATAAAATGGATTTAAGTTAAAAACATTATAAGGAGCAAAGAAGGATGTTTTTCATTTGTATGTTTGTAACAGGTTCAAAAGAATGAAAAGTATATCTCTCTCACAAACTTATAGGCATCAAACAACACAACCTCAAAATCTAAGATGCAAAAATTGATGAAATGGCAGAGAAATAGGCAAATCAACTGTATGAGACAGTTTAACTCATCTTTCCCTGAAACAGATTAATCAAGCAACATTTTCAGAAATAACCCTGATAAGCAGAAATACAAAGACTTTCACAATACCATTGATAAACTGGAGATGCTAGATATGTATAGAACTCAGTATCAAATAAACAAAAGAACTGCATGTGCTTTTCAACTAAATCTGAAAAACTTATCAGAAAACTACACACAGTCCAGCATAAAGGGAGTTCTAAGGGATGAACATTTACATACTCTGTTCTCCAACTACAACACAACAAAGTTAGAAATTAACATCAAAAGGCTGGTTTTTAAATCCCATATCTTTGGAAACTAAATAACATATTACTAAACAGCCTATGGGTTAAGAAGTAAATAGTAAATTAAGACATATTTAAAACTGAATGATAATGAAAACATTTCATGTCAAAATTTTGAGACATATCTAAAGTTGTGTCCAAAGATGACACTCATCAATTTATATTTATCAGAAAATAAGAACGTTAAAAATAAATTGATGAAGTTTTAATCTCAACACGTTAATAAAAGACCAATAGAGCAAATCCAAATAAACAAGATAGAAAGGTAGAATACAGACAAGGGCAGAAATCCAGCAGAGAAACAACAACAGAAAAATAACAGAGAAATTAATAGAACCAAAAGCTCGTTCTTTGGAATGATTATTAAAAATAAATAAGTTGCTGGCAAGGCTGATACAGAAAGAGAAAGAGAGAGTGAAAGAGAAAGGAGAGGGAGGGAGAGGAGGTAAATAACCAAAATAAATAATAAAAATAAGTAACTACAGTCTAACAATAAGCTTTTTATTGTGGGCATGTGTACATTTAATGTGAAAAGCTGCAGGAGTCAATCCCAGAAAAAATTAAAATGCCAAACTGGAAAAAGAAAAAATACAACATGAATAGACTGGTAATATTTAAAAAGTTGAAATTGTCAGTGAAGACCTTCCCTCTTCCCCAGAACTCAAATCTAGATGGTTTCACACGGGAATCCTGACAAACTTTCAGAGAATAGTTAATTTCTGTTTCACACAAGTTGTTTTAGAAAGTAGAAGGAATAGGCTACTGCTCATTGTGTAAATCATCTACAATCTTGATTCTAAAATTAGATAAGGATAGCTCCCGAAATGAAAACCATAGGCCCGTTATATATTTGAATGTAGGAGAAAACCGCCCAAATAAATTGTCAGCTACCCAAATCCAACAGCACATCTCATTCATTGTGATAAAGAGGGTTGCTCTGATACAAGGACACTTCAAATCAGAAAATGAATCCGTGTAACTCACCACATTCATACATTCAAAGAGGAAAATCACACAATTATCTCTAATGTGCTGAAAAAGCCTTTGTTAAGATGCAACTCTAGCAAACCTGGAAGAGCAAGGAACATCGTTACTGGCAACCTTGCACGTAGCCACTTGGCCACGCAGGCAAAGGCTTGAACTGCAGCTGAATCTGAGTCTTGGCAAAATGCCTTGTATTCCTCCCAGAACACAAGAGGATGAGAGGCTGGTGAGGAGCTGCTATAAGGCCATTGCCCTCCCACTGCCCTGTCTCCCCTGGGAGGCTGTCAAGAGACAGTGTCTCATGGTTTCCTGGGGTCTCTGGGTCCTAATGAGGTCTGGGGCTTCTGGTCTCACCCCCTGCCCCTCCCATGCCTCCTACAGAACTGCAGATGATAAACCACTCAGCTGTGGTCTAGGCTTTGCTCCTCACCAATGAGGTATACCATAACTTCATTGCAGTCATTGACCTTTTCTGTTTTCTTTTTTTTTTTTTTTTATTATACTTTAAGTTTTAGGGTACATGTGCACAATGTGCAGGTTAGTTACATATGTATACATGTGCCATGCTGGTGTGCTGCACCCATTAGCTCGTCATTTAGCATTAGGTATATCTCCTGATGCTATCCCTCCCCCCTCCCCCCACCCCACAACAGTCCCCAGAGTGTGATGTTCCCCTTCCTGTGTCCATGTGTTCTCATTGTTCAATTCTCATCTATGAGTGGGAACATGCGGTGTTTGGTTTTTTGTCCTTGCGATAGTTTACTGAGAATGATGATTTCCAATTTCATCCATGTCCCTACAAAGGACATGAACTCATCATTTTTTATGGCTGCATAGTATTCCATGGTGTATATGTGCCACATTTTCTTAATCCAGTCTATCATTGTTGGACATTTGGATTGGTTCCAAGTCTTTGCTATTGTGAATAGTGCCGCAATAAACATATGTGTGCATGTGTCTTTATAGCAGCATGATTTATAGTCCTTTGGGTATATACCCAGTAATGGGATGGCTGGGTCAAATGGTATTTCAAGTTCTAGATCCCTGAGGAATCGCCACACTGACTTCCACAATGGTTGAACTAGTTTACAGTCCCACCAACAGTGTAAAAGTGTTCCTATTTCTCCACATCCTCTCCAGCAGCTGTTGTTTCCTGACTTTTTAACGATTGCCATTCTAACTGATGTGAGATGGTATCTCATTGTGGTTTTGATTTGCATTTCTCTGATGGCCAGTGATGATGAGCATTTTTTTCATCTTTCTTCACAGAATTGGAAAAAACCACTTTAAAGTTCATATGGAACCAAAAAAGAGCCCGCATCGCCAAGTCAATCCTAAGCCAAAAGAGCAAAGCTGGAGGCATCACGCTACCTGACTTCAAACTATACTACAAGGCTACAGTAACCAAAACAGCATGGTACTGGTACCAAAACAGAGATATAGATCAATGGAACAGAACAGAGCCCTCAGAAATAACGCCGCATATCTACAACTATCTGATCTTTGACAAACCTGAGAAAAACAAGCAATGGGGAGAGGATTCCCTATTTAATAAATGGTGCTGGGAAAACTGGCTGGCCATATGTAGAAAGCTGAAACTGGATCCCTTCCTTACACCTTATACAAAAATTAATTCAAGATGGATTAAAGACTTAAACGTTAGACCTAAAACCATAAAAACCCTAGAAGAAAACCTAGGCATTATGATTCAGGACATAGGCATGGGCAAGGACTTCATGTCTAAAACACCAAAAGCAATGGCAACAAAAGACAAAATTGACAAATGGGATCTAATTAAACTAAAGAGCTTCTGCACAGCAAAAGAAACTACCATCAGAGTGAACAGGCAACCTACAAAATGGGAGAAAATTTTCGCAACCTACTCATCTGACAAAGGGCTAATATCCAGAATCTACAATGAACTCAAACAAATTTACAAGAAAAAAACAAACAATCCCATCAAAAAGTGGGCAAAGGATATGAACAGACACTTCTCAAAAGAAGATATTTATGGGACCTTTTCTGTTTTCTTGTCACCCTTTTGGTGTATGGGACAAGGACTGAGGGATGCCGGCACCTTTGACTTAAACACTTTTTCTTTCCATCTGTAAGTAATCAACTGTCCAAATATAAAAGTGGCTCATTTTGTCATCACCAGTTGAATCAGTAAAACTTCAAAAGCAAAGCCAGAAGGTGAAATGTGATTAATTTGATTACATTAGCATTGATAATTTCCATTCATCAAAGAACAATGTAAACGAAATCATTGAGAAATCACAGAATAGGAGATGATTCTTGCTGTACCTATGATAAACAGGAGATTGCTATCTAGAGCACACAGAACTCCTGCAAAACGATAAGGAAATGATAGCATCCCAGTAGAAAAAAAAATGGGCAAAGGACAATAATGAATAAGCACGTTAGAGAAAAAGCCCAAGAAACTTCAAAGAGTGCAAAGACAGGCTCAGAATCATTAGTAATCAGATAACTGAAAGTTAACACTGTAATGACGTATCGTTCTTTGCTTTTAGACTGGCAAGCTCACTCCTGCAAGCTCTCTTGAGAAAGTGTCCATTGCTCATTACGGGGTGTGCATTGTCATAGTGATGGTAGGGGCAGGGAGAGCTAATCTGAGAGAAGACTGTGAAAGATCCCACATCGTAAAAAGGGACATTGTCTACAATTTAAATGTGCCAACATTTACTTCTTCAAGCTGGGTTTGAGATATTTTATTACCTACTCCCTACATTACAGCTTCCCAAGAATCTGCAAGCCCAATGGGGCTAAGATTTTATTACAGAATCTAGGCATTTCAGAGCCATTATAATGATAAGAGTTCCTGATATTGAAACAAATGATATTATTTAAAACAAAAACTTTTATTAATACTTTTACAATTTTTGTGACAGAATAGTTCAAAAGCCCCTAAGCATGAATGAGTGCATTATTCAGGGAGTTTTGTGGGGACAAGTGAACACAACTAACTGAAATATCATATATTTGATCTAGATTTTAAAGGATAAATAACTGCAAAAGGGTAAAAGCCTGGGGTCATTATAAAAGCATTCTGGAAACTAGAAGTTTAGCGTGACTGGGTAGAGATGGAGGGAAAGGTAGGACAGGAGTCTGGAGAGGTACGCAGGGGTGTGAGCTGCCTCTGTGGACAGAGGTGAGCCCTAACACCTCAAAGAAAGGAAATGGCCCCATAGGATTTGTTTTTGAGGTGGAAAATGCTGGTGGTAAAATGAAGAAAGAGCTAGAAAGAAAGAGGAGAGATAATGGAGGGAGGCTATTGAAGGGAGTCAGGCTGAAAACGCAATGGTAGAACTCAGCATCTCAGAAAGACAAACACAAAACCAGCATGGCGGCCGGGATTGTGGGCCAAGTCTGGTCGGGGGCAGGGAGTCGTTCTCCTGGGCATTTCCTTACTAGTGAGGTAAGGGGGCTCTGGATCCCTGGAAGCCTGGCATTCCCAGACTCCAGGATTCACTTCCTTTCCCTCCCCAGACCCTGCCTTCCCCCAGCTGCCCCCTGACCTAAGGCTCTTCCCCTTCCCCTTGCCATTTTCTGGTCCTCTGACTTATCCCTTTTCTGAGAATCACTGAATTTGAAGCTAAAGTGGCTCCACAGATCACTCATAATCTCATGGTTGTTTGAAGGACCAAATTGCTCAAGGGATCAATCGAAAGAGAAGACAGAAAATAACTCTGACCTTGGCCCACAATCTTTGCCTCTCATTCAATCACCAGTGACTTTTCTGTTAGATGTGTTCTCAATAATCATCCTTATATTGAAGGCATTTGTAGAAAGGTGGAAGAGAGTTTTAGTTAGTCAGCATATCACATTTCACGTTGATAAACTGGTTTGTGTAGTACCCTGTTTCCTATTTGCAAAGAGATGCAGTAATTCATCAGCATCCTATGCCCTTACTCCTCCTTAGGGATTACTGAACTCAGGCAAAGGTGGTGTATTAGTTTCCCAGGAATGCTGAAGCAAAGTGCCACAAGCTGGGTGGCTTGAAATAATGGGAATTTTTTCTCTTACAACTCTGGAGGCTAGACGTTTGAAGTCAAAATTCTTAGTAGGGCCAAACTTTCTCTGTAGGCTCCAGTGGAGAATCTATTCCATGCCTTTCTCTTAGATTCTGCTGTTTCTGGCAACCCTTGGCATTTCTTGGCTTGTAGATGTGTTGCTCCAATCTCTGCTTCTATTGGTTGGCACATGGTGTTCACCCCACATGTCTCTGTCTCTGCATCTCTTTTCCTCTTCTTATAATGACATGGGTCATACTGAGTTAAAGACCCACCCTACTCCAATAGAACCTTACATTTACAACACCCTATTTCCAAATAAGGTCACATTCCAAGGTTCCAAGAAGAACATTAATTTTGGGGAAAACTATTCAACTCAGTACAGGTATCCTTGGTTGGCTTAGTTTTATATTAGATTGACCTTTGGCCTTACCTAAATTATTAGGAATGCACCTACTTCGTATATCCCTCAGTTGCTTTCCCCATGAAACCATGGTCAAGAAACCAAATCCACAGATATTCACGCATGCATCCACTCTGTAAACATTTATTAGGCAGATACCACATGCCAGGGACTATGCTAATGAGGAAGTCAATGGAGGGGTTCACCTTCCAGGAGAGGAACAAACACATAAGCAAATAAATTTAAATAATGCTAATAGGAGGGGCACAGAGGAGGAAGCCTGGCCAAAACAGAAATGACTGCGCTGAGTGAGGCTCTGAGGAGGAGATGGAATATAGAGGGGAATCAGGAAGGGAAGGGATTAGGGGCAGTAGGGCCAGGTCAGCACATGTAAAGGCACACAGACATGAAAAACATTGGAATTGGAGGACCTACACACATTCCTGTTGACTGAAGAGTCGACAGTGTCTGGGAGCAGCAAGAGAAGAGTTGGGAAAGATCATCGCAGACAAGAGGAGAGATGGGAGTAGGAACTTCAGCTTGTAGGTTGTATTAGTTTATTCTCACACTGATATAAAGAAATACCTGAAGGCCAGGCACAGTGGCTCACGCCTGTAATCCTAGCACTTTGGGAGGCCGAGGTGGGCAGAGTGCCTGAGCTTAGGAGTTCGAGACCAGCCTGGGCAACACGGTGAAACCTCATCTCAACTAAAATACAAAAAATTAGCCAGGTGTGGCAGCATGCACCTGTAGTCCCAGGGAGGCTGAGGCAGGAGAATTGCTTGAACACAGGAGGTGGAGGTTGCAGTGAGCTGAGATTGCACCACAGCACTCCAGTCTCGGTGACACAGTGAGACTCCGTCTCCAAAAAAAGAGAAATACCTGTGACTGGGTTATTTATAAAGAAAAGAGTTTTAATTGGCTCACAGTTCTTCAGGCTATACAGGAAGCATGATACTGGCTTCTGCTAGCTTCTGGGGAGGCCTCAGGAAACTTATCATGGTGGAAGATGCAGGGGAAGCCTTCTTACATGGCTGGAGCAGGAGCAAGAGAGAGACGGGAGGTGCTGCACACTTTTAAACAACTAGATCTCACAAGAACTCACTCTCCATCCTGAGAAGAGCACACCAAAGGGCTGGGGCTAGACCATTCATGAAGGATTCACCCCCATGATCCAATCACCTCCCAATAGTCCCCACCTCCAACATTGAGGAATACAAATAAACATGAGATTTAGGTGGGGACACAGAGCCAAACCATATTCTAGGTGATGAGGAGGACTTTAAGCAACAGGTTAAATCAAAACATCAGTCTTTAAAAATGTACATGGAGATCAGTGAGGAGGATGCACTGAAGAAAAGGATGGATTGAAGAGGAAGGGACTTGAGGCTGGGATGCTGGAGTGGATGTTTGGCTTCCACGGTTGGGAGACAGGAGGAAAACAGGAGGTTAAAAATACAGATTTGAGAGTCATGAGTGTTTTGGACATAGGGATGTGCCCAGGGTGTACAGAATTTTCAAAAGAAATACAATGGAAGCTCGGAGATCTGAACATGTGCAGCCCACAGGAGAAGGAGCAGTGGGAGACCAGGAAGAGAGATGAGAATGGAGTAGGAGGACAGGAGACAGGAACATGGCAGCAGGCTGCTTCTTGGACCAAAAACCATGGGGAGGTGGAGTACACGGAATATTCTGGGCTAGAAACACAAGCCACAGACCACACATACACACACACAGACACACAGACACACACACACACACACAGTGTTTCTATAGCCATGATTTCACATTAGAGAATTTAACTTTCTAAATTTATAAAGTTAGTGTTTTGGTGATGATTCTTAAAGATATATCCACTCAAATGTCAAGAGCAGTTAAAAGCACTCAAAAATCCTTTGGAAATATTTTTTCTGAAGGAAATTTATTACAGCAAAAGCATTCCATAGACAAAGAGGATAATAGAGTTTTTCTGTACTTCTCCAAACCTACTCTGCCATAAAGGTGTTTCCTAGGATGAATTTGTTCAATGGTTGGGATGGAACTCCAGTGACACTTATAAAAATAACATCCAAACACACACACACACACACACACACACACACACACACACACACAGAGAGAGAGAGAGAGAGAGAGAGAGAGAGAAAGTTAATCAGCAATTTAAGCAGTTTCCTTCCTTCCTTCCTTCTCTCTCTCTCTTTCTTTCTTTCCTTCCTTCTTTTTCCTGCATCCTTCATTCCCTTCCCTTCCCTTCCTTTCCCTTCCCTTCCCTTGCCTTCTTTCCTTCTCTCCTTCTTTCCTTCCTCTTCTTCTTCTTTCCTTCCTTCCTTACCGACAGAAAACTTACAGAGCACCTATAGGCAATTTTCTAGGTTCACACATTTGGGCATCAGGAAATGGTGATAATCATTAGCAAGTAGGGTCTATCTAATCCAGCTATATATAGATAACACCACTAAGGAATTAAAAAGAAAATTCTGGACATCTTTATGAAAGTAAGAAAATGCTTTTTTAAGAATAATGGAAGCCACGCTGATGAGACAGCCACCTAGAATTCATCACGCCTATACATACGCAAGGGTGCATCAAGGACCTGTAGCCCGCGTACGTGTCTTTCTGCAGCTCCACCATCCTGAGGAAGTGGTGGTCTTCCTGGGCCAGTGTGGTTGAGAGCACAGTTCAGTTGACCTGTGTTCCTCAGCTCTAGGCTCTGCAATTCTCTCCTGTGCGGTCCATCCTGCTTTGGTCCATTCTATCAGTGCAAGGAGGTCTGATTTCTTTTGGCTAAGTCTTGGTTTCTTTCTACACACTTGTCCAGAGCTCAAGCTTTGAGGTCTGACTCTTCATCAGTTCGTATATATGAAAGAGTCACAAATTCCAGTTTGTCTTAGTGGACCAAACCACAGGGCAGATAATCTTGTGCTTCTAACTGGAAGCCCTGTATCTGCAGCATCTCACACCCTCGTCTCCCTGGGGGGAAGGAGGAGCCTTTCTGTGGAAGGTTTCCATTGCCTTCTGCCAGGTGTCTAATGAAAATGACGATAGCTGGCTGGGCACCATGGCTCATGCCACTTTGGGCTTGTTGGCTCACTCCCAACATTTTGGGAGGCCAAGGTGGGCGGATCACGAGGTCAGGAGATCGAGACCATCCTGGCTAACATGGTGAAACCCCGTCTCTACTAAAAAAATACAAAAAATTAGCCGGGCGTGGTGGCAGGCGCCTGTGGTCCCAGCTGCTCGGGAGGCTGAGGCAGGAGAATGATGTGAGCCTGGGAGGCGGAGCTTGCAGTGAGCCGAGGTTGTGCCACTGCACTCCAGCCTGGGCGACAGAGCGAGACTCCGTCTCAAAAAAAAAAAAAAAAAGAAAAAAGAAAAAAAAAGAAAATGACGATAGCCACTACACTCCCTGCATAATGCCATTACCTATCTGTCCAGCCAGCCCTGTCCTCCAAGGCTAACAGATAATTACTGCTTAATTATGTCTTAGTCGAAGCTGCACAGTTACTTTATAAAATGCAGTGTTTCTAGTTGCCATGGCTTAAAGATGACAGGTAGGTTTATCTTTAGATAGTCTATGAATTTGTACTGATTTTATGCAACAGGTTTCCAAAGTCAGTTCTTGTTATTTTATTCTGCATGTAAGCCTTTCCTGCAGAATCTTTCCTGCCTGTGTCTACCTGGATCCATGTCCCTGCTTACCACTTCAAACTGGTTTCTTCACTCTGAAGCAGGTTCCCCTTCCCCTTCAGGATATCTGGACCAAGTTTGAAGATGGGCATGAGTTAGGTTCACCCTGGAGCAGGTTCACCCTGGAGTAGGTTCCCCTTCCTCTTTGGAATATCTGGACCAAGTTTTCAGATGGGCATGAGTTAAGTTGCTGTTCCTTTAAGGATGACGTTTCTTAGCAACAATGGATTGCCTGCTTTGTTTTCTGTGGATCGATTGTCTCTGTCTGCGGCTCTCAGCTCCATTTTTTTCAAACTGATCATTGGGCATAAATATTGCTGATGAGCTGAAACTAACATGCTCCCCCCTCCAAAATAAACTAAAAAAACTAACCAAAGGAACACATTGAGGGACTATTCTAGTTGTCCTATTCCAGTTGAATATTCATAGTATTCATCAGTACTATTTAATGTTTTATATAAACTCCAAATGTGCTTGTTATTTCAGTGTTCGGAAAATTTATAGCCAGTAAAATTACATATATACATATACATGATTTGCTTTTATTTATTTGGTTATGAATGCAAGTAAAATATTATTTTCTTTATGTGCTCATTGAGTGCTTGTGTTTCTTGTATGAGTTGGCTAGTCAGGATCTCTGTCCATTTTTCTCCTGCGGCCTTTGTTAGCAGAATTAAATTTTTTTCTCGACCACTCCTCACCAGCCAAGTAAGCATGAGTTCCATCCACCCAGAGCCTCAGACTATGCATCACTAAAGCGAGAAATGTAGACCTGAGAATCCCCAGGTCCTTAGAGGCCTGTGGAGGTCCTCTGATTCTAGAATTTACTTCCTTTCGCCCCAGAAGTAAGTGTTAGGAAGGAAAACTTCAGAGCAGTGTGAAAGAAGGAAATGGGGGACCCTACTTATTTGGGGGCCATGGAAGTCAGCAGCTCTGAGAGGGGAGCTGAGCATGAGGAGCAAGGGGAGCAAGGGGAGACATGAGCATGAGTAGAAGTGGCCAATTGCAGCACAGAATAAGGGCAGGATGAGGGTTGGCAGGGACCTTCAGGGGAACTGGTGCCAGGCACCGAAGGTATGAGAGCCTCTGACCAGCTGGGAAACAGGTAAGAACAAATGGGAATGTGGTGTTCTTCCCAGTATCTGCTCCCTTTACCATGTAGCTTCTCAGTGCTCACCCACAATGGGCAGGGAAACTTCCCCACATCTTTATGATGGGCTGAACCCTGTGATTTGCTTTGGCCAAGGGGGTTGTTAGCCCACTTGATGCAGCAGGCACGAGTGTGCATATGTGTTTCTGCTTGTACCTGTGTACTTCTGCCACTTCCCAAGGATATGTATGACCAGCTGGCCTACCAGTGTTAGGAGGAGGACAGACCCACAGTGCAGAGCCACCCCACTGAAGCTGAGTCCAGGCTAGCTGACCCCAGCCAACCCACAGACCCAGGAGCTACCTAAACACCTACAGCTGCATGTCGTGGTGGGTTGGTATTCTGAATGAAGGCTGTAGATATCTCATACACAGCAAACTGGGCTGGAGTGGGGCCAATGTTGTCCTCCAAGGCACTTCAAGTCCTATTGCACGAATTGTATCAGTTTCTAGAAATTTCCAACACTGGCAGAAACCAAGATACTGGCTTGGGGTAAAAGAAAGAAAGCCCAGTAGGACCCAAGGAAGAGGAAACTGGTAAGCTATGGAAAGGCCATCAAGATCTATCCACGTGGAATAGGAATCAGTGAATTCATCTCAACAAAGAAACCAGGGAGTAAACCAGGAGTCTGTGACATCCACATGCAGGAAGCCTGTGACATCACCTGAAATAGCAAGGTGGGCACTGAAGGAAGACCAATACTTCAAGGCCTGTATGTGCCCTGGGGGATGCCTGGCACCCTGGAGGGAATCTCATTCATTGGAACAACACTGATTCTGATCATACCGCCCTTTGGAACAGGTATACACTGCATACTGCAAAGGATGTGAGCCTTGGCACCCGAGAAGTGACAAGGGCTAGAGCAGACTGAGATTGGTCATGTAGTATGTGTGTGCAGCCTAACAGGTCTCAACTCTCAGTCCTTCCACTCATCCTGGCAATAGGCACAAACATCAACACTGTATAGATCAGGACACAGGTTCATGTAGATCTGGTGATTTACTCTGGGTGATGCAAACAGAAACAGGCAGGACCAAGGTCCAAACCCATCCTGAACCTGAATTTTGCCCTCTTTAAAGAAGAGCCCGACATACATTATAACTACCTAAACCCTATCTTCCTGGCCATTATGGGCCTTGATTTTAGCCACTAAGAACATCCAGTTAATTGCTTCTATTTTTATTCTATGCTCACAAAGTAATCTTGCATTTATATATTGTTTTCTTATATAGACTTGTTAATGGGATGACCATAAATGTATTCAACTTTATGAAATTCATTCCTTGGTTCTCATTGTAAATTTGTAGGTTGGCATTCTCAAGCAATTTCCAGGATTTGCTGAATTTAGCTAGAAGGAGACTGGGCAGCTCTGGGTGTGCTGACCAATCAAAATTCTGGACATGGGGGAGACCCCAAATAATGGGAAACCACCCAAGTACTGCTGTTCAGCAAGACTTTGAGGTGAACTTCCTGGACAACATTTCCGAGACTTCAGGTCCTCCAACTGCAGGATGCAATGGTAAGACTGGACTGAAGGTCTTGCTTTTAGAGGGTGTGTTCTTAAATTTCACTTTGTCTTCTCAGGTTAATAGTACCATGCTTTTGTAATCTATTAATACTTTCTGCTGTCATTAGCTACCAATGCTAAGGGTAAAAATCAAACTATGGGATACTGATAGAATATTTATTTATTTATTTATTTATTTATTTATTTATTTATTTGAGACAGGGTCTTTCTCTGTCACCCAGGCTGGAATACAGTGGTGCAATCACAGCTCCCTGCAGCTTTGAACTCCTGGGTTCAAGCAATCCTCTTGCCTCAGTCGCCCAGGTTACTGGAGCTACAGGTGCACACCACGATGCCTGGCTAATTCTTTTATCTTTTGTAGAAACAGGGTCTTCTTTTGTGGGCCAGGCTAGTCTCAAACTCCTGACCTCAAGTGATCCTCCCGCCTCAGCCCCTCAAAGTGCTAGGATTACAGGTGTGAGCCATTGAGCCCTGTCTAGAATTTTAAAAAAGCAATTCGTAGTATCGCAGTTACAAATCTCAAGACTGAAACTCCTAGATCCGTGTGTGTGGCAGCCTGGTGCCGTCTGTGTGGCAGCTTGGTGCTGTCTGTGCAGTTGAAATAGCCTTGACAGCCTTGAGCCCGTGCTTGGTGGAACTCCTGCTGATGCAGTGTGAAGACACACTTCTTGTGTCTGGAACACACGTCTCAAGTGTAAATCCTCTGTTCCAAACAAGTTTGAATACGTTTTGTTTTATTTTGTTGGCTACTAATTCAAACACTTGTCCTGTGTTAATAGCCAGTGATTAATTTCGGGTTCTTTTTCATGTGGGAATTACTCAAAGCTCCTCTCAAAACTATGCTGCATTCATCAGCGTGACTCATCTTTTTCCATTTCCAGAGCAAACAGCAGGGACTATCCAGTCTGTACTTCAGGAAATGAGCGAGAGTGAAGTAAGCTGGCAAACGACTGCTATTTCTCTTCTTTTGAGTTTGAAATGAAAGGTTTTTTTTCCAGTATAAGATTATTCTTAGGCTGGGTGCAGTGTGTGCCTGTAAGCCCAGCACTTTGGGAGGCCAAGATGGGAGGATCACTTGAGCCCAAGAGTTTGCAATCAGCCTGGGCAATATAGTGAGATGCCCCCGTCTCTAAAAAAATAATTTAAAAAAATTAGCCAGGCCTGGTGGCGCATGCCTGTGGTCCCAGCTACTTGGGAGGCCAAGGTGGGAGGATTGCTTGAGCCTAGGAGGTAGAGGTTGCAGTGAGCTGTTGTTGTGCCACTGCCCTCCTGCCTGGATTACAGATAAAGACCTTGTCTCAAAAAAACCAAGAAACAAAAAACAAAAAACACCCTACTTTTTTATTTAAAAAATGTTTTACTTATTATAGTAACATAAAGAAACAAACATACATAAGAAGCATATAGTGGGATTGATTTTCCCAATGTGAACCCACTGGTGTAATCAGCACTCAGAGAGAGAATCAAAATATTAGCAGCACCCTAGAAGCCCCTGTAGGCCCCAATTTCTAAATTCATAGATGAGTTTGTCCATCCCTGAAGTTTTATATCAATGGATCACATGCTATATACTCTTTGGTCTGGGTGTTTTTTTTTTTTTTTTTAATTGCTGTTAGGTTTGTGCATTGTATCCATATTGTTGTTCAGCAATTGCTTGTTTCTTTTCATTGCTGTATAGTATTCATAACAATCCACAGTTTATTTACTGGATACTGTTAATTCTGTCCTTCATGATTAATGATGTGAACCCCCACTTTCAAGTACTTATCAGCCAATTATTCAATAACTTTTGTTCATTTTTCTACTAGATTTTTTCCTTCGGCTTAATTTTTTAATTTCTGTCTTTTATATTTTTTTAATTTTTAATTTTGAAAAAATGTTAATCTACAAAAAAGTTGCTAGAATTTCCTACTGAATACTCATAGATCTTTTCATCTAGATTCATCAGTTGTTAACCATTAATCATGTTTGTTGTATTTTTCTCTCCATCTCTCTATATATTAACTTTTTTGTGAATCATTGAGAATGAATCATGTTGATATCATGTTCCCCAGTCAATATTCACCGAAATTCTTATCTGGAGTAATTATTACTATGGTGGTTGCAAAATCAACTCTATTTTGCCTTCTACATTTATGAGTTGCCATTCTACTGTAAAATGTTTGCCACATTTGTTGTATTTTTCTGTCTACCTACCTATGTACTGATCAGCTTTTTTCTGAATCACTGAGAGTAAGCTGTAGACACCATGACCCTTTGTTGCTGAATACTTAAGTATATCTTGAATACAAAGACATTTTCTTTCAAAATTACTATATCAAATCCAAGAAATTTAACATTTTTATATTAATATTATATCACATATTATCATAAAAATTTGGCAATTATCTCAATAATGTCTCTGGAATAGCATTTTCTCCTAATGTGGTATCACATGCTGCATTTTCTCCTAATGTGGCATCACATGTTGCATTTTCTCGTAATGTGCTATCACATGCTGCATTTAGTTTTCACATCTGTTTAGTCTTCTCTAATCTGAAATAGGTTCTTAGCCTTTTTTGTTTTTTTATGATATTGACATTTTTTAAGAATATAGCATATTCATGTTGTAGAAAGTGCTCTAATTTGGCTATTTCTGGTTTCTTCTCTGAGACTAAATTAAAGGTACTTATTTTCTCAGAGTATTTCATAATTGAGGCTGTGTCCACGTCTCAATGCATCACTTCAGAAAGCTTGTGACATCATTCTGATCATTCAGACAGAGAGGTGTCAACTAGATTTCTCCATTAAAAAGATTCATTTTCTTTCCATGTAATTAATACATAATTGATTGGGAGATTAACACCATGTTGATATCATATTTCCCAGTAAAGATTCACCCAAATTCTTGCCTGAAGTAATTATTAATATAGTGGTTATAAAAATGGCAATTTTCAACTCATCATGCCTTTTATGTGTACTAGTTGTCATTCTACTATAAAAAATGTTTTACTTTTATTTATTCATTAATTTATATGTTTAGTACAGTATGGACTCCTGTTTTCACTTTATATTCATTATGTTTTTATTCACTTTTGTTTCTATTCTTTTGAGAAACAGAACTGTCCTAAACTTCACCAATGGAAGGTCCTTGATGCCAGTTTGCACATGTCATGTTGGAGGGGGGTGGTCTTTTAACACTTCCTTGATTTATGGACAAGATATCCCAGGCTTATTCATAGTCTTCTGATGTTAATAATTTCTTGATCAAGTTCAATTTATTAATATATGGCTACCACTCTTTGTACTCTGGCTAGGAAATCCTTGCTTAATACAAGTTCACCTTATTTATGGCTACTATGCTTGGTATCTTGACTTGAAAATCCTTGCTTACTTAACACAAGTTCAGGAAATTATTTTCCTGTGATTTTTTTTTCCTACAGGCTTTCATGCTTAGATCTACAATCCTGCTTGAATTTAATTTTGCTTATGGATTGTATATAAAGTTCTGGTTCTTCTGTATAAGGAAGAAAGGAGCACTATTAATTATGGAGCAGTCAGCAGGTATAAACTAGACCCATATGGGAAAATTTGGACAATGACCACGCACCACTTTAAAGTCCTCTGCTATGCATTGGTTCCTGGCTACCTCAGTACCTCATTTCTTACAGGTCTCCCTGTCACACTGATGGCTTAGCTGTTCCTCAAACCTATCAAGACCTTATCCTAAGCCTGTGCTCTTTCTTCCAACAGAACTCTCCTCTCCCATACAGCCACTGGGCCTACTCTTCACGGAGGTCTCTGTCAGTCACCTCCTGAGACATATTTCTGCAACCACCCAATCAAAAATAGCTCCAGCTTATGCCCTTGGTTACTGTCTACTGCCTTACCCTGTGTCCTTTTCTTCACAGCACTTACCACCACCTGATGGAGTGGAGGATTCTAAGTTCCAAGAGGGCAGAAGCAGATTTTCTTTCATTTACTGTTGTGGCCTCACACGTAGCTACAACTGTGCCTGCTGCACACCAGGATGCAATAAATGTTGGCCAGGTGTCTGAACGGAGTGTTTGTCTCTTAACATGGACCTAGCCTTCCCCACCATATTCTTTTAAGAACTGTTTATTTGCTTCTTTGGTCTGCTTACTCTTCCAGACCAAAAAAAATAGAATATGATTTTAAGTTAGAAAACAAACAAGCAAGCAAAAAATCTCTATTTATTTGTTGAAATCATCTGTCTTAGTCCACTTTGTGCTGCTATAACAGAATACTTAAGATTGAGTAAGTTAGAAAGAAAACAAATTTACTTCTCAGGATTCTGGTGGCTGGGAAGTCCAAGATCATGGCATTGGCCTCTGGAGAGGACCTTGTTGCTGTGTCCTCACATGGCAGAGGCAGAAGTGCAAGAGAGCAAGGCAAACTAATGCTGCGTGAAGCTTCTTTTCTAAGGGCCTTAATCCGTTTCCTGAGGAAGGAGCCCTCATGGCCTAATCATCTCTTATAGACCCCACCTCTTAATACTATCATATTGTAAACACCTAAATTTTGAAGGGGATACGTTCAAATTGTAGTATTGTCTAAACTTAAAAAATAACTTGGGGAAAATTGACGTTTTTACCAATATCTGCCTTACCACTGAGAAATATGGAATGTTTATTCTTTCCTTCCTCTCAATGGTTCTTTTACAGCTCTCAATGCAGCTTTTAAATTCTATCACATATGTTTGTTTTTGAGATTATTTTGAGGTATTTTATGGAATCTTTCATGTTATTACAGTGAATAGGATTCTTTTTCTATCATGCCTTCTCTAACTCAGGATTTAAAGTATATGGGAAAGGTCTTTTGGGTATTGGTTTTATCCATATACTTTGATGAATTCTCTTCTGACATGGTACATTGCAGGATGCTTTGCTACTATGGACATATAATCATCCTAACAATGACTAATATAATGATAGCAATCATAATCATGAGATAACAGTTACAGCAATAACATGACCATGAGATAACCGAACACTAAATTGCAGGTGTTCTCAACACCTATAATGCCCAGAACCTAGCAGGCCTACAACAAATATTTGTTGTTGTGAATGAATAAATTTGTAGCCATACCTGGGTGCGGTGGCTCACGCCTGTAATCCCAGCACATTGGGAGGCCGAGGCAGGCGGATTACCTGAGGTCAGGAGTTCAAGACCAGCCTGGCCAACCTCATGAAACCCCGTCTCTACTAAAAATACACAATTAGCCGGGCATGGTGGTGCATTCCTGTAATCCTAGCTACTCAGGAGGCTGAGGCAGGAGAATTGCTTGTAACCGGGAGGCAGAAGTCGCAGTAAGCCAAGATCTTGCCATTGCACTGCAGCCTGGGCAACAAGAGCAAAACTCTGTCCCAAAAAAAAAAAAAAAAAAAAAAAAAAAAAATTGTAGCCATACTCACAATTCTCATTTTCTCCTGATTTCACTGAGTGCACCTCAAGTGAATTCCTCCTGTGATAATGAGCATTGTTTGGAGAGAACGATTCTTAATCTTCTAGGCAAGAATCCTTCCAGTCCTACTTTTCAAAAAGTTGTATCTGGAAAGGGGACTAAAATGTATTGAAATTATTGTCAACACCTTTTGAAATGGTTCTATATCTTTTTCTTTTTTCATATGTCAGTTTAATGCATTATTTAAATTTTATAACATCTTCCTAATCCTGGAATAAATCCTACATATCTGTGTATGTGTATGTTCAGATTTAGTATGGAGGTTTGTGGTAAAATTTTGATTAGGATCTTTATACATGAGACTGATTTACAATTGTCATATCTCTGCTGTGCTAATCCATGTTGAAATCAGCTTTAGGTTAGCATTTCAAAAACACATTGCCTGTGAAATTATGTAACTTACTTGAAAGGATAACTAAAGCCAGAGCCTTTAAAGAGTAATTATTTGAAAATCCCTGTGATACATTTTCATTAGTGGCCCTGTTGTTTAAAAGCTTTTCTTATTTAACTTTTGTTTTACTTTCTGGGGTACACGTGCGGGTTTGTTATATAGGTAAATTTGTGTCATGGGGGTTTGCTATAGAGATTATTTTATCACCCAAGTATTAAGCCTAGTACCCATTAGTTATTTTTCCTGATTCTCTCCCTCCTCCCACCCTTCACCCTCTAAAAGTTCCCAGTGTGTGTTGTTCCCTCTGTGTGTCCACATGAAATCTCATCATTTAGCTTCTACTTAAAGGGAGAACATATGGTATTTGGTTTTCTGTTCCTGCATTAGTTTGCTAAGGATAATGGCCTCCAGCTCCATCCATGTTCCTGCAAAGAACATGATCTCATTCTTTTTTATGGCTGAATAGTATTCCATGGGGTATATGTACCACATTTCATTTATCCAGTCTACCATTGATGAGCATTTAGGTTGACTTCATGCCTTGCTATTGTGAATAGTGCTAGGGCAATAAACATACACATGCATGTGTCTTTATGGTAGAAAAATTTATATTCCTTTGGGTATATACCCAATAAGGGGATTACTGGGTCAAATGGTATTTCTGTTTTTAGGTCTTTGAGGAATCACCACATTGTCTTTCACAATGGCTAAATTAATTTACACTCCTACTAACAGGGTATAAGTGTTCTTTTTTCTTGGCAACCTCGCCAGCATCTGTTGTTTTTTTTTTTTTTTTTGGCTTTTTAATAACAGCCATTCTGACTGATGTCAGATGCTATCTCATTATGCTTTTGATTTCCATTTCTCTAATGAACAGTGAAGTTGAGACTTTTTTCATATGCTTCTTGGCTGCAGGTATGTCTTCTTTTGAAAAGTGTCTTTTCATGTCCTTTGCCCACTTTTTAATGGGGTTGTTTTTTTCTTGTAAATTTGTTTAAGTTTCTTATAGATGCTGGATATTAAACTTTTGTCACATGCATAGCTTGCAAAAATTTTCTCCCATTCTGTAGGTTGTGTGTTCACTCTGTTGATAGTTTTCTTTCTGTGTAGAAGTTTAGTTTAATTAGATCCCATTTGTCAACTTTTGCTTTTGTTGCAATTGCTATTGGTGTCTTCATCATGAAATCTTTGCCTGTTCCTATGTCCAGAATGGTATTGCCTAGGTGTCTTCCAGGGTTTTTATAGTTTCGAGTTTTACATTTAAGTCTTTAATCCATCTTGAGTTGATTTTTGTATATGGTGTAAGGAAGGAGTCCAGTTTCAATCTTCTGCTTATGGCTGGGCAGTTTTCCCAGCAGCATTTATTGAATAAGGGAATCCTGTCTCCACTGCTTGTTTTTGTCATGTTGGTCAAAGATCAGATAGTTGTAGGTGTGTGGCCTTTTTTCTTGGTTCTCCATTCTCTTCCTTTGCTCTATATGTCTGATTCTGTACCAGTACCATGCTGTTTTGGTTACTGTAGCCCTGTAGTATGGTTTGAAGTCGGGTAGTGTGATGCTTCCAGCTTTATTCTTTTGCTTAGGATTGTCTTTGCTGTTTGGGTTCTTTTTTGGTTCCATACAAATTTTAAAATATTATTTTCTAGTTCTGTGAAGAATGTCAATGGTAGTTTGATACAAATAGCATTGACTCTATAAATTGCTTTGGGCAGTATGGCCGTTTTAACTATATTGATTATTTTTATCTACGAGCATGGAAAAGTTTCTATTATTTAAAAAAATCCCACAGAATGTTTTCATTTATTGATATTTTCAAGTTTCAATTCTGCTAAGTAGACGGACTCATAGCTTTCGGAAATAGCATTATACCTTTTGTTACAATTACAACTTTCTTTCTTTCTTTTTTTTTTTGTTTGAGATGGAGTCTCACTCTGTCGCCCAGGCTGGAGTGCAATGGCATGATCTCGGCTCACTGCAACCTCCACCTCCCAGGTTCAAGCAATTCTCCTGCCTCAGCCTCCCCAGTAGCTGGGACTACAGGTGCATGCCACCATGCCCGACTAATTTTTTTTGCACTTTTTAGTAGAGACAGGGTTTTGCTGTATTAGCCAGGATGGTCTCGATCTCCTGACCTGGTGATCTGCTGGCCTCGGCCTCCCAAAGTGGTGGGATTACAGGCGTGAGCCACCACACCTGACCGCAATCACAACTTTCTAATTTTATGTCTTTGTATGGTGGATTGTTAAAAATTAAATTTGATTTGTCCATTTTATTGATTTTGTAAAAAGAAGCAGCTTTTGATTCCATTTATAGATTTCTTTTTTTCACAGTTAACTAATTTCTGTCATATTTCTTTTATTTCTTTTCTCCTGGTTTCCCTAGGACTAATTTTGTTTTTTAATCATAGCAAATAAATAAATAGATCATACACACATACACACACATGCATACACATACGCATGCACACACACACACAATCCGAGGTGAATATTTAGTCTAGAAACTTACTGTCATTCCTTTTCTTAAAAGTTGTGCCTTTCTGTCTGATAACCTTATTAACTAAGACATATGCATTTTAAAATGGTGCATTCTCATTTTCATTCTCATCTAAGTTATCCACCATTGTATATTTTAATTTAGCTCTTAATCCTACAGGTTTTTAGATAAATGATTTTCATTTTTATTTATTTTTGAATTTGTGAGTGATTTGGGTACTTTCTTTTAAACCCAGGTTATTAATTTGTAGGTTTGTTTGCATGTTGTTTAAAAATATGTTTTGTACAATTTCTACTTTTGGGGAATATATGTTCTGTAGGGGTGAGGCCATGACCAATTTTCCAAATTTTCATAGACACTTATATATGTCTATAAAGAAAGTTTATATATGTCTATAAATTTTTCTTTATTAATTACATTGATCAAATCTGCTGTGCTCATATGTATTTTCTGGGTGTTTAAGCTTTCTTGGACTAACAATATTAGTTTAAAATTTTACCACTGCTTTTCTGTTCAGCATTCTTTGGAATTAAAATCATTTTTGCTTTACTGGTTTTGATTCAACACCAAAGCTCTAACACAATTATTTTCTTACATTGCTTTGGGTTTTGCATCCACTAAAATGGTCTTATTTGTCCCATTCAACAGTATTTGCTTGAAATTTAATTTCTCTTCAGTTATGTTTCTATCTTCTTTATGTATGCTAACATTTGCATGTCATATATTTGTTCATCCTTTCATTTTTCATTTCCCTGTTTTTCCCTCTTTGGGCGTATTTTTATAAGTACCATGTCAGGGAGACTCTTGGAATTTTAATAAGTGGGTTTAATCCATTTGTTGTCCTGCTATGCTGCCGTGTTTTATGCTCTCAGCTTTAATGCTGCCTCCTGCTCACTTTCCTGTCTGCCCTTTGCCTTAGAGAAATATGTTTAGCTTGCTCTTATCTTCTGAAATGGTTTTGAACTTTGACATTCTAAATTTAATCCTATTAGAACAGTGCTTTCCAGAGAGTGTTTGGCAGAACACTCATCTCATGAGACGTTCTTTAAAAAAAAAAAAAAAAAAAAGATCTGTGGTCAAATACTTCGAGCTACATACCCCCAAGAGAGCCTTGAAGCACAGCAGGGTAGTAAAGGCTCTGAGAAGTCCTGCGGTGGGTGCAGGGGATGGGGAGGAGCCTGTCTTTGTTTTCCCAAGTTATTTTTTAGGAGGGCTATTACCGCCATTATAGCCTGAAGTTCTCAGCAAAATACTTCCCAAATGTTAACCAAAGATGATTTTCTGAACCTTCACTGGTGTGGGGGAATTCCAGTATTGATGCTTCTCTCCTTGTGCCCTATATAAGACGCAGCATACGGCTTAGCGTCCCAAGGAAGAAGAGGGTGAGCCCTCCAGAGCAAAGAGGTTCATAGGATGGGGAAAGGGGCACGTTTGACCTAGAGGAGACCCCCATGGGGCATGCAAGGGAGGAGAAAGCCCACTCGAGTTGGCAGGCTGCGGGGAGGCGAGGAGGGCAAAGAAGTGGAAAGTCAGAGTCCTGAGGCCTCCTCGGACTGAGCTCCCTGGGGGTAGGAAAAGGCTACAGACCCTGGAAAAACAGGAAGGAAAGGGGTAAGCAGGGCGCTTTTGTCCCACTGGGGCTCCAGGAGGAGAACAGCTTGCCCCTGTCACCACAGCAGCAGGGAGTGGTCCAGAGGGAGGGGCTGAGAGTCCGAAGTCACGCCCACCCAGGGCCCGTGGCAGATGTGGGCAGACACCATGGCCAAGGCTGCTGGGTGAGCTGCTGTCTGTGACTGAGACCCTGAGGACCAGCAGCTCTAGTGAGAACCAGCATGGGGCCCACAGGTCCCAGGGTGTGCTGGGGGAGCTGCCTGAGTTTCCGTAGTTCAGGAGTTAGCAGTAGGGCCAGACGGGCACCAGTGGAATCAGGACGTGGCTCGGAGGCCTGAGGGGGCCCCAGATTCTCATCAGAATTCCTTCCAGGGACAGAGAACACCGAAGTTAAAGACACCTGGACTAGAGGGGGAGAAAGGAACTATTTCCAAAGGTGCATCTGAGGGCAGGAGCCCCGCAGGGGGCAGTTCAGCATCCTCGGTCACTGAAGCCAGAGACAGGGAGGGTGTATGGAGAGGGGGAGGGTGCATGGAGAGGGGAATGGTGTATGGAGAGGGTACCTCCCACCAGCTGAGACCTTGACAAAGGACAAGGCAGCCCCCAGTGACACTTGAGAGAAAAAAACGAGGGCAAGTCACCCCCTCTCTCCCATCTCCTGCGATGCCCCTATGGACGTGGCCCTTACAGGTCAGCTTCTCAAAACTCAAAATCAGAAGAGGTTCGGCGTGAAGCGGGGAGAGAGGTGACACACAGGGACCAGCATGTGGGCTCAAGGTCCTCCCTGCCCCAATGCGGTGAGGTTAAGTCACTTTCCTCTCTACCCAGATGTCATCAAGCTAGAAAGGGCCAAGGACCACGGAAAAGGAGCCCCAGACACCTTTCATTAGGAAATTTGCCACTTCCTGGCCCCCTGATGCAGTGAGGTTAAGTTACCTTCCTCTCCCTCAGATGTCATCAAGCTGGAAGAGGGGGCCAGAGACCACCAAAAAAAGGAGCCCCATTTCCTGGTCCCACCAAGCTCATCAGTCTCAGTTCAGGGATTCTGACCTACAGGGGGAGGAATGATAGAAAATAACACTAGTGTGTCCAGGCATGGTGGCTCACACCTGTAATCCCAGCACTTTGGGAGGCCGAGACGGGCGGATCATGAGGTCAGGAGATCGAGAGCATCGTGGCTAACACGGTGAAACCCCGTCTCTACTAAAAAATACAAAAAAAATTAGCCGGGCATGATGGCGCGCGCCTGTAGTCCCAGCTACTCGGGAGGCTGAGGCGGGAGAATGGCGTGAACCTGGGAGGCGGAGCTTGCAGTGAGCCACTGCACTCCAGCCTGGGCGACAGAGCCAGACTCTTGTCTCAAAAAAAAAAAAAAAAAAAAAAAAAAAAAAAGAACACTAGTGTGTATTTTTGCACATCTGAGTGAAGTGCATAACAGTTAACCCTGACCTCCAAGTACATGAACAGATCATTAGCATGGATCAGTTTCTAAATACTTGTTTTAGTTGTAGCAAGCTCTAATGAAAGGCCTTCTTTGTTATGGTGAATGCCTATAAATCATTGCCATTTCCCCGCACAAATCAACACTAATTATTTACAACCCACATATTGTTAAACAGTGATGTCTCTGGATCTACCTCCCTTTAATTTAAATACTGTGTGATTAGCGGCCTGGTGCAGTGGCTCAAGCCTCTAATCCCAGCACTTTGGGAGCCCGAGGCAGGTGGATCACCCGAGGTCAGGAGTTCGAGACCAGCCTGGCCAACATGGTGAAACCTTGTCTCCACTAAAAAATACAAAAATTAGCCAGGCGTGGTGGAGCACACCTGTAATCCCAGATAGGTGGGAGGCTGAGGCAGGAGAATTGCTTGAAACCGGGACACGGAGGTGGCAGTGAGCCAAGATCATGCCACTGCACTCCAGCCTGGGCAACAGAGCAAGACTCCATCTCAAAAAATAATAAATAAATAAATAAATAATAAAAAATAAATACTGTGTGATTAGGAACCTCATGTGAGCTGTCTCTGTTAGACCCTATTGAATGCAAGCTTGGGGTAGATCCTCAAAAAAAGCTCTGCCTTAGAGTGAGAGATCCACGGTGTTTCTCTGTATATGACATGTCAGCGTCAGGAGCCAGTCCTGTGGAGATCCCCAGCAGTACTTGAATGAGTTGGGAAAAATGCAACAGCTCCACTGTTTGCACCTGCTCTTCACACATTCTTTCATCATCCAGGAAGCCTGGCGGGAACCATGAGTTGGAGCAATATAGGTAGATCATCTGCTAATCACAGGAAAAATTGATAATGGAGCTTCTAGAATCATTTCTAGGATGGCTTAGTAGGATGTTTTCAACAAGTTGTCCTCGGAGCTGTATTTTGCACCTCCTCATTCAAACTGTTGCGCTGATTCCTGACACATGAGGTTTCCACGAGGGAGGACTTTGGCTAGAATAGGGATTGCACATCAGAATCACCTGTGGAGCGTTTAAAAGCTGGTGCCTGGTTTCCACCTGGGCCAGCTGATCAGAACCTCTGGGGATAGTGTTTTGGTGTCTATGCTGTTTAAGGAGCCTCAGACAGCTCTGGTGTGCAGGTAGAATGGGCCTGAGAACAACTAAGCCGGGCGGAGACCTCCTAACTTCATCTGTCACTCACTCCTTCCAGGAGGAAGAGAAGTCAGTTGCTCCAGGTGACTACTGGAGGACGACCTAGATGTTTCCAGCCCAGCTCTTTACTTTCTTCTTCTTGAGCCTGCCCACCTGCAGGGAGAGTGTGCTCCAGTCTGTCAGGGACTGCCTATAAGGACCACACCCTGTGGGTGTCCAGCTGTGTCCCGGCCAGGTGAGTGCTAATTCAATGGCAAAATATTAGTAAGTGCTCCTCGCTGAGATCTTAAGCCATATCTCCAGTGGGCTTTGGTCAGCGATAAGGCTGGTATTTTCATCTCCTGCCTGGCTCTTCTCTATATCTCTGCTTCAAAATGCAGACAGTGAAGAGCAGACTGGTGTTTATTGACAGACTCTCCCCTAAGCTAATGCCATCTCATTGGCAGGTACTTTTCTGCTACTGGGGAAAATGTAGGGAATCCTCAGAATGTGTTTCAATGTCTATATTTGCCTTTTTATTTTATTTTATTTTATTTTTTGAGATGGAGTCTTGCTCTGTAGCCCAGGCTGGAGTGCAGTAGCACAATCTCGGCTCACTGCAACCTCCGCCTCCCAGGTTCAAGCAATTCTCCTGCCTCAGCCTCCCTAGAAGCTAGGATTACAGGCGCCCGCCACCATGCCCAGCTAATTTTTGTAATTTTAGTAGAGATGGGGTTTCACCATGTTGGCCAGGCTGGTCTTAACTCCTGACCTCAGGTGATCCACCCACCTCGGCCTCCCAAACTGCTGGGATTACAGGCGTGAGCCACTGCACCCTGCCCGAATGTCTATATTTGTAATAAAGAAATATGAGTAAATAGAAGCAAATTTAATCCAGTCTCATTATAATAAACACTTGCTTGTATGTTCCTTTGCTTTTATTCTAGTTTCTAAATTAACCTTCTGGAGATGAGGGACAAATACGTATTTGCAGGGGAAGTGAAAAATGATGACTACAGAAAGGCAAATTAGGATGGAGCCCTGGGGTCCTAGGATGTGGTCTTTATATGGGTATCAGGTCTAGCATGGTCCATTGAAATTTGCCCAGAGAGTCTGGTGGGGCCACACCTCCAAACATGGTGTCATCCTCCCTGTGACAGCTCTTGCCTAACCTATGTTTCCCCACGAACTCGGAGTACACATCCTGGTCTGAAATACAGCCCTTATCCTAAACCAGAGCAGCCATTACTGCATCGAGTGGCATGTACTTTTTTTAGAGTTTCTAATTCATATGGAAGAAATGTCTTTTAGGGAATGTTGTACCAAATTACATTCCCAGAAGAAATACATGAGAGTTCCCCAGTCTCACACTTCTTCTTCTTTTTTATCCTTCAACATGTAGATGAAAAATAACATGATGTGGTTATTTAACCTTCAGTTTGTTAATTCTGAGATTAAAACTTTACATATTTTATTCTTTTTTGAATTAAATGTCTCTTTATCTTCCCCTTAGAATATTTTTCTTATTTTTAAGAGATCTTTATATAGTAAAGTTCATACAGATTGAGAATATTTCCCCCAGGATGTCAATGTTATTAGTTTGTGGTGGTGGTTTTCCTGTTTTTCACAGAAATTTATAAGATCATTCATGATATTACTTTCCTTTATTTCTGCCTTTTATGTCATGTTATTCTACCTGAATATTTTATGAAGATTCACTTGCATTTTCTTCCCTTATGTTTTATTAGGTTGGAGCAAAAGTAATTGTAGTTTTGCCATTATTTTTAATGGCAAAAATCCCATAAAAATCCAAAAATCCCCTTCATAAACCTTCCCTCTCAATTTCCAAGTCTCAACCCCAAAATGGATGAGGGTGTTTAAAAACTGCACAAATAGATTTTAAAATCTGCATTGAAATTTCTGTACAGAGGTCTCATGGGAATGTAGTGTCTTGAGCCTCAGGTGAACCAATGGGTTGAGTCTCATTTTAATGTGTGGTTATAGCATTTTACAACCAATGAATATCTTGGACCTGGCAAAGCATGTGGCCAAATTTGGAAGCTTTCTAGACCCAGCCAACCTGCCGGGTGGTTTCTCCTGGGAAGAGAAACTGAGCATCTGACCATGACCCATGAAAGCAGAGCTGGGAGCCCAAAGGTGGGACACCATCCAGTCCCTGCTGGGACTAAGGAGGCTGCAGCCATTGTTGGGTGGATACCTTTCAAATGTGCTGAACAGGTTTTCACATGTGGCCCTGTGGCAGCAATAAAAGTCGCAGTGTTCTTGCCTGGGCAGATGCTCCAGTTTTCCTTCCACCTGGCATTGGGAGGCAGGACAGACCCTTCTAGTCCATGTGAATCCTTAACACCAGGACTCATGGACTAATGGACAAGATTGACCATGAGCTGATAATTGTTGAAGGCTGGTGTTAGCAATGGGATGCATTATACCCTTCAGGAGCAGGCTATTGTGGCTGTTAGTCCCAACCCTTTGCCAGGTACAGGGTGAGGATATCTGCTCCCACTGTGAGGTTAGTTTGAGGATTTTCACAGAGACTCTTTGGAGAACTTGAGGCATGTTCCCCACAGTGTGGGGCTGAACTGGCCTCTGACTTCCACCTGAGAAGTAGAAAGGCAGAGAGATGCTGACCAGCTGCTGTTGGTGAGCTGACCGAGAACAGGCACATAGGAACTGGGGTGTGCACACAGAGTTTCTTGGGTAGAAAAGGCAGAGAAACGGCCAGGTGCTGTGGTTCGTGCTTGTAATCCCAGCACTTTGGGAGGCCGAGGCAGGTGGATCACGAGGTCAGGAGTTCGAGACCAGCCTGGCCAACACAGGGAAAACCCATCTCTACTAAAAATACAAAAATTAGCTGGGCATGGTGGCGTGCGCCTGTAATCCCAGCTATGCAGGAGGCTGAGGCAGGAGAATCGCTTGAACCTGGGAGGTGGAGGTTGCAGTGAGCCGAGATTGAGCCACTGCACTCCAGCAGCCTGGGCGACAAAGCTAGACTCCATCTAAAAAAAAAAAAAAAAAAAAAAAAAAAAAAAGGCAGAGAGACGCTGACCAGCTGCTGTCAGTGAGCTGACAGGCGGGCACATAGGAACTGGGGTGTACACACACAGTTTCTTGGGGTAAAGAAGTCATGAGCATTCCCATTTGGTCCACATGGGTGATACCACAGTGGGGAGATGTTAGGTCTTGCAAAATAGAGTCCTTAGAGGGAAAAACCTTAATCAGAGAAGTTTGAGGTATTGCTGGATTCCTAGGGAGTGGCAAAGGGGTAAGAAGCCAGCTGGCATTTGTCCATATGATGGGAACGACAGGCAAGAAATCCTCAGGGACGGGGGAAGATTTCTCCAAAGAATCTAGAAATCCTTCTGCAAAAAAGAGTCAGTGCAAATATCTGCTGATCAAATTGGAACATCCCCAGCTCAAATTTTCACTCTTCCTGCAGCTCTAAAGTAGATCCTAAAGGGGGTGTGTGTGTGTGTTTGTGCACGCGCGTGTGCGCGCGTGTTTGGGGTGGGGTGTTAAGTGGGAACAGATGAGAGGGAAGTAGAGCAGAAGAGGAGCAGTACCATCTCCAGCTCAAGTGCAGTCTGCTTCCTGCACAGGCCTGGGCTGGGAGGAGGAGGGGCTGGTTGTCTGAATGAAGCTGTAAACTTCGACTTCTAGATGGAACTGACATTCTAATGACTAGCAGGAGACTGTGTGTTACTTAAGAATGGCCAGAAAAGCCAAGAAACTGCCCAGCTTTTTATTGGGGCAGAGAAAAACCCAGTGCATGGAATTCATTGCAAGGAATATCAGAAGACCAAACAATGTGATCCTTACACCTAGTGAATACTCTGGTTCGATGTGCTGGTTACATTTAGAATTCCAGGAGAGAAATAGTAGTAAGCTAATGTTACATTTTTTTCGAGCTCCGCTCTTAAGACTTTCACTTTTAACCTTCACAGGTTAAATATTATCTCATTTATCCTTCACAGCTCCCTGGGAGAAGACGCTCTTAACTCAGAGATGCGGAGACAATCACAAATGTAAGTAATTTGCCAAAGTTCATCAAGCAGTAATGGATGCATCTGGGGTAAATTAGAACTCTTAGCCCAGTAGAGTGGGGGAGTTGGGGCTGTAGATGGACAAGATTGACCATGAGTTGATCATTGTTAGAGGCTGGTCTGAGCAGATGGGGCACATTATACCATTCCCTCTATTCTCTTTTTCATGTTTGGAAATTTCCATAATAAAAAGTTAAAGAGTGTGTTGAGCAAGCAGTTTGGTGAGGATGCTGAACAATCAGAGGCTGTAGATTATAAATGACTGGGAGGCCCACACCTGTGCATTCTGGCTGAGGCCCAGCCCTGGTGCAGCAGGGATTCAAACCCACCAGTCTGCCTGTAGCCCACATTTCCACTGCCTCCCCAGACTGCCTGCTTTGTTGAAATGGCCAAAGGAGAAGTGAATCTTGTGACCAGACCCTTTTGTTCCCTCTGTCTATCACCTGACCCCTGGGTCTCTCCCTCCATCCCCATCTCCTCCTCTTAAGCTGATTGGAATATTGGGGCAACAGGGGGGATCCTCCCAAGGACTTGACAGGAAAATCAGATTTGCCCCATGAAGAGTTAAATTAACTGCAGATCTGAATGAAGATTTACAGAACCTCACTGCAGAGGCAGAATGAGTTCTCAGCTATTAATGGAGGAACCAGATGCTCATTTGTGTAATGAACAGGTTTCAAGGTCACATTTCTCTCTTTTCTATGAATGTGTATTCCTTGTAAAAGTCATAATAATAATCTGTTGGGGAAAGGGGTTTGATCACAAACACTGAGCATCTTTGACATCTGTGGTCTTCAACCACTAATGTACCGTTAAAGTGGCTCTAATAGTAGTTTAGGCACCAAACTGTGAGCATTTTGTTTTTGTTTGCAAGAATTAGAATGGATTTGAGATTGTCCTTATATTATCGTCACAGTCACTCTTCTGCGTTCTGCTGCATGTTCATAAGTGTGAGAGGAAATGGTAGAATCAAGAGTTGTCCTTGGACATCCAGGAAAGGTTTTGCACATTTGAGCACCAGTCATCATTTGTCTTGCAGTGGGAAGAAAAAAGTTAAGATCCACTGTTGTAGATGCTCAATAAGTGATTACTGAGTTGAATTGAACACTGAATCTTGCAGTTTCTATTCAGAACAGAAGAGTAGAGATAGAAAAATGGATTCCCTTTCATTCCTTTGAACAAAAACCTCACCCAGAGGGGATGGTATGCGTGAACTGAGGGACAGATTATTCTGTTTATCACCTTTTTCAGGAAAATAACCACAAAGAATTCTTCGTGGCACATCAAACGCTGGTTTTGTTAAAAGGTATTGATGATGATAAATTGGCCTTGAATAAAAGGTTTATGGTTAGGAGTAATTTTATTGATTTGGGGCCTGGCTGGTCTCTTGGAACTACAACATTATTTTCAGTAAATCGATTGTGTCTGGTTTGGGAAGGCTTTGTACTACATTTGTCTTAAATTATATTTAAATAATTGATCACAATTTGTATTTGTTCATGACCTTTAACTGAACTGTCACTGACCTGTGTTGGGCTTTGGAGATCAATTCTGTGGGTGGCTCATTAGTTCTTGTGAATTTTCTAAGATGCTTGATGTTTTTCTACATTTAAATTCTCTATTAGCCATTGAATTCAGAAATCAGGAATTCTTTTTGCAAAAAAGATTTTGCAAAATGAGATTTTGATGAGGAGACGTGTTATCTGACTCCCTTTGCAGTTATAGAGAGGCCATGGATATGGACATCATTTTCCTCTTTTGGAGTCAGATATTGAAACTCAAGGGCAAGGAAGGAAAAGTAACACCATGAATCCCAAATGAAGACCACCTCCTTTCCCCTCAGATCTGGGCCTCTGCTGTGACTTAGGATGTCTGTTCTTATTTTGTTTTCACCCATCACCAAGAATGAAGCCCTCAGTGCCATCTTTGTCTTCTTATTCTCTCCCCTGTCTCCACCATACCCATTTGTTGCAAAACTTCTCTTGGCTCTTTTATGCTGTCTTTCGTCTCTTCCCCCCTTTCGCCCACTCCATTGCTGCTCCTCTGATGCAGGCCCTTTAAGGAAGGGGAGCGGGGGACATAAAGGGTGGCTGCATGTGCACTGGCATCCCGGGAGAACCCCCAAATGGGGGATCAGTGTACTCTCTCTTAGATTTTTAGGAACTGAACATCAAATCTGGAAGCCTGAGTATGTCCTAACTCAGGGAGTCGCCTCTCTAGTCCAGAGTTTCCCAACTGGTTCTGAAGAGCCCCAGTGTTCCATGGGTGTGAGTGGCCTTCTGGTGGGCAGATCCAGGCCAGCAGCCCCTATTTCAACAAGACCTTCCAGGCTCATCTCTTTGAAATGATTTGCCGTCACTCCTTATGTGTAGGGAAGTGACACAATTCATCATAGGGGCAAATGACATTTTTGCTTTGGAAAACCCTTCAAGGTGGGTCAGGCTATAGGAGATAAAAAGGAATTATTTTGCCTTATATGGTGAAGTAGCAGAATGTTTGCATTTTCCGCAGGCAGCCCAGTGGACTGAGGGTGAAGAGCTTGTATCTCAATGATGAGGGTATATTAGGTTTCTAGGGCTGCCACTAAAAAGTACCAAAAACTGGGTGACTTAACAGAAATGCATTGCCTCACAGTTATGGAGGCTAGCAGTCCAAAATCAAGGTGTTGACAGGACCATACTCCCTCTGACACCTCTAGGGGAGAATCCTTTCTTACCACTTCCTAGCCCCTGATGATTGGCCAACAATCTTTGGCATTCCTTGGCTTGTAAACAACATCACTCAATCCTCTGTGTTCACATGGCCTTCTTACCATGTCTTTTCATGTCATCCTCCCTCTAAACAGGTCTGTGTCTGTATTCCAATTTTCTCTTTTGACAAAGACACCAGTCTTATTGGATTAGAGCCCACTCTAATGGCCTTAACCTCCACAGTGACCCTATTTCCTAATAAAGTCATATTCTGAGGTGCTGCAGATTAGGATTCAACATACCTTTTGGGGGCACACAGTTTAATCTGTTACAAGAGGAGATGAAGGAAATGCTCAAGAGGCAAGAGATTAAGAGGTTGGGATCTCATGAGAGCAAGCCCTTTGGTGAAGAATGGCCAGAAAATTGTTACAAATGGGGAAGTCTGCTATTAAATTTGAAGGAAATCCTGGTTGGGCATGGTGGCTCATGCCTGTAATCCTAGCAATTTGGGAGGCTGAGGCAGATATATCATTTGAGATCAGGAGTTCAAGGCCAGCCTGGCCAACATGATGAAACCCCATCTCCACTAAAAATACAAAAATTTGCTGGGCATGATGGTGCATGCTTGTAATCTCAGCTACTTCGGAGGCTGAGGCAGGAGAATTGCTTGAACCTGGGATGGGGAGGTTGCGGTGAACTGAGATAGTGCCACTGCACTGCAGCCTGGGTGATACTGACTCTATCTCAAAAAAAAAAAAAAAAAAAAAAAAAAAAAAAAACAGAAAAGAAAGAAAAAGAAATTGAAGGAGTTCCTAGTTTTAATCTATAATCACTTTCTTTTTCCCCAAGCCTTTAATAAAAGCCTTGTGTGTAACAGCTTTGTTGTATTAGTCCATTTTCACACTGCTATTAATATAAAGAACTACCCAAGACTAGGTAATTTATAAATGAAAGAGGTGTAATTGACTCACAGTTCCACATGGCTGGGAAGGCCTCAGGAACCTTACAATCATGGCAGGAGGTGAAGAAGAAGCAAGTACCTTCTTCACAAAGCAGCAGGAAAGAGAGAAGTGCAAAGGAGGAACTTCCAAACACTTATAAAACCATTGGATCTCATGAGAACTCACTCATTATCATGAGAACAATATGGGGGAAACAGCCCCTAGGATCCAATCATCTCCCTCCCTCAACAAGCAGGGATTACAATTCGAGATGAGATTTGGGTGGGGACCCAGAGCCAAACCATATCACTTGTGCTGGTGGAGCCTGTAGAAATAAAGGAGTGATTGTGTTTGTGTTTCAGATGAAATGAGAGTGGCTCTTATCCTGGATAACTATCGGTTGGCTAATTGGCTGGATCCCTCACTGGATTATAAGGAACACTGTCATGAAACCAGGGGCCTTGTCATGATCATCATGTAGAATCGTACTAGGAAACTAATTCAAACTCAATAAACATTTGTTGAATAAATACAAGAATGAACAGCACACAGCAGCTGCAGGAGGACAGGGAATGCTTTGGATTTGAGAGCTGGGCTGATAACAGACATTTATAGACAGTAGCAATAGGACCCTTTTTGCTGTTTATCCATCAACCCTCAAATCCCAAGTAGAGTACTGGACTTCCCACAGTTAATGGGGAAGGAGCTCAAGCAGTTCCATTTGGACATGAACAGAAAAGGCCCCCAAAAGACCACATAACTCAGGGGCAATCAGTTTCCATCATTTTTTTATAGTTATCTTTCATATTAGATTTTTTCAGGTAAAATTTACATATAGTAAGTGAAAGGCAAATATCCTAAGTGTACTTGATGCGTTTTGACAGTATTCTCTCATGTTACCAACATATAAACAAAATATAGAACATTTCCATCACCCAAGTAAGTTCCCTTTGTGCCCCTCTTCCAGTCAATGCCCAACACCTTTCTCACAGACAACACGTTTTCTTATGTCATTCACCATAGATTCATTTAACCTGTCACAAATGTCATATAAATAAAGTCAATAGCGCACACTTTTTGTTTGGCTTCTTTTGTGCAACGAATGTTTTTGAGATGCTTTCATGTTGATATATGAATTCGTGTTTTATCTGTCTTTATTGCTGAGAAGTGCAGTTGTTGATGGATATTTGGGTATTTGCTTTTGTCCATTATGAATAACTTCTGTAAACATTCTTGTACAAGTCTTTTGTTTAAATATATTTTCACTACTCTTGAGTAAACACAGATAAATGGATTCGTATTATACATATTTAAATTCATAAGAATCTACCAAATGGTTTTGCAAAGTGGTTATAGCATTTTACGCTTCCATTGGTCATAGATGACGGTTCTAGTTGCTCTGCACCTTTGTCAACATTTGGGTCTGTCAGTCTTTATAATTTTAAGTTTTTTATACACCTTGACTTTACTGACAAGCCTTTAAATTTTAGAGATTCTAGTGTGTATGAAGTCATATCTCATTGTGGTTTGAATTTGTATTTTCCTAATGTCTAATGATGTTTAGCACATTTTCATGAGCTTATTGGCTATTCCTATATCTTCTGTTGAGAAGCTTCAATTAAAGCCATTTGCCCATGTTTGATAGAATTGTTTTTTCTGTTAATTTTTAGCAATTCTTATATGCGCTTGTATCTTTTGGTAGATATATATATATATATTGCAAATATTTTTCCCAGTTGGTGGCTTGCCTTTTTCTATTCTCAATGGTGTTGATTGACAGGAGCTTTAAATTTTGCTGCAGTTCATCTTACCTCAAAGTCTTTTTTCGCATCCCCTCTCTTTCTGCAGATTCTGGATCTTTTGGAATGCCTCTCCCAGGACTTAGCAAAACAAAACAAATATACACGTGCCCTTCTCCCAAGGAAAACAGCCTTTTACTTCAGTGTGCAGAGTAGCTCTAGCTCTATGTTAGTTCATTCCACAAAAACTAATTGAGCACCTATTATATGATGTGCTGGGCCCCATTGTGGGTGCTGCCGAAGTAGCTGTGACGAAGACAATCAAGGTCTCTGTTCTCAGTTCATTCAAGGCGTTGAAACACGTGATAAACAAGTAAGAGATATAGCTGGTTGCAATACATAGAGAATTATTTTAAGAGAGGGTGATAGAGTAATTTAAGGGCTACTCTGAATTAGATTGGCAAGAAAGACCTTTTGGAGGAGGGATATTTGAGCCAAGAGCTCAGTAACAAATAGAAGCCAGCTATGCAAAGATCACCACCTTTGCTGGTGCAAAGGCCCTGGGCTGGGAGCAGCCTGGCATGTGAAGGATGAGTATAGGAAACTGGAATCAGGGCCTAGACCACACGAAGCCTCCCAAGCTGTGGTGGTGAGTGATTGGATTTTATTTCCATCTCAACTGAAAGCCACTGAGTAGTTTTCAGTAGGGGAGGGTAACCTGTTCTGATTTTCATTTTGAAGGGACCACGCTAACTGATATCTGGCAGTGAATTGAGTGGGGCTACAGTGGGAAAGCAAGTCCTTCAGAGGAAAGATGTTGGCAGCTTCAACTAGGGTGGTCATGGAAGGGGTAGGTAGAAGTAGATGGATTTGGTGCACATTTTAGATGGTAGATGGTATGGGACTTACTAACAGTTTGGACGTGGGATGAAACGAGTGGGAATAAGTGTCTAAATTTTTCTTAGTGCTTAGATTAAGGGAGCCACTTCCCTCTCCCACCAGCAGTCAGAAATGAAAGATACAATGGGAGATTTACATCCCCATTTCCAACCAAAACTTAAAAACGACTGCTATACACTAAAAAGTGATAGCCACAATTTTCTTCCAAGTGAGGAGGCCCTGGTCTGCTGGAAGGTCTTCGCTTTGCTCTTACACACCCTGATCTGCATTCTCACATGAAATACAAGAGCTCATCACTGAAGGAATGAGCTGAAGCCATGCAGAGTCTCAGTGGCTACACTGAGCTTGGCACTGAGGTGGGGAGACTCACTAAATGCATGTACAAACCACAGTGGTCAGTCAATGTTTCCTCCCCATCTTTCTAGATTTTCAGCAACACAGAAGCGATAGATACAGTTGACTTTAGTTGCTTTTAGAAAGGATGGCATTTCGGCATTTGGAATCAATTATTCCAATATTAAACTCCTGGTACCTCCACATAGTTAGATAACTTTGATAGGGATTGAGTTGTCCTACTTGGTGCAGAAGATTGAAAAAGTATTCCCTGCACAAATTAAGGTATTAATGAATCTTTAAGAGAAAGGATCACCCTTCCTATGGTTGAAAAAGCAAGCAATTACAAACAAATAGCTTTTGAAGTCCTTTATAATTGCTAACAGATATCTAATTTATTCATGACATTAGAATGAATTTCATAAGAAGCTATGTGGAACATTTCCTTCAGCTTGGTTCAGTTATGTGTACTTGTACGGAGGGTCAAGGACATTTTTACAGTAAAAAGGACTTGAGAAATGGGGGGACTCCCTGTCATCATGTGCTCAGGACAGCTCCCGTTTGCCACTGTTTTCCAGGCATCCTCTCCGCATCCCATCCTCATTTGATCTCGTAAGTGTAATCATTTTACAGTTACAAAATGTGAGGTGACCAATAACTCTGACCGTGAGGAAAGTATCAGACAAACCCCAATTGAGGGACATCCTATAAGAAGCCTGACCAGTCGTCCTCAAAACTTTCAAGGTCACCAAAGACAAGAAAAGTCTGAGAAAGTGTCACAGACAAGAGGAGCCTAAAAAGACCATGATAACTAAAAGTAATGTGGTATCTGGGATGGGATCCTGAGACAGAAAAAGATCATTATGAAAAAATTAGGAAATCTGAATTAAGTGGATTTGAGTTAATAATCATGCACCAATATTCATTCACTAATGAGAGAGTATACTGATGTAAAATGTCAGTAATAGGGGAAACCAGATGTGAGTTACTCACAGTAGTATTTTCTCCATTTTTCTATAAATCTAAAACTCTTGTAAAAAGAACTTGACAAAAAAAGTGAGGTACAGAAGGGTGAAGTCTCAACAATCCAGAGATAATCCAAAGTTTATAAACTCGGTCTCCAAATTTGTTTCCAGGTAATTTTCTATCATACTACATAATCTGTCATGACATATGGTCCCATATATTGAAATATAATAAAACTATACTCTTTCAGAAGTATTCTATAATTTAGAGCTTTCAAGAGCTTGGTGATATTTCACTTTTTAAATAATAAAACCACTCAAGTTTAACAATTTTGGTTCATATGATTTCATTTCATTAAATTATCATACGATTATTTACAAAAGCAACACTTTCAAGTAGCCTATTTTAAGATTCTTGCTTCTCCCTCAACCCCAAATTCAGGATATGGACACTCCCAGTTTTAAGAGTTCTATGTGAAAATAAACACAAGCCATAGAATGTGTGTGTCCAAAGAGCATCTGTGTGCTTCTGACATAAACCCATATTTGAGATTATTTTACTTCACTTTGACAATCAGGCAAGCTGAATTTAATTGATTATGTCTTAAATAATTCCTAGTTCAAGGTGAGAAGAGATAAGGATCCTTATTTCAGATTGGAAGTCCCTGGTCAGGGATAGAGTTTAATCTTCCATCTGTAGAATATTTTCATAACTTTCAATCTAAAAATTCATACCATCAAAGATACAGACAACATACGGATGTCAGCTAGCCCTTCCCTTAGGAGGTGCTCAGTAAATACCTGCTGAATCGAAATAAATAATGTGCAGGGAATTTTTTTTTATTATTTTTGTTTTGTTGTTGTTGTTGTTTGAGACAGAGTCTCGCTCTGTCGCCCAGGCAGAAGTGCAGTGGTGCGATCTTGGCTCACTGCAACCTCCACCTCCCAGGTTCAAGTGATTCTCCTGCCTCAGCCTCCCAAGTAGCTGGGATTACAGGCATCTGCCACTACGCCTGGCTAATTTTTGTATTTTTAGTAGAGACAGGGTTTCACCATGTTGGCCAGGCTGGTCTCGAATTCCTGGCCTCAGGTGATCCTCCCACCTCAGCCTCCCAAAGTGCTGGGATTACAGGTATGAGCCACCGTGTCAGGCATGCAGGGGATGTTTGTAATGTATAGAAAGGAGGCGAATGGGGTATCTGAAGTTCTAACTTCTACAGAAATTGAGATTCAAATATACAGGTTCAACCTCAGACCCAGCACCACCCTGACAATCATAGCAAATATCTCAACACTCCTCTTCATAATTCTCAGGTCCTTTTCATACATATTCTGCCTGGGGAACTGAATATGAGACTCTGATTGATATCATGACATTCTGTTCTTGACCCTGTGATGATTTCTCACTGTACTGCATGGCTGCAGTGCCGCCTCAAGGGTGCTAGGCTAGTTGAGATGGGGCAGAGCATCTGCCATGGGGTCCTGGTCTCAGATTGAGCTTTAATCTGCTGCTAGTCTGTGGGCTCAAATGGGCTGTTAAGAAATACTAGGGTCTGGCTGGGCGCAGTGGTTCACACCTGTAATCCCAGCACTTTGGGAGGCCAAGGTGGGCAGATCACTTGAGGTCAGGAGGTTGAGACCAGCCTGCCTAACATGGAGAAACCCTGTTTCTACTAAAAATACAACAACAACAAAAAATTAGCTGGGCATGGTGGCATGCGCCTGTAATCCCAGCTACTCTGGAGGCTGAGGCACGAGAATCGCTTGAACTTGGGTCAGGAGAAGGCCCTGGTTGGAGACAACCAGCAACCTTCTGAAGGACCTGCTGATAGTTAATCACTCATCATCCACTCCATTCCGATCACGTGTTGAGCGTGTATTGTGGATAGTCTCTCTATCCACAATAGAGAGAACTTGAGCCAAGATTGCACCACTGCACTCCAGCCTGGGTGACAGAGTGAAGCTGTCTCAAAAAAAGGAAAAAGAAAAACCACTGCTGGGCACAGTGGTTCACACCTGTAATCCCAGCACTTTGGGAGGCCAAGGTGGGCAGATCACTTGAGGTCAGGAGTTCAAGACCAGCCTGACCAACATGGAGAAACCCCATCTCTACTGAAAATACAAAATTAGCCAGACATGGTGTCGCATGCCTGTAATCCCAGCTACTTGGGAGGCTGAGGCAGGAGAATTGCTTGAACCCGGGAGGCGGAGGCTGTGGTGAGCTGAGATTGCGCCATGGCACTCCAGCCTGGGCAACAAGAGTGAAACTCCATCTCAAAAAAAAAAAAAAAAAAGAAAAAGAAATACTAGGGACTCTTTGAGGAAAGAGTGTCTTAATCCCTGACATAAGCTAGAGCTCAACCCTGTGGGAAAGGACAGAGTCAGGTGTCAGAGATGTGTGTTCTAACTTCTCCAGGTTGTCTTACTGGGCAGCAAGGCCGTTTTGAGGTTTAAATGAGAAACACATATAAAGGTACTAATATGCTTAGGCTTTGTATCACCACCCAAATGTCATCTTGAATTGTAATCCTCATAATCTCCACATGTCAAGGGAGAGACCCGGGACCCGGTGGAGGTAATTGAATCGTAGTGGTGTTTTCTCCCCTGCTGTTCTGGTGATAGTGAGTTCTCACGAGAGCTGATGGTTTTCTAAGGGACTCTTCCCCTTTGCTCAGCACTTCTCCTTCCTGCTGTCTCATGAAGAAGGGGCCCTTTGCCTTCTGCCATGATTGTAAGTTTCCTGAGGCCTCCCCAGCCATGCTAAACTGTGAGTCAATTAAACCTCTTTCCTTTATAAATTACCTAGTCTCGGGCAGTTCTTTATAGGAGTGTGAAAACGGACTAATAACAGTACCTTAAAATCTGAGGATTCCAAAGCCCTTTAAATGAACCTACTGGAAATAGGTTGCCTTCTAGCAAGCATCATCCTTTATGCTTTGGAGCTAAGCATGTGCCAGAAATCGCTTCTGTGGATGGGGGTCCTGTCCTTGCAAGCACCGGCCCATGTGCCTTGTTTAGGCTTGAAGACTCAGAGGCCATGGTTAGCTGCCTTCTGGAAATCCACCCCTTGATGCTCAGGTTCTGCGCCTGGCCGGTGGCAGCATCCCATTAGCCCTGAGGGCAGTGGATCTGTGGCTGTATACTGCTGGTTGTCTCCAACCAGGGCCTTCTCCTGAAGCCTTCTGAAGGACCTGCTGATAGTTAATCACTCATCATCCACTCCATTCTGATCACATACTAAGCATGTATTGTGGATAGTCTCTCTATATATGTGGCTCTCTTCTGTAGTGGCATAAAGGTAGGTTTGGATGCTCCCTGAGGGGAGGGGCTGCCTCTCCTCTGACTTTGCATCTCCAGTGTGTTCCTTGGGGTTGGCGTAGCCCACTAGAAGCTCTATTCTTGTTCAATTACAGGTTCAGGTTAGGCAATCCTTCAAGGGCCCAGGATGAAGAAGTTTCTATCATCCTCAACACATGGTTTCCAAAGCTACCATGGCTGGTTCCATTCCGGCCAATGGAAATGGAGAAGGAGCATGCAGGAGTGCACTGAGGAAGATGTTAGGAAGAAACACCCTTGTCTTCACATTCCGTTGGCTGGAACCCAGGCACCTGGCCATGCACCCTGCAAGGGAGGCTGGGAAAGGAGGTCTGTCGGTGTCCTCAGGGAGAAGAGAAATGAGCTTGGGCTAAGAGCCACTTGCCAGATAACAGCTATTTGTCCAGCAGACAAACAGGAGTGAGTGCTCAACAAATATGAATAGGAGTGAGTGCTCAATATCTTTGCTGGACAAATGGGTCTATTTAAAAATTTAGGAATTGTACGTAGCAATGGGCAGCACCCACACAAATATGGCCTTCAGAGAATCTTTCAAAAAGTAGTTTTTTTTTGGTCCACAGTTTCTATGGATTTCATTAGGCACCAAATGACTTTATTTAAACGCTGATTGTGTTGTCACTGTGTCCCGGGCAATGAGATCTCACTGAATGACACCAGGTTCCTTCCTTCAAGGCTCTACAGCTATGGACCCCAGAGGATCAGTTGTTTTAATATTAAAGCAGCTGCATTTGCACAGGAGGGTCAGATACTATAATCTTCATACCCAGAGTTACATTCTCCTCAATGGATTTATCTAAAATCCTTTCAACACAGAACCATGTGTTGAAACCCTTGATGGAATATTAATCAAACATTTTTTCCCGAGTTCTGAAGCCCTGATTGAAAGTGCATCTGTGTAAGTAGGCTTTTCGGAAAATTACATACCTTACATTGAAGCAAGCAATCAAGTCTTCCCCACCCCTTCACAATGGAAAAGCAGTGGATATGTAAGAAGACAGCTTAGCCAAATGAAAAAGAGAATAATTTTATTCTAATGAGAATGTGGAGCTGGATCAATTATAGATAAGCATGCAAACTTACTGAAGTTTTCTTTTTTTCTGTTTTGATGAATAGTTACATGAAAATATCCTAAAGCCTTCTTGCTGCCTGTGGAGGGTCAGAAATGGCTCTTGGTGTATTTGAATGTAATGATGAGTATATCTTACAATATCAGTTTCCACTTTAAAAAGGGAGATCTATTCTCAGGATCAGCGAAGACATGAAATCTGAGAGAGATGAGGAGAAGCAATGTTTGGAGGTGGAGCAGGCTGGCATCAGGGCCTGTGGAGGATGGCATCACCCAGCACACCACCTCTGCACAGGCACTTCTTCAGGTTAGCAACAGGAAGCTTAATTTAGCCAAGAACCTGAAGGATCATGGAAAAGAATTCTGGAGCCTCTGCTACTCTTATGCAGCTTTGTTAAGGGTAATGCTGATTTGCATTTCCACCTCTCTTCAGCATGCATCTCAGCACACACAGCTGCCCATCTTGTTAGTCAGCTGTAGGAACTGACGTACTACTTTCTTCTATTAATGTTGCCTAATGTAAGACATCACAGACTGGGCATATACCTAAAGTCCTTGGATCTACTGCTCACTGGAATTGAGTTCTCTTTTTCTTTTTAATCTTTTAATCCAAGAAACCAGTTCAATTTTGTTCAAGGATTATAAAGTATCATCCCGGCCAGGCGCAGTGGCTCATGCCTGTAATCCCAGCACTTTGGGAGGCCGAGGTAGGCAGATCACCTGAGGTCAGGAATTCAAGGCCAGCCTGGCCAACATGGCAAAACCCTGTCTCTACTAAAAAATATAAAAATTAGCCAGGCGTGGTGGTGGGCACCTGTAGTCCCAGCTATTTAGGAAGCTGAGGCAGGGAGAATTGCTTGAACCCATATCATCCCCACTTTTCATAATGAGGTCCCTTCCTTGTCTGGAGGTCAGGGACAGGGAGGGAACAGGTATTTTGTGGATGGACTGCATAATATTCTAGCATCTGAGATACGTGCAGGTCAGAGTTGAGCACGAAGCCAAATACAATAAACTGGGAAGAGATCAGGAAGTGCACTGATCAAACTCAAGTGGTCAGAACCATATAGCAGAAGTTTGGGTGCAGAGTTACAACACAAATTATAAACTAAAGAGATGAACACGGAACCACTGACAGGGTAAGAATGAACTGAGAGTTGCAATTACCTGAGGCAGGATTATTTTCCCTGGCAGCTTTGATTTGCTGAGGATCTTATCACAGGTAGGAGATGCTCAATTTATTTATTTTCTAATTTTTTTTGAGCTGGTAGTCTTGCCCTGTCACCCAAGCTGGAGTGCAATGGCGTGATCTCGGCTCACTGCAACTTCTGCCTCCCAGGTTCGAGCGATTCTCCTGCCTCAGCCTCCAGAGTAGCTGGGATTACAGGTGTGCGCCACCTTGCCCAGCTACTTTTTTGTATCTTTAGTAGAGACAGGGTTTCACCATGTTGGCTAGGCTGGTCTCGAACTCCTGACCTTGTGGTCTGCCTGACTTGTCCTTCCAAAGTGCTGGGATTACAGGGGTGAGCCACCGTGCCCAGCCAGAGACGCTCAATTTAAATGGTTCGGGATGAGGCAAACAACACCTGCTTACCTTCTCCCAGGAAATACAGTGGGTGAAGTGAGAGTTACAGCCTAGGTCCAAGCTTAGGTCTTACGAGGTCTCATGATTTTACGTGCCCCTTGTTCCATGAAGGGAACATACTTTAACTAGCTTCTTGGTCAAGGAGGATGAGAAACATGTGGAGCAGGCCCAGACCCAACTTGTAGCTTACAGCCACCATAGAAAATGACTAGGGTCCGCTGAGCTATGCTTCCCACCCAACCATGGGAAGCAGAACTCAGCTGACCCCAGCCATTGTCTGTGTTGGCCAGTGGTTTCTTAAACATTTGCAAGATCCAGGACCAGAGTGTACATGCATGCTCTCATACCTTTGAGACGCATTCTCCACCTTGTACGTGCAGGCATTCGGTACCCAGACTTCTGCTATGTGGTTCTGGCCACTTGAGTTTGGTAACTGCACTTCCTGATTTCTTCCCAGTTTATTCCACTTGGCCTGTCCCATCAAGGAACACACTTATTTGGGTGGAACACTTATTTATTTCCATGGGACTGTGTGCTCTTTAAAGGCAGAAGCTATTTAGAGAGCCTGGCATATAGGAAGTCCTGAATAAAAGGTTGTTGAGCGACTGAATGATCTGGAGACTTTTTTCTAATTTAAAGAATTTTTTCTTAGCTTGCTGGGAAAAAAACGCTGTACAACATTTCAAATTTCACATTCTCTTAAAAAAGATAATAGCAGCATTTTGTGTGTTTTTCCAATACCTTAAGTGTTTAAATATTGATATTAGGTGTTATTATGTTATTTACCAGGGTTTATTTATCCCTTTGTATTCTTTCCATAGAAGTACCTGAGTCAGAGAGTGAAGTTTTGCACATCAGGAACTCATCATCCCTATTTTTGAACTTTTAGAAACAAATGTAAATCAGTGTTAGCTATGTTTAGGCAAATCGCACTGCCCATTTCCTACTACTTCGTTTCTTAAAGAGTTATAGTTTTACTTACAGAATTGTGACTAAGGGAGTGTCTCCCTTTCTTCATCATTTTCAGAAGGAACCAGGTAAATATGATCATGACTTCACTGTCATTGCCATTCAAAGATGATATCAAGGTCAGCAAATCAATGTGAACTATTAATTCTACCCCCTCCCTTTTTCTTCTTCTTTTTTTTTTGAGACAGGGTCTTGCCCTGTCACTCAGGCTGGAGTGCAGTGGCATGATCTCGGCTTACTGCATGCAGCCTTGACCTCCCGAGCTCAAGTGATCCTCCCACCTCAGCCTTCCAAGTAGCTGGGACCACAGGCATGCGCCACTACGTCAGGCTGATTTTTGTATTTTTTGTAGAGATGGCATCTCATTGTGTTGTCAGGGCTGGTCTTGAACTCCCAGGCTCAAGTGATCCTCCCACCTCAGCCTCCCAGGGTGCTGGAATTACAGGCAGGAGCCACTGCACCAGGCTGATTCTTACTTTTATATATAAAATTGTACCATTGTTTTATTCTACATCTCTTTGATGAGTGTATAAAGAATGTAAAACATAAAATTTATATTATTAATTTGAAACACTGTTCCTAAAGAGTAGAATCATTAACAAAATGTGTGCGAACACTTGGCCTGTCTAAAGAGGCAAGATTGAAACACAATACTCAGGGTTGGTAAGGATGCAGGGGAACAAGCGCATTTCACACACTGGAGTACACATTGTTACAGTCCTTCAGAGGATAACTTTGCTAATAATAATAACAGTAAAACATTTTTTAAGTATATAAAGCTTGAAAATTTTACTTCTAGAAATTTATCCTAGGTAAGTAAGCATGGATGTGCACAAGGATTTAGCTGGGTTGGACAAAATCATAAAAAATAAAAAGCAGAAAACATTTCACAGGTAAAGGTTAAGTTACATAAATTATAATAACCCATGTAATGGAGCAAATATCTCATTAAAAATAATTTAAAACATATAATTTCATGAAACACATTCATTGAATACTCAATGGTAAAAAAAAAAAAAGATAGGTTTCCAACAGCAGTGTAATCCTATCTTTGAAAGAAAATTATCCCCATCAAAGATGAATAGGACATTCATTAAAACATTAACAGTACTCGCTCTTGGAGGATTCTGAAGGATTTTGATTATGCTGGCTTTTCTGAATTTTCTACCAAAAAATGGCATTACTTTTGTGATTCAAGTAAATCACACTTAAATAATTTAATGAAAAAATACACACTCATGGTTGAAGTGGTAGGGCTGGGGGCAAGTAATGGTGCAAGTTCAACTGCAGGTAGGTGACACCCTGGTGACAAGAACTGGCAAGAGGAGACTGTGCATTAGAATCGCCTAACGTTTTCAACTTTGAGTCTAAATATGGACGTGTTGTGGTCATTTGAGGTTAAAATGTTGTCAGGGAAAAATGATGCCTAATTTTTGGAGGAGACTGTGTGTCTATATGTGAATGTGTGAGTGTGTGTGGGTGTGCCTGCATGCCCCAGAGATGGCATTAATATTTTAATTATGTCAGGGGTTAATTTATTTTAAATGTATTTCTGCCTTTGGCCCTTCTGGCTAAGCAGCAGCTAATTCATTTTTTAAATGCCAAGACTTAATTCCCCCAGGGGAAGTGATAAGCCTGTTCTTCAAAGGTGTAAACATCTAACTAGAGATAAAAACCATAGGCTGTTGGAATGTCAAATGCTATAATGATTCAGAGTATATCTAAAAGTATTTGTTTTACATTTCAAGTTTAGCTAAAGGATTCACATGTCCCTCCATTTTTCCTGTGATATTTCAAATATTGTCCTACCACCTCCAAAAACAAACAAAAATGTCTACATCCAAATCCCCAGAACTTGCTAATGCGTTCCCTTATATGAAAAATGGAGGCCAGGTGCGGTAGCTCACGCCTGTAATCCCAGCACTTTGAGAGGCCGAGGTAGGCGAATCACGAGCTCAGGAGATCGAGACCATCCTGGCTAACACGGTGAAACCCCAACTCTACTAAAAATACAAAAAATTAGCTGGGCATGGTGACATGCATCTGTAGTCCCAGCTACTCGGGAGCCTAAGACAGGAGAATCACATGAACCCAGGAGGCAGCCTGGGCAACAGAGCAAGACTCTGTCTTAAAAAAAAAAAAAAAAAAAAAAAAAAGAAAAGAAAAATGGGACTATGTAGATGTGATTATTGATATCCAAGGAGTAAGGAACCCCCAAAATATTCCTCAGAGGAAGAGAAAAAGTGGAACTTACTTGCTGTCAATCTTTCAAACTCAGAGAAAAGAGCTTGACTGTGCTTGGGGACAATAACTAGAGCAGAGGCTGCCCATGCAGTTATGGAAGGAACAGGAGAGTCAGAGGGAGGTGTGGCTATCAAAGAAGGATCAACGAGCTGCAACTTGGATGGCTTAGAAGACGGAAGAAGGGGCCACAAGCCAAGGAACACGGGTGAACTCTAGGAGCTGAAAAAGGCAAGGAAACAAATTCTTTCCTAGAGCTTCCAGAAGGAATACAGCAGGATATGCAGTTCCCCAGGGTTCCCTCTCCACACTGGCATGGGACCTTGTGTTCACTACGGAACCTTCCCTACCTTCCTCCCTCCCTTTCCACCCCATCCTATGTACTGATCCAGCAGAGTCCTTCAACTCACGCTTAACTATTGCAAATTCAGTTATGGCCCTTTCCATGGCAGTATCAACATGGGCAGGTGAAGCATTTACACTCCTGTGGCCCTTGCCTGGGTTGGTGGCATGCACCTGCCTGAGACCTTCCATAACTGCACGGGCAGCCCCTGCTGTAGTTAATGTCCCCAAGCACAGTCAAGCTGTGGGTCTGAGAGTTTATGTTGGGGTCATTCTCTATAAACAATAACTTGTTAAATGATAGAATTCTTGGGTTACAATAATTTTTTCTCAAAAGTGTAGAGACTATTTATTGATTTTTAGCACTTCGTGCTGCAGAAGTTAATTTGATACTAACCTGATAATGTGTTCTCCTTTTGAAGCAACCTTTAAAATGTTTTTTTAGGACCTAGAAAAAAATTTTCTTTATCCTTAAAAACTTTATCATTGACTATAAATCTCTTTTCACTCAACTTTTCTTAGCATTGTGGGCCTTTCAATATGAAGACTTCTGTGTTCAGCTAACGGAAATTTCATTGTGTCATTCATGTGATTATTGCATGTACTCTTTGTGCAACATTTTATGTTTTTGATAATTTTTCTTATATTTACAGCTGGCCTCTGGGCTCTGCCTTGGTTTGAACGTTTGTCCCCTCCAAAACTATGTTGAAACTAATCCCTAATGCAGCAGTATTGAGAGGTAGGGTCTCTAACAGGTGATTGGGTAATGGGGGTTCTGCCTTGATGAATGGGTTAATTCACCCATGAATTTGTGGATTAACAAGTTAACGGATTAATGGCTTGTCATGGGAGTGGTACTGGTAGCTTTATAAGAAGGGGAAGAGAGGCCTGAGCTAGCACCCTCAGGCTCCTAACTGTATGATGCCCCGTGCTACCTCAGGACTCTGCAGAGAGTTCCTTTCTGCAAGAAGGCCCTTACCCTTGACCTTGGACTTCTCAGCCTCCATGACTGTAAGAAATAAATTCCTTTCTTCATAAATTACCTAGTTTCAGGTATTCTGTTATAAGCAACAGAAAATGGACTAAGACATCTTTATTGTCTAACTTTCATGAATTTTCAGTGAGCTTCTCAAATACAGTATTTTATTACAATTTTTTAATGCAATGACTTTCCCGTAATTCCCAGGACAAAATGAAACAAGATATCACAGGAATGAAAAGTACACTGAGACTGCAACTCATAAGTCCACCAGTATGCGTATCATAATCTAAGAGATACTTGAGAATTCCATTATTATCATTATTATTATTATTATTATTTTTGAGACAGAGTGTCGCTCTGTCACCCAGGCTGGAGTGCAGTGGCACAATCTCGGCTCACTGCAAGCTCTGCCTCCTGGGTTCACGCCATTCTCCTGCCTTAGCCTCCTGAGTAGCTGAGACTATAGGCGCCTGCCACCATGACTGGCTAATTTTTTGTATTTTTAGTAGAGACAGAGTTTCAACATGCTGGCCAGGCTGGCCTTGAACTCCTGATCTCAGGTGATCCACCTGCCTCGGCCTCCCAAAGTGCTGGGATTACAGGCGTGAGCCACTGCACCTGGCCAGTTTTTGTTCTTATACCATCACTGCTAATGCCCCAGCACTTGGACCTCCTGCCATTTTTTACTAAAGGCAAGATTTTGGTGAATCCCATTGGAATTACTCCAGTTTCCCCCAGACCAGACATAGCTACTGTCCCCAGCCAAACAAACCTAATATTGGCGCTCAGGTTTCTCCATGCCTCTATCACACCAGGGTCTTTCTCTTCTGCAGCAGCGAAAACAGTCATCTTTGACACGTTGGCCAATGCTATCTCCATCCCTGAGATTTTGCCAACCCTACTGCAGTGCCCATATGGTGGGGATTTCCCCTCTCCTGTATGCTTTCGGTAGGGAGCTAAGCTGCAGAGATCGTTCCTGTATCTTGTGAGTTTCTTTACTCTCCTCCCAGAAGAAGCAAGGAAGACAACAGTGGATATGTTTTAGTGACACTTTGTATTCCTGATAAGAAGCTTTGAATAGCCCTCTCACAAGGGCAAGAAGAGGGTTAAGATAAAAATTCAGTTGTTTACATGGAAGCTGCAGATAAGTGCCCATCCTTCCTGATTAGCAGCTGGCGCAATGGGAATAAAGTGATTTTGATTTCCTCAAAAGATACAGCACTCAATGAAAAGGTACTTTTTTATTTTGAATTTTAAATAAATTCAGACAGAAAAGTTGCAAAAATAGTACAAAGAATTCCTGCATACCCTTCAATATATTTGATTTTATTTATCATTCTCTCTCTCTGCCAAAAGTTGAATCATTGATTGATCACTTAGTTATACTACTTCCTGCCAGGTTGCTCCAATGTAAAGTTATCATTTTTTTGTTTTGGAATTAATAAGTACATTGTGGAGAGACACTCTGAGGCCATGTGAGTGTCTGTTTTTCATTATACTTTGTCACCTACTAGTTTTAGCATTCCCTGATGATTCCTGCCTGCAATAATTGCTATTCTAGTTGTTGCTAAATGATGATTTTCTAATTCCATCATTTCTTCTGCATACATTGATTGAAATTCTGTTCCAGGGAAGAGCTTGCTCTTGTTTTCCCTTCCTTCTCACTTAATTCATTAATCATGGATTTATATATTCTTATTTTATTCAATGCGTTATAACCCATTACTATCATTTTTTGATGCTCATGTTGTTTCAGATCTGGCAAGTGTGATCCCCTTAAATCAGTTTTCTGTGCCCTTTGACATGCACTGATAATTCTTTGAGCACTTCCTTACTTTCTGGTAAACTGCAAGTTTCAGGCTCACATGTATTTTCCCAGACCCAATCTTGGAATCAAACACTTCTCCAAAGAGCCCTGGTTCCTTCAGGTAGAGAATGGTATCTAGAAACCAAGCTCTAGACTCTAGGTGTGCTCATTGCTACTGGGATGCCATTGCTTCTAGGCCCCCAGTGGATACAGCTAAAAAATAAGTATATGTATTTGTGTGTATCTATTTGTGCATATGTGCATACATACCTCCAGAAACACACACACACACACACACACACACACACTTTTTTTAACCTAAAACTATGAGTTCATAACCAGTCCTAACCACAAAGTTAATTCTCTCCTTCTCTTTTTACATATTTGTTACTTGCATCTCCAATGGTGAGAAACATGACTCTCAATATCCATAGTATATTTATTTATTTGCTTAATTCCAGAATACGTTAAGTTGTTTCAGAATTGCTAACTGCTAACCCTTACCACTGTGCAAAACAAATATATTAATCAGAGTTCAATAATTATGTATAGTTACTTTTGCCTTTAGCCTGAGAATATATTACCAAGATTATGTAGTTAGTTTGTTTTTCCCTCTACTTCAATGTGATTGCTTTTCATTTGAAATACCATTTGGTTTGTTTCTATTTGTATTTCATTTTCTATTTTTTTATTCCCAATCTTGCTTATTTTATTTATTTATTTTTAGCATGTGAAAGATCACATGATTCTAAACATTAAAACTAGACACAAAGTTGTATTGAGAAAGAGATGCCTCTTTACCCCATCCCCTTGGGTCTATTCCCTTTCCCCCATCCTTTATACCCTGTTCCAACCCACTCCATGTACGTAACCAGTTTCACTAGGCTGTGGTTTATCTGTTATGCATGGCCTTTTGCATTAATGAGCATATGCAAGTATTTCTTATAATTCCTTCTTTCTTAAACAAAACATAGCATACTATAATCTCTCGCACTTTACTCTTTCACTTAAAAACATTTCCTGGGAAACACTCCATGTCAATTCATAGAGGCTTTCCTTATTTATTTATTTATTTATTTTTTTAGATGAAGCCTCGCTCTTGTCACCCGGGCTGGAGTGCAGTGGTGTGATCTCAGATCTTGGCTCACTGCAACCTCTGCCTCCCCAATTCAAGCAATTGTCCTGCCTTAGCCTCCCAAGTAGCCGGGATTACAGGCTCCAGCCACCACGCCCAGCTAATTTTTGTATTTTTTTTTTTTTTTGAGACAGAGTCTCGCTCTGTTGTCCAGGCTGGAGTGCAGTGGCACGATCTCGGCTCACTGCAAGCTCTGCCTCCTGGGTTCATGCCATTCTCCTGCCTCAGCCTCCTGAGTAGCTGAGACTACAGGTGCCCGCCACCACGCCCAGCTAATTTTTTTATATTTTTAGTAGAGATGGGGTTTCACCGTGTTAGCCAGGATGGTCTCGATCTCCTGACCTCTTAATCTGCCCACCTTGGCCCCCCAAAGTGTTGGGATTACAGGCGTGAGCCACTGGGCGCCTGGCCTAATTTTTGTATTTTTAGTGGAGACGGGGTTTCACCATGTTGGCCAGGCTGGTCTCGAACCCCTGACCTCAGGCGATCCACCCACCTCAGCCTCCCAAAGTGCTGGGATTACAGGCGTGAGCCACTGTGCCTGACCAAGGCTTGCCTTATTCTTTTTCCAGATGCAGAGTCCTCCATTGTGTGGATGTATCACTGTTTATTCAACCGCACAGGTCTAAGGTTGTGGGCAATTTTCAGTTCCAGAGCAAAGCTCTATCCTTGCCTCCTCCCCAGTAGTCTAGCCTTCCAGCCATAGGAAAACTCCTTCTCCCACCAACCCAGTCCAATCCCAGCCATGTGGGGTGGATACAGATCATCTGGGATGATCTCACCCTGGCTTCCCTATATCCTGAGCAGTTTTGATCAATGGGTGTGTTAGTCATCTACTGCTGCATAAAAATTACTCCAAAACTTAATGCCATAAAACAACAGGCACTTATTAGCTCACACAATTTCGGAGGGTCACACATCTGGGAGCAGCTCAGCTTCTAGATTAGGTGGTTCTGACTCAGGGTCTTGGCAGTCCAGCCATTACTTCTGAAGACTGACGGGGACTGAAGGTTCCACTTCCAAGCTCACATACATGGCTGTGGCAGGAGGATTCCATTTCTTGCTGTATGGATGGACTTCTCCACAGTTCTCATGCTACCACTTCCCCCAGAGTAAGTGATTCAGGAGACAGCAAGAGTGCACACCCAAGGTAGAGGCTCCAGCATCCTTATAACCTAATCTCAGAAATGCCATCCCATGGCCGAGCACAGTGGCTCACACCTGTAATCCCAGCACTTTGTGAGGCCGAGGCGGGTGGATCCCCTGAGGTCAGGAGTTCAAGACCAGCCTGGCCAATATGGTGAAACCCCATCTCTACTAAAACTACAAAAATTAGCGGGGCGTTGTGGCGTGTGCCTGTAATCCCAGCTACCCAGGAGGCTGAGGCAGGAGAATTGCTGGAACTCGGGAGGCAGAGGCTGCCGTGAGCCGAGATCATGCCACTGCACTCCAGCCTGAGTGACAGAGCAAGACTCTGTCTCAAAAAAATAAATAAATAAATAAGTAAAAAAAAGAAAGAAATGCCATCCCATGACTTTTGCCGTATCCTATTCATTTGAGGTGAGTCACTAAGTCCACCCACACCTGAGGAAAAGTGAATGAAGCTCCATCTCTTGAAGAAGAAGTAGGAAGAATTTTTGGACACATTTTAAAAATCACCAGGTTGGGTTATCAAACAGACCTTTTCAGGTGTATGAAAATACTGTCAGGTGAACTCCTAACGTAGGAGCTTGCATTACATCTTAGAATGAAAGATTTCTGTAGAATAAAAACTGCTCCTTAGAGCTGTGCCAGCCGCAGAGTGGGCTGGCTACTTACTCATCCTCCCTGATCCCCTCTGGCTGCTCATTAACATGGTACAGGTGGGCCCCTGACAAAGCGGAACTAATGAATTGTTTCAATGCAAAGGGAAGCATGTATGAGAAAGCTGGAAAGGGGGCAGAAATGGTTCATTGCTTCAGGGAACATAATGAATTAACTCCTCATCCACAGTGATTCATCGCCCGGTCACAGCCTCACTGATCTGGAAAGGAATTCAGGTCTCCTAACCGTCTAGAAAATGAGACTTTTTGGATGAGGGTCAACCCCCACAGGGTCACAGCTGTCCTGAAAAGTTTGAAAAGTAGTTTAGAGCATTTTATAGCAGGTCTCAGAGTTTTGACGTGGATTACGAAGTAGCTCACGTGTTTTTTTTTTTTTTTTAAAATGAGGATACTAAAATACAAATATTCCTATCTTCGAATGCCTTCTTGCCAAATTGATTCTTTCCTGTTCATTGCAGTGTGCTGTGAAAGATTTAATCTTATCACCCTCATCAGGAGTGATAATAAAAACTCATGGTTTTATTAGAATGCACACTGTGAGATGTAATATCCAGGCTTGTAGTTGTTATAGGAAGTTAAATAGGGTTAATAAAAAGAGTAGGGTTTACATGAAGTATGCCTTGGGGTTGCTGTGGAACAGTGTTTCCCAAAGTACGTTCCATAGAACACAAGTCCCATGAGCTACTCCACGGATAGAAAACTGCATGGCAAAATAGAGATATAAAAACACTGCATAAAACACTGCATTTCTTCACTTATAAATTCATCATCTACATTATATATTAAGGCATATGGGAACTCCTGCAGCACAATATTCTCTCACCTCCTCTCCCCCTCCTCATTATTACTTAACTTGGCTTAACCCAATGTTTTGCAGACACCTTTGCCCGTGGAACAAGTGGGACTTTACATTTTCTAAAAAATACATACATGTATATATGTGTGTGTGTGTGTGTGTGTGTATTTATATATATATAAATACACACACATAATTTCTAGCTAATTTATATTATTGTCAAATAACATATTCTATAAGACGTTCTGTGTGTTTTTTAAGTTTTGAATTTTTTTTATGGTCTACTACATATTTTTGTAAATACTCCATTTGTGTGAAAGAAGAATGTGTATTTTCCCATTGTTGCAAGCTGGTACCTGAATATCTGTCAAATTGAATTTGTTAAATAGTATTGGACAGATCTTCTATACCTATACTAATGTTTTTGTCTGTTTGGCCTATCAATAATTGAAAAAGGTATATTGAAATCTTCTACCCTGGCAAAGAATATGTCAATTTCCCCCTGTAGTTTAAGCAATTTTTGCTTTATATATTTTGAAACCATTTAAGATCATACAAATTTAAAATTGTTACATCAATATGTAGTAACCATTCTTATCCCGAATAATTTATTTTATCTGGTATTTTCATAGCTGTGTGAGCTTTCTTTAATATTTGCCTATTATCTTTGATTCTTTTACTTTTAACTTCCAGTGTCTTCATGTTTTAGATGTGGCTCGTTTAAATAGTAGATATTTTTTCCTCAATCAAAACTGATACTCTGTATTTTGAGTAGAAAGTTTAGTTTATTTTTATCTATTGTAATTATTATATACTAAGTCTCCTTTTTTATCTCATCTTACATTGTGGTTTCTATTTACCCTGCTAATTCTCTGATTTTTTCTTTTTTCTTTTTTTTTTTGAATAAGTTGATTTGTTCTTGCTCTTCTTCTACTACTGTAATTATTATCATTCCATTTTCTCTTCTACTAGTTTTTTTCCCAGTGGAGAGTGTCCAGTTTCTTGGGGTTTTGAACAAAGAATCGGACAAAATGCACTAAGAAAACAAGGACAGAATGAAGCAACAGAAGCAGAGATGTATTGAAAATGAAAGCACACTCCACAGGGTGGGAGCGGCCCTGAGCAAGTAGTTCAAGGGCACTGGTTACAGAATTTTCTGGGGTTTAAATACCCTTCTAGAGGTTTCCCACTGATAACTTGGTATAAGCCCTATGTAAACAAAGAGGATGAAGTGCAGACACAAAATTATTTACTTGGTGTACACCCTATGCAAATGAAGAGGATGTTTCCTGTCATAGCTGAAGCAAAGCTATAAAGTTATTTACTTGGGCTTAGAAGGTTTGTTTTTTTCTGTTTAATTTAGTTCTAGGAAGTCCTTAGTTTCCCTGCCTCCAGACCCTATTTCCTGCCTTAGTTTGAAAGTTATACTCTTATTTATTTATTTTTGATTGTTACATCTGGAATTCAGGCTTACTGAACCTCATCTCTAAAGTTAATCAGTATCTTGACCACTCCTGAACAGTTGTTCAACCTCCAGACTTATCTGCTCTTGCATCCCAGCATTTGCTCTTCACTAAAATTATTATTATTATTTTACATGTACTTTAAAAAATGCACCCAGTTCTTTGAAAGTTACTTGACTCCCTATGTCTTCAAAATCAGACCTTCTTTCTGGGATCATTTCCTCTTTCTGGGAAACATACCTAGGAGTCCTTTTGTTTAAAGTCTCTTTAGCGGTAAAACGATTTTTGTTTGTCAAATTATCTCCAATTTGCCATTGCTTTTAAACCTTAGTTCGCTGGGTTGACAATCCTAAATTAGCCCTTTTAGGTATTGTTTTATTCTCTCTGGTTTTCATTGCAGCTAATAGCAAGCCTATTTTAAATCTAATTTTCACTTGTAGGTGATCTATTTCTTCCCTTTGGCTATTTTAAAGATCTTTTTATTTTTGTTGGATTTTCTGTAATTTCATCATAATCTAACGTGTGGATTAAAAAAAATTAAGCAACTTGGGATTCATTGTGTTTTCTGTAACTAAGAATTCATGTTCTTATCAGTTCTGGAAAGTTCTGAACCATGATCTTTTCAAATATTTCTCCTCTTTCATTCTCTGGGATTCTGAGAAGATGCACGTTATGCTTTTTCACTTTCCACTTTCTTTTTCTTCACTTCTTTTCCATATTTTCTCTCTCCTCTTTCTCTGTGCTATTGGCTAATTTCTTCAAATTTGCTTTTCTGTTCTTTCTTCAACTGTATTTAATCATCTACTTATAACTCATCTACGGAGTTTTCTATTTCATTAAATAATTTTCATTTGTAAAACTTGACAATTATCTTTAAAAAATTCCTGAAATTTCTGACTGTCTCTCATTTTCTGGTCATTTAAAAAAGTTAATTATTATTATTTATTTTTATTTTTTGACACATTAAAATTATATATTTAAGGTGTAAAATGTGATGTTTTTGTATACATATACATTGTGAAATGATTACCACAATGAACATATCCATTACTTCATCTTTGTGTGTGTGTATTTGTGTGTGTGTGTGTGTGTGTGTGTGTGTGGTGAGAACAGTGTCAGATCTACTCTCAGCAAACCTCAAGTATACAATACATTGCTATTAACTACAGTTATCATGTTGTGCATTAGATGTCCAGAATCTATTCAACTTATGACTGAAAGTTTGTACCAAAATCCACCTCCTGTCCTGTCTCCTCCACCCTCTATTTCTGGTTATTTTTAATCTAGCTTTTATTTCTCCAAATAAAAATGGTGATTTTTTAGTCCACGTATAATTCCCATCATTAAGAAACTTGGGGAATTCTGTTGTTTGCTGCTGACTCTCACTCATAGCAGCCTACTTCTTTGCATGTTTTGTAATTAATTTTGAATTCCTGTTAATCTGCATGTAATATGAGGCAATCCCAAAGCTGTCTGCTGAGGCTTTTGTCCACAGAGGATTTGCTTCTGCTGGGAGCTAGGGGCATCACCAATCTGGGCCTGCCTCGTTTGCTCCCCACTTTTCAGGCTCATGGCAAGCTTCCCTTCCCCCACCTTGCAAAATGAGTTTCACTGAAGAGAAGCTGAAAACATGGAAAAAAAAAAAAAAAGACACAGCTGGTCTTTGAACAAAGTTACCCAGAGCATTCATTGCTTATTCGTGGGTTTTCCAAGACTTTGCGGGACCTGGTGCTCAGGATGACTTTGAGTCTTGGCTAAGGCAGCATGAAGAGTGCATTACTGATTTCCTGAGAAAGCCACACTTGCAGGATGAGACTAAAAGGAAAAAAAAAATCCCGTCTGTATGGTAAAACAATACACACAGAAGCATTCTTTATACATGATGGCATATAAATTGATGACTCACAAACTACTTTTCTCCGGCAACATAACTGAAAGAAGCCAATATCCAGAGGAAAGTCTCAATAGTTTCAAGGTTGATTTTTGTATAACGTTCAACTTAACATTATCTAACCACACAAGAGGATCTCAAAAACGTATTATAAATTATTTTAATAGAGGAGAAATTATGCCCAATGAATATTTAAACCTAATAATATTAGATCTAACAATATGACAAGAAATGGAATAATCTTATGTAATCTTTGTGTATACTGAGTAGCTTGATAAAAAAGGATCTTTTTTTTCTATTGGAATAATGGATGCCATCATTAGTAGAAATGAAAATTTTAATAACTTTAATTTTTTAGTTATCATTGAAATCAAGAGTGAGTTTCTTAATGAGTAAAGCCCAGGACATAGTACTGGCAAAACGAGGTCTGTGTTGGCTGGTCAAGACCTGTGTTCTCATCTCAGCTCTGCCACAGACTTCTTGCAGGGCTTAGGGAAGTCACTTCTGTTCTCTGGGTTCATGTGTGTACAAATATGACGAGAGTCTCTAGGACTTTTCCCAGCACTAGAATTCCAATTTTTTTTTTTTTTGAGATGGAGTCTTGCTCTGTTGCCCAGGCTGGAGTGCAGTGTCATGATCTTGGCTGACTGCAACCTCTGCCTCCCAGGTTCAAGTAATTCTCCTGCCTCAGCCTCCCGAGTAGCTGGGGTTACAGGTGCTCACCACCATGCCCGGCTAATTTGTGTATTTTTATTAGAGATGGGGTTTCACCGTGTTGGCCAGGCTGGTCTCGAACTCCTGACCTCAGGTGATCCACCTGCCTCGGCCTCCCAAAGTGCTGGGATTCCAGGCATGAGCCACCACACCCGGCCAGAATTCCAAGATTTTTATGGTAAATATAAAATTCCATCTATCGTTGCATATTATTAAATCAATTGTTCAAAACATCTAAAAAACTGCATTTCTTTAAACTGGCTTTGGAAAAAATATTAGCAGTTTTAACACAGCACAGTTATACGTGTGGCAGATAGTACTGATGTCTATCCAATACAGATTTGCCTTTTCTTCCACTCCAACAGATTTTATTCAGAAAGGCAATGTGCTTGTTTGTCATTGTCCCCTTTTTGCAGCCGAGAGTGTCTGTGTGACTCACTTCTGGCCATGGGGTATGATATGGTTTGCCTCTGTATCCCCATCCAAGTCTCATGTTGACTTGTAATCCCCACTGTTGGAGGTGAGGCCTGATGGGAGGTGCCTGGATCATGGTGAGAGGTGACAGCGTGCTGACAGCCCTCGCTCTCGGCACCTCCTCGGCCTCAGTGCCCACTCTGGCCGCGCTTGTGGAGCCCTTCAGCCCGCTGCTGCACTGTGGGAGCCCCTCTCCGGGCTGGCCGAGGCCAGAGCCAGCTCCCTCTGCTTGCAGGGAGTTGTGGAGGGAGAGGCGCGGGCAGAAACTGGGGCTGCGTGTGGCACTGGCAGACCAGCACGAGTTCTGGGTGGCCGTGGGCTCTGCGGGCCCTGCACTCTGAGCGGCCCACTGGCGCTGCCGGCCGGGCAGTGAGGGGCGTAGCACCCGGGCCCGGCAGCTGCAGAGGGTGTGCCGGGTCCCCCAGCAGTGCCAGCCCGCTGGCGCTGTGCTGGAATTCTCGCCGGGCTTCAGCTGCCTCCCCATGGGGCAGGGCTAGGGCCCTGCAGCCCACTATGCCTGAGCCTCCCCCACTCCGTGGGCTCCTGCGCTGCCCGAGCCTCCCCGACGAGCACCGCCCCCTCCTCCTCTGCGGCCTCCGGTCCCCTCGACCGCCCAAGGGCTGAGAAGTGCAGGAGCATGGGCGGGACTGGTGGGCAGCTCCGCCTGCGGTCCTGGTGCGGGATCCCCGAGGTGAAGCCAGCTGGACTCCTGAGTCTAGTGGGGACTTGGAGAACTTTTATGTCTAGCTAGAGGAATGTAAACACACCAACCAGTACCCTGTGTCTAGCTCAAGGTTTGTAAACGCACCAGTCAGTGCTCTGTGTCTAGCTCATCTAGTGGGGACTTGGAGAACTTTTGTGTCTAGCCAAAGGTTTGTAAAGGCACCAATCAGTACCCTGTCAAAATGGACCAATCAGCGCTCTGTAAAATGGACCAATCAGCGCTCTGTAAAATGGACCAATCAGCAGGATGTGGGTGGGGTCGGATTAGGGAATAAATGCGGGCTGCCGGAACCAGCTGTGGCAACCCAGTGGGGTCTTGTTCCACAGTGTGGAAGCTGTGATTTTTTTGGCTCTTTGCCATGAATCTTCCTGCTGGTCACTCTTTGGGTCCCCACTGCCCTTATTAGCTGTAACACTCACCGGGAAGGTCTGCAGGTTCACTCCTGAGGCCAGCGAGACCAGAAACCCACCAGGAACCCACCAGAAGGAAGAAACTCTGAATATGTCCGAACATCAGAAGGAACAAATTCTGGACACACCATCTCTGAGACCCGTAACACTCACCGCGAAGGTCCGCGGCTTCATTCTTGAAGTCAGTGAGACCAAGAACCCACCAATTCCAGACACAATGGGAGTGTTTCTCATGGTCTAGCACCATCCCCCTAGTGCTGTCTTGTGATAGAATTCCCGCGAGATCTGGTTGTTTAAAAGTGTGTGACACCTTCCTCTTCGCTCTCTTCCTCCTGCTCCTGCCAGGTAAGAGATGCTTGCTTGTCCTTCACCTTCCACCATGATTGTAAGTTGCCAGAGGCCTCCCCAGAAGCAGAAGCCTGTATAGCCTGCAGAACCATGAGTCAATTAAACCTCTTTTCTTTATAAATTACCTAGTCTCAGGTATGCCTTTATAGCAATGCAAGGACGGACTAATACAGGGTATAAGCAAAAGACCTTGGGGAAGGCTTACCTGGGGTAATAAACTAAGCTTTGCCCTCAACCCTACCTTTCACCCCATCTGGAACGGAGATACCATATCCTGGAAGGCACAGCAGCCATCTTGTGGTCATGAGACAGAAAGGCACAAGCTAAAAATAAAGATGGCAAAGCAGAAAAATAAATGTAGCCCGGATCCCTGAAGATTTTGAGGAGCCATTGAGTAATATTTTATTTATGGCAAGAAGTAATGGCTAGGAGGAAATCAGTACTCTCCTGGTAATTAAATAAATAATCTCAAAATACTTTCTAGTATATAACCCTTCTTGGGCCTTTTTCCAAGGAAATAATCCTTATCATAAAGTTTATGCATAAATATGCTTATTACAAAACTGTTAGCAAATTATTGAAAATAAAATGTTCAGTAATATGTAAACAGATCATCCATCCATGTCTTCTGACTCTGGAATCAGTAAAGTTCTCCTCCCTGGTGCCAAGTTCTTGGTCAATTGCTCTAAGAAACTGTCCCCTGCAATGGACTTTTTTCGCCCTCTCTAGGGCATATGCTGGCTATTTCATTTATTGCCCATCAGAGCAGAGGGCTTTGGGATGCTTGCACCGTTCTTCCTGGGACCACCTCTAGAAAGCCATTCAGCACAAATACACAGCAGATAACAGCATAGACTGGATGTGACATGTAGTAGTGACAGCTAGGGGAGAAGGTTAATTGCAGAGCGGACTCAATCTCAGAGCATTTGGAGAAGAACTCTGACTTGGCACGACAAGAGCACCTGTGTGCCATGCCATTTAGTCCCCTGTCAAGAAACTTTCCGAGATTTTCGTTCTTTCTGCCCTGATTAGACAGGAGATACCATCATAATTTAAGAACATGAAGCCAGGCAACAGTACTTTCTCTCATTAAAGATTTTTTTCGACTGACAACTCATCTGTCAGCTATTTAGAGAAAAGGGCTCAGCCCTAACAAGTCAAAGGTATTCAACAATGAGAAACATTTGTAACAAAGGGGAAGGGAATGTGAATCACTTACTGGAGCCCCGAGGCTGGTTGGTTCTGGAAACCTTGGAAGCCTGTTTTGACCTTGTTATTCATTGTAGTCACTCTTCGTCCCTCTATGCCAACCCCAACTCTTACATCTCAGGCTCATTATTCTGATGCAGAAAGTTGACCAGAACCCACAAGGGGCCTGACTTTGGATCTACAAGCCTGCAAAAGTTGACCCCTAAACGTGAGGTTTTCTGAGGCTCAAATACACTTGAGACAGGGAAAAGGACTAACAAAGAATCACATTACAGTGTGGATTAGGATTACTGGCTAACTTTAATCAACTGATGTCAGCATACACAAAATCAATAGATTTTGTTGCTATGTCCTCAACATTAAAAAAGAGAGAGGGGAAAATATAAGTATATTCAGTTACCTCCATACTTGTCTCCTGGAATAGTTGCTTATCCTGAAAATGCTATCGATGATGTGGTTTCCACAAAGACATGTAAGTAGGAAATGAGAAGACTCTATGAGACCCTAGGATCTCAGAGATAGAGGTATTTGCAAACGCAAATAGTTCATTACAGGGTGGCCAATCTCTTGTGGGGAGTCGTGACCCTTTTCCAATAATCCACTCTACCTCTTTGCCTCAAAGTCTTCCTAAGAACCATCTTCTGATCTACAACTGAGTATAATATGTCTGTAACTAAGCAAATTGGGGCAGAATTAATTAAACCACTGCTAGAAGCAATCCTTGTCAAGTATTAGTCTACAGTTACAAAATAATATGTAAACTATGATCCATTTTTGAATAAAAATACAAATAGATGGATGATAGAAAATGCTAAGTAGCAAAGTCTTGTGTGGTTAGCTCTAGGTGGTCATTTATATGTGATTTTAAAAATTGAGTTATATTTTCCAGAGTATGTACAATGTAATTAAAACACAATGTTTTAAAAGAAGAAAATCATGGGGAAAGAATGATTCCAAGTCACTGCTATTGATTTTTGTGCCAATGCATAATCAGTTCCCAGGCAGCTAACAGAATGCCCTGAATGCTTCCAAGTCGCCACAGTTGCAGAATTGCAACGTTTGTTCACAAGGATGAAGGTGTGGTCTTAATTCAATTTGTGACAAGATTCACCTCAACTCCAATTTCACTTCAGGGCCTTAAGCAAAAGCAAAGATCAGCAACTGAATAGAACAGAAAAGAGGAAAAACCCAGAAATCCTGGGAGAAGCCCAGTGACCATCCCTGATGCCCCTAAATTCTCCCAGAGCAATGAGAGCTGCCCTGCTGCAGGCAAAGCATGTGACACCCAGCAGCCCAACAGGAAGCCCACCAGATTACTCCCTACTCCACGGACCTCCTTTGATGACAGGCAGCTTCAGAATTCCTCAGCTCGTGTGCGCTCCTGACATGATCAACCACACCATGCTGAGAGGTGAGCATGGCAAAATAGTTTTTCTTAGACCCCTGGCCCTATCAAGAGCTGAGGATGAAGCTCCCACTGAAGCTCTGACTCCAGCTTGGCCCCTCATCCCCAGCTTCCTTGTCCTGAGCTGATTGACAACTTCCCTGCCTTTTCTGTTCCTCCTCTCCCTGCCTTCCTGGGACTGGACCTGGAGTTCCTTCTGTGAGAGACATTGGTGGAATCTACAGTCATCTCTGCAGGGTCCCAGCTGAACACCCGCCTATCTGTTTGCCGATGCTGGTCAAGCGTAAGGCTTGCTCCAATAAATTGAGTAAGAAATGAAAATCTTCAAGCCATGACAATTCAGCTCTGTGCCAGCAAAGGAGACTCCAGGCTCTGGAAAATCCTGAGGTCCTGCCTTCCTGTGAAATAACTTTTCTTCTGAAAAAGAATAACCTTTGAGAAACTGTGTGATTCATGTTCTCAACAAGATTCAAGCAAACATCACAGTTAATTCCAAGAATCCTCTCTCGAATGTCAACATATGAAACAAAGAACCCTGGTGTGAAATGGGAAGCCCAGTTGCTGAACACAAAACATCAGTGGTCACTCTGGAATGTGAACCTGGACTTCCTCCATCCATGATGCACAACCTCGAGGCTGGTTTTATGAGCTGCATGTGACAGTTTACAATCTGGTTACTTAACCATAATACATAGTCTGCAGATCCCTTCCTTTTTGGAAGGAGATCCTGTGTGGAGAACTGAGAACTCTGAGCTCTGTCCCCAGTGAGCAAGAAACTTGTCTATGGTTTTTCCGAAATGCAACCCATTGTCTCCCAGGCCCCACCACTCAATAACAAGTGGTTCTCCCAGGAACATTGCAAATATGCAGCTATATTCTTTCAGTTGGTTCTTTCCTTGTCTGTTTTCTTTCTGACCAACTAGAATGTAAGCTCCCGAGGGCAGGCACTCGTCTGTCCAGTTCACTCCATGTTGCCCACATGAAGCATCTGCACATAGTAGAGGCTCGATTAGGAAGTCGTGGATGAGGAAACTGGATGTCACTTCTGCCCGTGTCTTGTCCATGAGCATTACTCAGGTGGGGTGACAACTCTCTTTCCAAATCACATTGCCCTTGACATTCACTAAAATTGGCTTTTCAGCACCCATCTGGATGGGGAAGGAGAAAGGGATGAGGCAGTAGAATTTACAAACATGTGTTTATGGGTCGGAAGGGAACTAACAACAAAATCTGTATCCCCAAGGGACGGTCCGGTCTGGAAAGGGAGAGGGGCCTGTCAGTGCAGCGGAGGAGAGGCACCAACACCTCCTCCTACCTCCCATTCCCTCTGCACACTGGACAATCATGTCCTGCAGTGAGAAAAGCCAATTGTTTCAGTCAAGGCTTCCAGTCTTATTCTTGGCATACAAACATGTGAAAATAGACGTGTCAGTCATTTTCACGACTGCCAGGGTGGCTGCCAAGTAAACCAGCAGGAGCAGGAGTAGAAGCTGACGTGGGAACCGTGCACCTGCTATTTTCCCATTAATATGTTGCTGTTTGGGGGCTACAATTCTGCCAGCTTGTCGGAAGATTTTATCTGTTTATAATGCATGAATTCTGTGTTTTTATGACTGTTCAGAAAAAAAAAAAAACAGAAGAGCCCCCCTAGGTTATATTACCTTGGCATTCTTTTGAAAGTTCATCTGCATTAGGAAGGGTGGATGGTAAAGATGATGACTATTTTGGCTGTCCAGATCTGCTCACATCGTTCTTCCCCAGACTCACCCAGCCTGAGCGTCATCCTCTTCTCCTCCTCTCAGTATTTGAATACCTAAAAATATGGCCGGGCACAGTGGCTCACGCCTGTAATCCCAACACTTTGGGAGGCCGAGGTAGGTGGGTCACAAGGTCAGGAGTTCAAGACCAGCCTGGCCAAGATGGTGAAACCCCATCTCTACTAAAAATACAAAAATTAGCCGGGCATGGTGGCAGGCGCCGGTAATCCCAGCTACTCGGCAGGCTGAGGCAGGAGAATCACTTGAACCCGGGCGGCAGAGGTTGCAGTGGGCAGAGATCATGCCACTGCATTCCAGCCTGGGTGACAGAGTGAGACTGCATCTCAAAAATAAATAAATAAATGAAAATACTAGGGGGATTCAGTATTATCCCTATTTTACAGATGAGAAAACTGAGGCCCAGCAAGGTTAAGTGACTTGCTCAGTGTTCTGTGGCCTGAAAGTGGTGGGGTTAGGGTTAGAAACCAGACGGCTTGTTCCACAGCCCTGTGCTGTTGTTAATGGCTATGCCTTGCTGAGATTAGTGTATATGCCAGATCAATCATTCAGAGATGGGTTTTAGGAAAACAACAAACAAACCGAAACAGGATGCCCAGTAAAATTTGAATTTTACATAAATAACAATATTTTTTAGTATAAGCATATCCCGTGGGATATTTGGGACATACTTTCACTTAAAAATTTGTGTTGCTTATCTGAAATTCAAATTTAACTGGGCATATTGTATTTGATTTGTCAGCCTAGCATTGGTAGTAGATGACTAGTTTGGAGATCCAGGAATCTGGGAGTTGGGGTGACCTGGGGATGAGAGATGGATGTCAGTCAAGACAGGCAGGTTGGTAGAAGCAGCTTGGAGCGTCTTCTCATCTTGACCACCAGTCTGACTTCCTAGAAGAGATGCTGATGGGACTCCAGGGGAAGTGTTTGTGCCCTCTGCATGCATTCCCATGTGCGCACACACACACACACACACCATATACACACCCCTGGCTCTCTACCTAGAATGTCCGACTCATCAGGAGCAAGTTGCATGCCCTGGTGAAGCTTAGTGCCTCTGCTGTGCAGGTGGGAGGGAAAGGCAACTTAGGAGCTTTAGAGCACTCCAGGCAGGCTGTAGGCCCCATCTCCTAAGAGCCTATGCTTTTATTTTTGTTTTTGTTAAAGACAAGGTCTCACTCTATTGCCAAGACTGGAGTGCAATGGTGTGATCATAGCTCTTTGAAGTCTCAAACTCCTAGGCTTAAGAGATCCTCCCACTCAGCCTCCCGAGTAGCTGGGACTACAGCCATCAGCCATGTGCCACCATGCTCAGCTAAGGTTTTTTTTTTTTTTTTTTTTTAAGAGAGACAGGGGTCTTGCTATGTTGCCCAGGCTGGTCTTGATCTCCTGGGCTTAAACAGTCCTCCCATCTCAGCTTCCCGAGTAGCTGAGGATTATAGGTGTGCACCACCGTGCCTGTGAGCCCATGCTTTTGAATGAGAGGGTGCTAGTGGGCTATTGTGTGGCACAGCCAAGCTTCCTTTCCAGGCATTATTTGTCTCTGGATGTGAAGCATTTCCTAGCAATCAGTGATGTGTTCTGTGTAGTCCTGTCCACACTGCATTTGCAAAAATCCCTCATGGATGCTGGGATGTGGTTAATTTCTGGTTTCACTTTGTAATGAAGATGCACATGTTTTCTGTTTTATGTTTTGGAGGTACATGTGTCTATGAACATAGAGACAGATGTGGACATATAGATTGATAGTCGCTTTGAAGACAATTTGAGGTGGTTTATGCTGTGGTTGTTTACATGAGAACAATGGGGAGGGAGAAGGAACCCCATGCTCCCTTGAGGTCCTTCTACCTGTCTCAGAAACCCCACATCTCAGATCCTCAACCAGATTGTAAGATCCTCAAACACAGGACAGGTTTTACTTACCTAGTGCTTCCCAGAGATGCCCAGTAGAGAGCCTTCTGCATCTTTCTGTATTTTTCCATTAGCTGATTTGGTAAACCTGATGAAGCAAATACTGTTTGGTTGAAACAATTTACATTGCTCTAGGCAACGCTATTCCTCAGCCAAATGAATTAGATGATTAATAAGTATAACACGTAATTGAATTCAAAGTCCACGTTTGCCATCCCCTAAGCAGAGGAGGTTTCGTTGTATATTGTTATTGATGGAAAGAAACTGAGGTACTTTGGCTAAACAAAAGAGGGTACAGATGGCATTGTGCTTCAACTACACAAAAGGAGCCTGCTTATATACATGCTTGCTGCATGCCAATTTCTGCTCTCTGGTATTTTAGTGGAGAAAGGAGATTTCTTTAAAGACACTAAAGTAAGTATCAACAAAGAAGTGATTTATCTTTATATCAGAATTTTGGCTTGGAGCACAATCAGGATTTTGGGTCTGTTTGGGGCTAAGTAGAAATATATGTGAGACCAAAATAGGTTTTTCCTGAACCTTCAAAACTATACACAGTGAAAGAAATATTAGCTTCAAAAATCAAAGTGATTGGATTTTCTAGAATCTGTATGATATGATGAGAAAATGTATGCAATATACATAAACCAGAATAGCCTTCCTTATTCAATGTTAACACTTTTTATAAGAAAGTATTAGACCTATTGATTTAGCAACTACATAATTATTGGTACTTGAAATACAGGCTTATAGAAACGAAGAAGTCAGAGTCACTCATTCAAAATGTAAGCATAAATATGACTTCCATTAGCAATACCGGATTCCTGGATAGAATGGCCCAGTCTAGTCATCCCAGCAGGTCAAAGTGGCAAACCAGGTCAACACCAGAAGAGGCCCTTACAAATCCAAACAGAAACTTCTTTCTAAACCAAATCATTTGGAAAACACCTGAGCAATCCATGAAGTTTTTTACTGAGGTGCAGACATTCCAAAAGCTAAGCAAATATTCATGTAATGAGTGCCCCAAGACCATCAGCCGTGGACCTGTCGTTACTTCAAACAAGTCAGGATTTCAGCCAGGTCAAGGTTGAAGAAGAATAATTTTGGTCTAAGCACCTGGCATTTGCTCTTAGGTGTGGTCAAACTATATATAGGTGGATGCCGCCAGTCTTTAGTTGAATTGGGCAAAGAACTCTGAGTTCAGTAGGGGTGTGTGTGTCTGTGTGTGTGTGTGTGCATTTGAAATCTTTTTCATCTTTAATGAAATCTATTTTTTAAATGTCCTTCTTGTCTAAGTGCAACTAAGAGAGAGACTGCCCATACTAAGAGATTGGGGTGTTTGCTCAGGGCAGGGGTACAAGGCACACCTATTCCTCACCCAGTGCAAGCTGGGGGGATGGAGGAATTAGATGACTCCTGAGTTCGCTGCTCTAACCAGAGAGGGAAGGGGCAAGCCTGCATTCTTGTCAAGGTGAGGATAATTCTGGCCTCATGTGACCCAGCTTTGCTGATCCTACCAGGTGAGCATTCCTGAAATAACTGCTATCCTCGTGGAGTCCTGTTCCTGGTCCTGTCTACTCAAGAGATTGTGGGTGTCGCCTGCCTTGAGTTGGCCACCCTCATGGGCTTCTTTGTTACTGGCAATCAAAGTCCTGATAACCTTGATGTGATACCCCTGCATTCATCCCAGGTAAAATTCTAATGAAAAGCCACTTCTCTCAGATCATCATGTGGGATGGTAGATTTCACCTGTTGACAGATACCTAGGGATAGATATGGACTTGGAAGTCAGGAGGACCTGGGTTCAAATCCCTACTCATCCACTTGTGGGCAAGAGAGCCTGGAAAATTTACTTACTCTAAAAACCTGTTTCATTGTCTATAAAGATGCAGATAATAACAATGACAATAGAATTTTATATGGACTGAATGAGCTAATCCAATGTAAATGTGTAACACTGGGTCTGATTTGGTAAAAAAGCACCATTTTATAAACATAGAGAGCAATTCAGGATGAGGAAAGGCAACAGAGTTCTATTACCTTTCAGGTCTCAGTTCATGTCAATATCAATTTTGAAATGTCATTCAACAAAACAAGTATATAGTGAGTTCTTATTAGGTGTCAGGCACAAATTCCAGGAGTTGGGTAAGACAGTCAGTGTCCCTACCCTCAGGAAGCTTACATTTTAATAAAGAAAGAAAGGAAAGAAGGGAGACAGGGAGGGAGGGAAAGAAAAAATAAAATGTAATTGATGTAGCAGTACAAACCCTCAGGCATTATGATAGGGGTGACTTTTGCAAATCCCCCCGATATGGTTTGGCTGTGTCCCCACCCAAATTTATCTTGTATCGTAGCTCCCATAATTTCCACGTGCTGTGAGAGGAACCTGGTGGGAGGTAATTGAATCATGGGAGCAGTTTCCCCCATGCTGTTCTCATGGTAGTGAGTAAGTCTCACAGATCTGATGGTTTTATAAAGGGAAACCCCTTTTGCTTGGCTCTTATTCTCTATTTGCCGGTCACCATGTAAGATAGCCTCTTGCTCCTTTTTCGTTTTCTGCCATAATTGTGAGGCCTCCTCAGCCATGTGGAACTGTGAGTCAATTAAACCTCTTTCCTTTGTAAATTATCCAGTCTTGGGTGTGTCTTTATCAGCAGCGTGAAAACGGACTAGTATACCCCCTAACCCTAACCCTAACCAAACAACTTTGATTTTGTCAGAAATAACCAGAGTTGGTTTTCTCAGTAATCACCACCAAATTTCTCACCATTGCATCTGGAAAAGTGGAAACAGCATTCTAGGACCCTGCCAAGGATGGGAAGGCCGGGAGGGGTGTGGCCTGTGTCTCAAGAACAATCTACCTGTAACCAGACAGGGTTGTTCATCTTTAGGAAATCCCTACTGCCCTAAGCTAAGACGGTGGATGTGAAAATGTCCCACTTGCTGGAGGAGGGAGCTTAACCTCGGAGAGAGCATTTCTGAGGCTTCTGTGGCATCTGTTAAGTCTTCAAACACATAGGACTCTCTCCAAGTCAAGCGACGAGAAAGTGCATTTTTCACAGTGCTTGCTGCAGCACGTTTCAGGGAGCATGTGTGGAGCCTCCTGGTGGGGAGAATACCTGGCAGCTGCCAGACACATTCACTGTGGGATTCTGTGGCTCGGAGCACATGTCCTGTGAGTCACAGGATATGAGACAGTGAGGAGGCAGAGGGTAGGGAGAGGGCAAGGCGCTCCAGAGGCTGCAGCAAAGGAGAGAGGGGGATGCCTTATTTCTCTTAATTTTTAACCTATATAGGCAATTTTGCAATAAAATGGGTTGGCTACCAAGTATATTTCCCTAGAGCTCATGAAGCATTGGATCCTTTGATTGCAGAAATCCAAAGATAACAAGGTGAAAATTCAACTCACAATCCATATTTCAATTTGCCATTTGTGGTTTGTAGTGATTGGTCTGAGCCTGTGAGTAATCTAATGGTGAAACATGGTTGCACGCTAGAAAAGCTGTAGTTTACAGCAAAAACCAAGGAGCTATGGGCAAAAACTTTAATCACTTCAAAAAGAAGTAATTCACCTGGAATCACCTTTCCTGCAGGCAGTGAGATGTGCGGAAACAGGCCCCGAGCTATAGGTAAGAACACCCAGGTGTTGGGGCTGCCCCTGCTGCTTATCAGTAGATCTCTGAGCCATCCATGCCCCACCTGGAAATACCCTGAGATCCTGTTGAATGAGGTTCTTTGCAAGCCACAGAATGCAATATGAGGATGAAAGTTTCTTTATAGTTGAATTTGTATAGTATCCATTGACAGCACAGTTCATATGGGACCACAAACAGAGATCCGTGTACCATGCACCCAGCACTATGCAACAGGCACCATGTACTAAGCAGCAAGCACCATCGCTGACTTGGGGCTAAAGATAAACACATGCCAGGCCAGGCGAGGTGGCTCACGCCTGTAATCCCAGCACTTTAGGAGGCCGAGGCGGGCGGATCACGAGGTCAGGAGTTGGAGACCAGCCTGGCCAACATAGTGAAACCCCATCTCTACTAAAAATACAAAAAAATTAACCAGGTGTGGTGGCGGATGCCTGTAGTCCCAGCTGCTCGAGAGGCTGAGGCGGGAGAATCACTTGAACCTGGGAAGTGGAGGTTGCAGTGAGCCGAGATTGCGCCATTGCACTCCAGCCTGGGTGACAGAGCAAGACTCCGTCTAAAAAATAAATAAATAAATAAAAATAAACACATGCCAAATAATAACAGAGTGTTGGATAGGAAGGTAAAGTTGGGCCTCTTGACCAGAATAAAAATTCGTTCATTTGACCAACATTTACATCTTTTGCATTTATTTTCTATGAGGTGTACTATGTTCTCTGAGAAATCCAAAGCTGAATCAGAAACAGGTCCTGCTGTCAGGGAGGTGATAATTTAGTAAAGAATGTAAATTCATCTACAAATATCTGTAGCACAAAGTGGTATTATGCATTTTACTCAGGCCTTGGTCACTGGGTATAGAAACTATTCAGGAGAGGAAAAGCCATCACCGGAGCTCTGCTTGGTGACCTCTCAGCCTTAGCCCCAGCCTCACCCTCACCTCAGCCCCAGCCTCAGCCTCAGCCTCACCCTCAGCCTCACCTCAGCCCCAGCCTCAGCCTCACCCTCACCCTCACCTCAGCCCCAGCCTCAGCCTCGGCCTCGGCCTCAGTCTCACCTCAGCCTCAGCCTCACCTCAGCCTCACTTCAGCCTCAGCTTCAGCCTCACCTCAGCCTCAGCCTCAGCCTCACCTCAGCCCCAGCCTCACCTCAGCCTCAGCCTCACCTCAGCCCCAGCCTCAGCCTCACCTCAGTCCCAGCCTCAGCCTCACCTCAGCCTCAGCCTCAGCCCCAGCCCCAGCCCCAGCCCCAGCCTCAGCCTCAGCCTCACTTCAGCCTCACCTCAGCCTCAGCCTCACTTCAGCCTCAGCCTCACCTCAGCCTCAGTCTCAGCCTCAGCCTCACCTCAGCTTCACCTCAGCCTTCCTTGCGGTAAGTTTGCAGGAAAGATAGAATTCTACTACTAAAGGCATGAGCAAAGGAAAATGGAGGATATATTATAGCGACCTAGAGAAACAGCACACTAGAAAGACACATAAATGCCTAATTGTAGCTGTCATAGAAGACCTCAGGTGCCACTGGAAGGGTTTACGCATTGTGATACCAGTGGGGAGCCATTGCAGGCTTCGGACCAGGGATCAGGGAGGGCGGGGGAATCAGAGACCTCTGTTTCAAGCAGGCGTGTGTGGTTTCCCTTAAAACTTGAACTGAGCCTGCCTCTGGATGAACCCCTTTTCTCCCATGGCTGGACCGAGCCAGCAGGCTCAGCCCAAGGCAGAGCCAAGAGCAACCCTGCAAGGATAGAGGGTCTGCATGCTGGGAGGCAGTGTTGTCTAGTTTCCCCCTGCAAAGATGGAAGCTCTGCATGCTGGGAGGCAGTGTTGTCTACTTTCCTCCTGTAGGACCCAGTGAATCCAGAACATAGAAACCTGGCGAGCTCCAGCAGGGTGGTGGGGATGCGCAGACACAGAATCGAGGGGCTCAGCAGTGGGCTGAGGATCTGCGATGTCTCCAGAGGCAGCTGGAGCAACACGGCCAGAGTGAGTCCTGGGTTGAAAGGAGCCCTGGGTGAGTGCTCAGGTTCCCTTCACCTTTCACACTGGGTACCTCATTCTGCTGTATCTCCTTCCACTTCTCTGCCATCACCATTTCCTCTCACTGGCTCTTATCAATTCACATTTAAATGCACTTAGTTATTTCTAATGTAAAAGAAATTTCTCTCGCTGGGTGCGGTGCCTCACGCCTGTAATCCCAGCACTTTAGGAGGCTGAGGCAGGAGGAACATGAGGTTAGGAGTTCGAGACCAGCCTGGCCAACATAGTGAAACCATGTCTCTACTAAAAATACAAAAATTAGCTGGGCATGGTGGCACATGCCTGTAATCCCAGCTACTCAGAAGGCTGAGGCAGGAGAATCGCTTGAACCCAGGAGGCGGAGGTTGTGGTGAGCTGAAATCACGCCACTGCACTCCAACCTGGGCAATAGAATGAGACTCCATCTCAAAAAAAAAAAAAAAAAATTTCTTTTCTGACTGCACCCTCCTGTCCATTCACTTTCTATCACATTCTTTCCTGTTGGTCTTGAAAGAGTTGTGTACCCTCGCAATCTTCACTTCCTTACATACTATCCTCAAACTTTACATGCGGCTTCTATTTCCATTACCATAGAGCCAGTTTTTTTCCAGTTCTACCCCTTACAACACCAGCTATATCCCCTCACTGATTTTTGAAACATTTTATTTGTATGCATTAACTAGTCTGTAATATTGCTAGAGGGTCAGGATCTAGGGCATTCTCATTAAAGGAGTTGCTAAAAAAAGGAATAGATTTGGTATCCCACCTCTTGAGTCCTGGGATAAATTATAAGCCATGTCTGTCCCTGTTATCTTTAATTCTTCCTTTTGCCTCCTTCTTATCAAGTCATATGTCTCTTGATTTGGAATTAATCTACCTGGCGTAATGACTAACATTTACTATTTCAGAAAATTAACTTTGATCCTTGTTCTATATCAAGATAGGTGCTCACAGAGCACAATAGCATTCTTTCTTCAGTTGCCTCCCCAAAACCCCGATGGGAAAGGGTGGAAGTTTTACACTGTGGAAGCTCCTGACATGTTTTGAAGAATGTTACAGGTAGGGCATGCCTCAGCCTGTTCTCTTCCCACTGAACAAGGAGCTAAAGCTGACTGTGGAGTCTTGGGCATCCTATACTGAAGACTTCAGCATCACTTCTGCCATTTTTTTTCTTTCATATATTGGAAGACAAGATGCCCCTCTTACTGTTTAAGGTCATTGCCTTCACCTGGAGTTTGGACCACACTCTCCAGGAAGATGTTTCATAGGAAGGGTGACAGCACAATTTGTTGTCTTCACCAAGACACTTTGGAAAGTCAAACAGGGCACCAACTCCACTGAATACTGACACAGCAGGTACACGTGAGGATTGACCCAGGAAACTGGTATGTGTGGCCACCCGATCTACAGCAATTTCTTCCCTTTTTGATACTTACAGTCTGGTCCCTAAACAGACATTTTTTCCTCTAGCAGATAGACGAATGTGGCCCAGTACCTCTCCTCTTCATGACTGTGTGTTTCTGTCTCTCCCATCCGTTATTCTGTCAAATACGTTGTTATCCTTGTCCTCCATTTATACAGCTGTCTCCTTGTTCTCCTTGGCCCACAGTGACTATTCTATCAGGAAGGGAAGGATCCAGTTTTATTTTCTTCTGGATAGAGAGTCAGTGGTGCCAGCACCTTATATTGAGCAATGATTGTTTTTCAGATGGGCTTGAACTATTTGTCTCATACCTTTGTCTCATACTCAATTCTCAAATTTATTGGCATCTATAACTAATTCATTTTCATTTTATTGATTGTTCCATTACATTCTTAAATACTATATATGCATGAAAAACCTCAATGAATTTCAAATAATAAAAACAATCTGCCTTGTCTAACTACAATGAAAAAGAAAATAAACTATACCAATAAAGTACTGATATGATTTGAATGTTTGTCCCCTCCAAATCTTATGTTGAACTGTAATCCGCAGTGTTGGAGGTGAGGCCTGGGGGCAAGGAGTGGAGGCGGGGTTTGGATCATGGGAGTGGATCCCTCGTAAGTGGCTAAGCGCCATCCCTTTGGTAGTAACTGAGTCTCCTTCTGGTAGTTCACACAAGTTATGATTGTTTAAGAGTGTGGCTCCTCCCTATCCTGCTCCCTCTCTTACTATGTGAAGATGCCTGCTCCTGCTTTACCTCCTGCCATGAGTAAAAGCTACCTGAGGCCTCAATAGAACCTGAGCAGATGCCAGCACCATGCTTCCTGTACAGCCTGCAGAGCCGTGAGCCAATTAAATCTTTTTTCTTTATAAATTATTCAGTCTCAGGTATTCCTTAATAGTAATACAAATGGACTAACACAAGTACCAACAATAAAAATGCAAACAATTGGAGCAAGGAAAAGCCTGCTTCCATCAAAGGCAAATCACAATTTCAGTGCAAAATATTCATAAAATAGCAATAAGAATGCCTCATGTCTAAATAGATGTAATTCAGCCAAAGTTGCCCTTAGGGATAAATTTGTAGCCTTCAACATGTTCATTAACTTAAAAATGCATTAAAAACTACACGCTGAACTCAAGAAGTGAGGAAAAAAGGAAAAACGAAGGAGAAATTAATTGAGAGAATGAAAAAGCAATATAATTGGCGAATAAATCTAAGTAGCAGTTCTTTGAAAAAATTAATAAAATAGAAAAACCATTATTTACTGTAACCAAGAATAATTGTAAAGAGAATACCTGGTGATCACTGTGCTTTCTTGTCACTTTTAAGTATTCTAGAAAGTACTAATCAGATCTTAAATGGATGTTTCTAAACCAAGAACATGATGCTTATTTTAAATAGTTTTTTAACTCATTGATTTCTTCCTTTCTTCCTTTCTTTCTTTCTTTCTTTCTTTCTTTCTTTCTTTCTTTCTTTCTTTCTTTCTTTCTCTCTCTCTCTCTCTCTTTCTTTCTTCCTTCCTTTCTTTCTTTTTCTTTTTTTGGCGGAGGGGGACAGAGTTTTGCTCACTCTTGTTGCCCAGGCTGCAGTGCAATGGCATTATCTCGGCTCACTGCAACCTCCGCCTCCCAGGTTCAAGCAATTATCCTGCCTCAGCCTCTCGAGTAGCTGGGATTACAGGCATGTGCCACCATGCCCAGCTAATTTTGTATGTCTAGTAGACACGGAGTTTCTCCATGTTGTTCAGGCTGGTCTTGAACTCCCAACCTCAGGTGATCCACCTGCCTCAGCCTCCCAAAGTGCTGGGATTACAGGCATGAGCCATGGCACCTGGGCGATTTATTTAATTGTATACAAGTGCCAAGAATAGTGCCTGGAATATAGTTGGAGCTCAAAAGCCAAGGAATTACAGGCAAATGGGCACCTCCAACTCCTACATGGGAGTTGTCTCAGACGAGGGCAGTTTGCTTGAATAGTATGAGCATGGGTAGGGTTAGCTGGCCGGTGACAGGTGCCCCCCTCCATGGCATCAGTGACATTGGTATCCATCAACTGCATTGGGACAGGTAGCTATACACAGCACCTGTAGCCCAGCTCCTTGGGCCTAGACTATGGCTGGAGTCCAAGTGAAAATCACTTTATCAAGAGGAAGGTTAGTGCATGTGAAATCTAAATAGATCCTTCATGATTATTTTATAAAGTACACCAATTTAAAGTGTATAAATATACCAATTTTCACAACCCTAACTTGCATTAAATCAAATGTGTCCATTATAAGCTTGCTCTTTATTAAGGTTGGCTTCCCATATCTGTTCCCCATCCCCACCCCACCCCATTCCCTTCCTTGGTTAGGAAAGTAAATCTTCTGTTTTCTCTGTTAATGCTTATATAGTTGCTATGGAATTTGGATCTCTAATCCTCATGGAAATTGTTTTGGATATCACCTGAGGAGGGTATCTAATTACATCTTTTCAAATAGATAGTTAATTATAAAAATGATATATATTTGATAACTTATCCTTCAATGTTTAAAACTTCCACATGTTTTAGTTCATTTTCACACTGCTATATAGAACTACCTGAGACTGGGTAATTAATGAAGAGAAAAGGTTTAATTGACTCACAGTTTCACATGGCTGAGGAGGCCTCAGGAAACTTACAGTTATGGCAGAAGGCAAAAGGGAAGAAAGACACATTTTAATCGTGGCAGGAGAGAGAGAGAAAGAAGGAAAATGCCACACTTTTAAACCATCAAATATTGTGATAACTCACTATCATGTGAACAGCATGGAGGAAACTGCCCCCATGATCCAATTACCTCCCACCAGGTCCCTCCATCCACATGTGGGGATTACAATGATGAGACTTGGGGAGGGACACAGAGCCAAACCATATCATCATATTTTCACAATGTTAAATTGTTGTGCTTTAGATTTGTTTGAATATTGTCTTCCACTTACTGTCTATTCTTGGGTTATTGCCAGAATGTTTTGTTGAGGCACAGAGAACGAGATCCCAAAGCATGGCGCCTTGGCATGCTGAGTGCTTTGAATTAAAGGAAACTGGAAAGCCTCTGAAGTAATCCTCAGAACCAAGGTCTCCCTCTGACCTTCTCCTTCTTTCTGCTTCTCTGATCCCTTTTTTCCCCAAAGCACTAGAGTGACTTTCTCTTAAGTTCCCTTATCTAATTAAGGGAAGTTCTTCCAGAAGAAATGCAATTGTCTTAAAACTCTGTCTCTAGTAATATGAACAAATAACCAGGAAAGATTAACCACAAGAAGAGAAGAGATTAAAACTTGTCACATCTAGATAGACTTTTCATGTATTTTTCTGGAGATAGCTCCAAGAAATCACCTGGGAGACATTATCTGTATAAGACAACCTTTGTTCACAGTGAAGTTTTGCCTCTCACCTTCACACCACCTCCCCCAGAGCTCACAGGAACTCTTTGTCCAAGGCCATTGTTCCTTGGGCTCATTAATTTTCCCCAAAAATCATTTACTACCCCTCACAATTGGCTACATTTCCCCCATTTCCCTCTCCCTTATGAAGAGGATATGTAAGCTTCAACTCTCTGGCCTTTCTTTGAGTCTCATATTTAAATGGCTACTGTACTTACTCACATTTTAAAAATTATCTGCCTTTTCTCCTATTGATCTCTCTGTTGTCAGTTTATTCCAGCAAAACATCAGAAAGAATGGAAAGGAAGTTTTCCCTTCACCCCTAAAATACTATTTCCTTGACCCAATAATAATGACACTCCAAGAATCTGTTGTATAGAAGTAATAGCACAGATATATTCCAGGATGTTCAGTATTATTAGTATTGCTAAAAAATAAAATAGAAAAAATTAGGAGACAAAAATGGGGAAGCACTCCATCTCTAACAGAGAAGAATATCTGAGTACATTACTAAACAGTTGAATAGAGGAACACTATGAAACCATTAAAAATGAGATAGATCTGGGCCGGGCGCGGTGGCTCACGCCTGTAATCCCAGCACTTTGGGAGGCTGAGGTGGGTGGATTATGAGGTCAGGAGATTGAGACCATCCTGGCTAACACAGGGAAACCCCGTGTCCACTAAAAATACAAAAAATTAGCTGGGCATGGTGGCGGGCACCTGTAGTCCCAGCTACTCAGGAGGGTGAGGCAGGAGACTGGCATGAACCTGGGAGGCGGAGCTTGCAGTGAGCCGAAATCACGACACTGAACTCCAGCCTGGGTGACAGAGGGAGATTCTGTCTCAAAAAAAAAAAAAAAAAAAAAAAAAAAGAGATCTACTTATACTGATGTGGAAATATGTTGATGACATATAAATTTAAAAAAATTATATATGTACATACACACCATACACACACATATAAATAATGATTTTGATATATACAAATGTGTCTTTCTATGAGTATAAATAGATCTGAATGGATTTAGAACAGACTCAGGAAGACTACCCATTAACTGTTAAGAGCAGCTATGTATGAGGCAACAGATTAGAAGGGGTAAGTGGTTTTTCTTTTTTGCTTTCTATAATTTAATTTGAAATTCAGAATAGGTATGATGAGTGATCTCCAAAACAAAAGAACAAGACATAAGTAGATTGTGATATAATGTAAAATATATTTGGTCTTTGTCACCAGTTCATGTCTTGAAACTATTGTGACTTTCTGAGGGATGGGAGTGTCTTTTTGAGGTGACTTAGGATGGAGCACCCAGATAGCCTCAGGATGGGACTGGTTACCAGAAAAGCCAAGTGGTTAGAACACTGGAACTTTCAGCCCCACTCACCAACCTCTGGGAAGCATGCAGGTGGGCTGGAGGTCAAGCTCTATGAAAACTCTTGAACAGCAAAACGTGATGAGCTTGTGGGTTGCTGGAGGTACTGGGTTGGGGTGGCTCACCCAGGGAGGGCCTGGAAGCCCCACCTCCCATCCATCTCTTCATCTGGCTGTTCATCTTTATCTTTTAGTATCATTCATAATAAAATGGTAAACATAAGTGAGTGCTTCCCTGAGTTCTGTGATCCATCCTAGCAAACTAATTGGACTCAAGGAGGGAGTAGGGGGAACCCTGATATACAGCCAGTTGGTCAGAAGTACAGGTGATAAGCTTCCACTGCAATTGATGTCTGAAGTTGGGGGCAGTGTTATGGGACTGAGTCCTTCACCTGTAGGCTCTGACTCTAAACTCCAGGCAGATAGTGTCAGAATTGAATGAAATAGTAACACACCCAGTGGGTGTCCCCTGGAGAATTGCTCCATGTGAAAAGCAGCTTATTTTCCTTGTGCATAGATGGAGACAGATCCAGCTGGGTGGACAGGACAGGTGCCATTAAACCATGTGAAAGCCACAGGGCCACCTTAACCCTGGCTCCTCCTCAGCAGGGTGCAGCTGATAACCCCCTATCTGGGCTCTCAGGAATCAGGTTTGGTTTCTGAAGTGGCCCAGGAAGTGGAAACACTACAGATGCTCAGTCAAGGCCAGGTTCAGAAAGGCCTAAGCCTGTTAGCAGGAGTTGGGGAGGAAACCACACTGAGGTAGTGGCATGAGGGAAGGGGGACCTGAAACAGGGCTTGCTCCCCCTGACCCCACACTGGACAGAGGCCCCTGCCCTCCATTATCTCGAAGGTTCCTTCTGGCTTCTCCTTGTAGTAAGTGTTTCCAAGAATCTTGAACCGTCAGCAGGGGCAGCCTATTGATCGTTAGTGGGCACTGGCAACTCCACTCCTAAAACTACACATACTAATGGATATTTCTTGGAGAAGGTTAAAAACAATGAACATTTTTAAAAAGAATTTTTTGGCCGGGCGTGGTGGCTCACACCTGTAATATTGGCACTTTGGGAGGCCTAGGCGGGCGTATCATGAGGTCAGGAGATCGAGACCATCCTGGCCAGCATGGTGAAACCCCATCTCTACTAAAAATACAAAAATTAGCCAGCAGTGGTGGCACGTGCTTGTAGTGCCAGCTACTCAGGAGGCTGAGACAGGAGAATCGTTTGAACCCAGGAGGTGGAGCTTGCAGTGAGCCGAGATCGTGCCTCTGCACTCCAGCCTGGGTGACAGACTGAGACTTTTTGCTTTCATGCCACATCTTATCTCATGAAAATCCCAGATTTTGCAATACCAGAAGGTTCTTTCTTGGAATTATTTTTCTCCTCAAAGAATATCTTAAAATATCTCATAGCAGGGAAAAACAGAAAAATAAATATGCACACTCAGCAATTAAGGTTTTCCATCCCCTGTAAGAGACAGGCAGTAAATGAAAATAAAAGAGCATATAAGCTGCTTCTTCCCCAGCTCAGCTCAGATGGGAGGTGTCATGCGCGGTCATTGCAGGCGAGAACCCCTTGCTTCTGTAGGAATCATAGCTAGTGGCTGGTTTGTAAGCTGGGAACACTGCAAGGGCAGGGGCATGCCTGTCTACTGCAGCACTGTCCCCCAAAATTCTGGATGGATATGTGATCTTAACACCCTTCAATTACAGAGGGATTAGCAAGTGAAACACAGAGTTAAGAAGCACTGACAGGGCGAGGTGCAGTGGCTCATGCCTGTAATCCCAGCACTTTGGGAGGCCGAGGCGGGCGGATCACAACGTCAGGAGATCGAGACCATCCTGGCTAACACGGTGAAACCCCGTCTCTACTAAAAATACAAAAAATTAGCTGGGCATGGTGGCGGGCACCTGTGGTCCCAGCTACTCGGGAGGGTGAGGCAGAAGAATGGTGTGAATCCGGGAGGCAGAGCTTGCAGTGAGCCAAGATCACGCCACTGCACTCCAGCCTGGGCGACAGAGCAAGACTCCGTCTCAAAAAAAAAAAAAAACAAAAAAACACTGACACTTAGCTAATGGTAACTTGAGTATAGCACTTGGTCACTCTTTGGGGTTTTTTTTGGTTGTTGTTGTTGTTGTTGTTTCTGAGATGGAGTCTTGCTCTGTCACCCAGGCTGGAGTTCAGTGGCGCGATCTCGGCTCACTGTAACCTCTGCCTCCTGGGTTCAAGCAATTCTCCTGCCTCAGCCTCCCAAATAGCTGGGATTACAAGCATGCACCACCACGCCAGCTAATTTTTGTATTTTTAGTAGAGATGAGGTTTCACCATGTTGACAAGGCTGGTCTTGAACTCCTGACCTCATGATCTGCCTGCCTCAGCCTCCCAAAGTGCTGGGATTGCAGAAGTGAGCCACCATGCCCGGCCAGCACTTGGTCACTCTTTAAACACCTACACATATGCTATTAATTTTTATCCCCAATATGAGTTTGTCACGTGTGCAGGAAAGGTATCTTTATTTCAGAAGAGCTAAGTAATTTGCTTAAAGTCACACAGAAGTGAAAGCATGATTAAGTTTTCCTTTTGGACTGATCAATATTCAACATATTGCACATTCTTTTGTTTATTTTCTCTCTCTCTCTCTCTCTCTTTAGAATATAACCCCCTATCAGCAAGAACTTCTCTGTTTTATTTACGACTGTTTCCCTGGCATCTAGAATAGACCTGGTACTTGGTAGCCATTGAATAAAAATGTGCATTACTTTTATTACTGTTGTTGTTATCATTGTCATTGCATCATACTTCCCAAGAAAGGCTTCTTGTGGAAAAGTCATCTGAGCTGAGATATGAAGGGTGAGGGGCAGGAACGAGGCCAAAAGTGATGGGTGGAGTTTCAGGCAGATGGAACCACAAGGGCAAAGGCCTAGAGGCAGGAAGGAGCATATAGGGAGAATGAGGTGCTAAGAAAAGTCAGTGCCGCTGAACAGAAAGCAGGGAGCTCAGTGTCTGGAGAGGAAGCATATACTCTATGACTATTACAGCCTTTATGGACTGTAGCAGTAGCTGCCCAGCTGGTCTAACCACTCCACATACCCTGCACTGTGACCAAAGCCAACTTTTTAAAATTTTAATCTGTTCAGATCCACCTCTTCCTTGATGTCCACTAAGGCCTTCACACCCTGCTCCAGCCCTGCCTGGCCCGGCCCTCAACAATAGCCAAGGTGATATGGTTTGGCTCTGTGTCCTCACCCAAATCTCATGTCAAACTGCAATTGCCAGTGTTAAAGGAGGAGCCTAGTGGGAGTTGACTGAATCATGGGGACAGACAGCCCCTTTGCTGTTCTTACGATAGAGTTCTCATAAGACCTGGTTGTTTAAATGTGCGTAGCACCTCCTGCTTTGTTCTCTCTCTGCTACTCCACTGTGTGAAGACATGCCTGCTTCCCCTTGGCCTTCCATCACGATTGTAAGTTTCCTGAGGCCTCCCAGAAGCAGAAGCCTGTATAGCCGGCAGAACTGTAAACCAATTAAACCTCTTTTTTAAATAAATGACCCAGTCTCAGGTATGTCTTTATAGTAGTGTGAGAACAGACTAATACATAAGGCAATCATGAAGAACCAAACCAGGAGACTTGAACTACAGCTCTCAAAACCTGCTACACTGCAAGCATGAAGGGGATGCAATATTGACATATGAACCGATAGACAGTGGACTGCCAGCATAGGATAAGATCCAGAAACAGACCACACATATGAAGCCATTTGATTTATGATAAAAGTGACGTGACAAGCATGGAAGTTAGGAGGTGAATAAACTTTTCAAGAAGCGTTGCTTGATGGATTGGCTTTCCATATAGAAAAAAATGTGTCTTGACAGCTATCATGCCATATACAAAAAAAAATCAATTCCACACACATTTCAAATCTACACAAGAAGGGCAATATAATCACACTTTTAGAAAAAAAAGACTAGATCTTTATGAGTAGAACAGTCAAAGATTTCTTAAATAGGATAGAGAAAGCATTAACCTACAGCAAAAATAATATTAAACTATATTAAAATTAAGAATCTCTTTTCATCAAACACCTCATTAGAAGAGTGAAAAGGTGGCATGGAGACTTGAAGATATTGGCATTACATTATACCCAACAAAGGACTTGTATCAGCAATAAATAGCACCTACAAATCAGTAAGTTAAAGGGACAATTCAATGGAAAAATCACCGAAAGACTTGAATAGGTACTTCATAAATGAGGGTATTCAGTTGGCACCCATATATATAAAAAGCTGTGCAGCTACATTATCAAGAAAACAAAAAGTGAAATCACAAAGAGATACTACTATGTGCACAACAGAATGGGGAAAATAAAAAAGACTGAAATACTCAGTGTTTGGCAAGCAAACAAAGCAGCTTGGAGCTCATACCCTGCTGGTGAGGGTGTACATCAGCACTGGAAAACTGATCATCAGTATTTAATAAGCTGAATACATACACTCTCATACCCTGCTGGTGAGGGTGTACATCGACACTGGAAAACTGATCATCAGTATTTAATAAGCTGAATACGTACACCTCATTACCCAGAAATCACAGTCCTCGGTACATATTCAGCAGAAATGTACACACGAGTTTACCAAAATACTTTTACTAAAATATTCATAGCAGCTCTATTCAAAATAGCCCCAAATTGGAACCTGTCCACAGGCTCAGCAACAATAGAATGGATCAATAAATTGTAGTATATTCACAGAGTATAATACCTAATACCACACAGTTACTGAATGAATAATCTACAGCTCCATGCAAGAATATCATTAAAATCTCACAAACATAATGTTGAATGAAAGAAGTCATATTTGAAGTGTCAATCAAGGAAAATGACCGAGTGAAGTCTCAATCATTTTAGAAGGTTTATTTGCCAAAGCTAAGGACATGCCAAGGAGACAGGTCTGTGCTTTCTCTGAAGACGATTTCGAGGGCTTCAATATTTAAAGGGGAAAGGGCTGGATATTGAAAAATACACAATTTTCTTGTGAAAGGGGGATTAGGGGAAAATAGCCATTCATGCCTCTGTCTGACTCAGTGAATTTGCAGTTATACATAAGACAATACAGACAATAGGGCAGAGGGAAGAACCAGACATGCATTTGTCTCAGCTGGGCAGAGGGATGGCTTTGAGTTCTGTCCTATGTCCTCGCACCTGTGAAGACAAGCCATCAATTTACATTGCCATGGTGAAATTTAACAGAAACACTTTAGGGTAAGAATCTTGGGGCCCAACAGGAATTTCCTGGTGGGTAAAATGTGAGGGAGGTATGTAGCTTTTCATCTTTGTGGCCATCTTATCTAGGAACCAAAATCGGAGGCAGGTTTGCATGACCCGGTTCCCAGCTTGACTCTTCCCTTTGACTTAGTGAGTTTGGGGTCCCAAGATCTATTTTCCTTTCACAGAAGGAAGTCAATACTGAGAGAAAAGAGAATATATCACAATTCTATTTTTACTTTAAGAAACGGCAAAACTTCATCAGTGCTGTTATGCTCTATGTGGGATTGTGGTTACCCTTAACAAATAGTGACTGGTAGGAGTATGAAAATGTCTTCTGCGGGTGCTTGTTTCTTAACCTCTTTGCTGGTTACATGGTGAATTTCCATTGGTGAAAATGCATCTAGTTGCCCACTTAGGATATGGGTGCTTTTCTAAATGTATATTATACTTGTGAAAATTCTCAGAATCAAAATGGAGTCACTTGTGACAAACCCTAATAAAATGGAGTTGGGAGGCCTTGAAGAGAGGGTCTTCATGCATATTTCCCTGATAGCAAGAACGATCACAGAGAATGGACAAACCACACCTTGCAGTTAAGGTCATTCTTATGAGAGCACCTTTCCAATAACAGCCAGTCCTAACTGAAACCTTTTAAGTAGCCATATATATATATATATACATATACACACATAATACTTTAAGTTCTAAGTCAGTGTCACTTCTGTGAAGACCCTCTCCTAAAAATGGCCAGTACACACATCACTGCCTGTGATAAGCCTCTGTAGACAATGAACTTTTGCTTCAAAGCAACCTGCATATACTTCCCCTCTTTGCCTTTAAAAGTTTCCCTAGCCTCAACTTCCCCAGATGCATCTATAGTTTGCTATAGCACATGTATTCCAAATTATAATTCCTCTGCCATTTCTCAGTAAACTAATTTCTTTACAGAACCACTCTGCCTGTTGTTATTTTAGGTTGACACACTTCAATAAAAAGCTTAAACAAGGTGTGCGGAACTGCTGTGTGCCTCAACCTTGGTGGTGGTCAAAGAAATCTACCTATGTGATAAAGTTGCATGGAACTAAATACCCACACACACAACAGAGAGCACATAAAACTGGAGAAATCTGAGGAAGTGGGTACATTGAAAATAACTTTTTTCCTCCATTCTTCATGAGTTCTTAGCCGGAACTCCCTGTGATGGAAGACAGATTAACAAGAGAAAAACAAACAAGTTTGGAACCGCCTTTGCAAAATTATGACTGAGACAATGAAGGAGATCTAACCTAACTGACTCCATCTTACTTCTAACCTTTAAGCTGTCCTTGTTCCTTCCTGGGCTTAGGCTGAACTAACTTTGGTAGGAACTTGGTTTATAGTTTAAAACAAAGACAAAAACAGCCCTTTCCTAGAACAAACCTTCTTGCCTGGGGACTAGACTGCCTCTGTAGGAATAACAAATTAGCCACAAGATTAGAAATTAAGGTTTAGGAGTCATGCAGCTGGAGGCTACAAGATTCTGACCCTCCCTAAACTGCTCCTGAGATCAGGGCTTGAGATATTTTGCAGACCCAGCACTTGATGGACCAGCTGGCCCCGCCCAGATCGATGAACTGGTTTATCCGATCTTGTGGCCCCCACCCAGGAACCGACTCAGTGCAAGGGGACAGCTTCAATTTCCCATGATTTCATCTCCTACCTAACCAATCAGCACTCTTGGCTCACTGGCTTCCCCCCACCCACCAAGTTGCCCTTAAAAATTCTGATCCCCAAATGCCCTGGGAGACTGATTTGAGTAATAATAAAACTCCAGTCTCCCGCACAGCCGCCTCTGCGTGAATTACTCTTTCTCTATTGCAATTCCCCTGTCTTGATAAATCAACTCTGTCTAGGCAGCAGGCAAGGTGAACCCACTGGGTGGTTACAAGTTTAATAACACAAATACCTCCTGTATATGTAAGAGATACCCAGAGAGATGAGTAAATTAGAGTAGATCTCAAAGAGTTGTCTTCAGGCTTAAATGCCATTACTCGCTGAAACATAGGAGGATGTGGGCAAAGTTCTGGTTAAGGTGAGATGGCCAGGAAGAGCACCATAAACCCAGGGTAAGGTTTGTTATCAAATTTAAGTCTTCTCCATTGATTAGAGTCTCTAGTGATTTAGTCATCCTCCTCTTCCTGGTGCACAGAGGGAGACGCCCTTACAAATAGAGATTTCCTTTATAGACATCAATTTCCTTACAAAAGGAACTCTGCTTTCAAAGCTTTTCCTGTGCCTGCCTTTTCCCAAAATAATCAGCACAAAATAATCCTTATGCCAAAGAGGCATGTTTTGGGGAGATATGCCCTGAGCCCCATCATTGTCATTGTCAATTTCATGGTTGTTATGCTGTATTAAAATTATGCAAGATGCCAGACGTGGTGGCTCACACCTGTAATCCCAGCATTTTGAGAGGCTAAGGCAGGTGGATCACCTGAAGTCAGGAGTTCGAGACAGCTTGACCAACACGTTGAAACCCCGTCTCTACTAAAAATACAAAAAAAAATTAGCCAGACATGGTGGTGGGTGCCTGTAATCCCAGCTACTCCGGAGGCTGAGGCAGGATAATCCCTTGAGCCTGGGAGGTGGAGGTTGGAGTGAGCCGAGATTGCGACGTTGCACTCCAGCCCGGGTGACAAAGTGAGACTCTGTCTCAAAAAAAAAAAAAAAAAAAAAAAAAAAGGCAACATGTTACCATTTGGGTAACAACTGGGGTCTCTCTATTTGTTTCTTACAACTGCATGTAAACCTACAATTATCTAAAAATGAAGTTTTTTTTTAAGTGTGTGTATATGTCTAGAAAAGACCTTGAAAAGGTGTTAAGTCATGACATTGGCAGTGGATAAGTATAAGATGATGAATAGGATTAGGCAGAGAAACGAAAGGTGAGTCTTGCTCAGTGTATTTATGTATCCTTGAATCTTTTTCTATAAGAATGTATTCATATGTCATGTTGTGTATTTTAAGAAAAAAAGACAATTTCTTTACTCTCCCCACCCCCAAAAAAATTGATTTCCAACTCTCCCAGACCAACTGAGTTGTTCAGGCATAAATTAATAAAACACATTTTCACCCCAAGGTCAAACATACAGTGGCCCTTATGGGCACTGATTGGTTATATAAAGTAGTTAAGTTGGTGATAATTACACTAGCATAGAAGCTTTAGGAAGCCTCTGGACCTGCTGCAAAAATAGCCACCAAATTCTGAAGTGGCTGAAGGTCCTTTCAAATCCCAGTCGCCTCCTGCTGCATGATCAGAGTGTCCCAGCATGATCCTATCTGCCTCAGTGCCTGAGGAATGGTAAGCAAGCCATGGGAATTCTGTATGAACCCCAGAGAGAGCACCTGCCAGGGAAACTGTGTGACTGATTAGGCCAAGGAGAATCAGAGTTCATTTTTGCATGGCCCTTTGCCCAAACCTCCCAGGCAAAAGTTTAGTGCTTACAAAATGAATATTTACTTTGAAACCATATGGAGCACCAGGTGTAAGAAAGCATGTATCTATTATTTTACCTCACTCCCTCTATGGCTCAAATACGGTCTTTATTTTTCACTGAATGATGACAGCTCTTTAGAGCAGCACTAAAGTCTCCCACTCAGGTATAACTAAAAAAAATTATTTTTCTGAATTTTTACACCTATGTTATTTGGTGCACAGATTATTTTGTGTGTTGTAGCTCAGCCATTAATGGCTTTTTAATCTATCTGTAAAGTGACTCTGTGTCCTGGTTTATGTTTTCTGCCTAAAACCCTTTGTCTCATTAATTGCATATTAATTTTGCAATGTCTGTCTTTTTCTCATTATTGTTATTATCATTTTTGGTCCAGGGTTTTTAAAAGTTTAATTCTCTATTTCTCTTTGAGTGGGTTTCTTATAGAAAACTAGTTAATGATTTTTAATAGAGTACAAATTATGGAATTCAATAAGAGGATTAAAGCACTTTTACTGCCATGGTATTTTGCTAGATCTTTTCTAATCTTGTATATATTTTCTCATTCTGCCTTCCCCACTTTTCCTCTGTTTTTTGTTGTTGTTGTAAACTCTGTGCTTTATTTTTATTTACTTCTTTAAGAACTTGGAATTAAAAAATCTTATTTTAGTTTTACCAGTATTTATAGCTTTTACAAAAAAAAAATCGAAGCTGTGTTTACAAATGTTTATGGTGAAATAACAGCCAAATATATTTTTCTTTTTTATGGAAGATGAGAATTTTAAAGCTTTGACTTATTACTCTAACATCATCCGATCTTCTATAATTTTATCTGAGATTGTAACCACACCTTATCATTATGATTTAAGTATGATTTTAAATTCATGTGAAAAATTTAAAGGAATTATTATTTTCTGTTTATTATCTGATATTAACACTCATCACCTATCCAACATTCTTTAACAAAGCTTCCTCTTTCTTTAATGTGATTCTGTGTCTGGAATCTTAAAAACACTTACAAGTTATTATTTTAGAAAGTGCAATATGATATTGTATTACAAGAGAGGTTTGCATTAAAAATGCTTTTCGGCCAGGTGCGGTGGCTCACGCCTGTAATCACAGCACTTTGGGAGGCCGAGGCAGGCAGACCACGAGGTCAGGAGTTTGAGACCAGCCTAACCAACATAGTGAAACCCTGTCTCTCCTAAAAATACAAAAAATTAGCCAGGCCTGGTGGTGGGCGTATGTAATCCCAGCTACTCGGGAGGCTGAGGCAGGAGTTGCTTGAACCTGGGAGGTGGAGGTTGCAGTGAGCTGAGATGGCGTCATTGCACACCAGCCTGGGTGACAGTGCAAGACTCTATCTCAAAAAATGATAAGTTCATGTCCTTTGTAGGGACATGGATGAAGCTGGAAACCATCATTCTCAGCAAACTGTCGCAAGGACAAAAAACCAAACAACTCATGTTCTCACTCATAGGTGGGAATTGAACAATGAGAACACATGGACACAGGAAGGGGAACATCACACACCGGGGACTGTTGTGGGGTGGGGTATGGGGGAGGGATAGCATTAGGAGATATACCTAATGCTAAATGACGAGTTAATGGGTGCAGCACACCAACATGGCACGTGTATACATATGTAACAAACCTGCACGTTGTGCACATGTACCCTAAAACTTAAAGTATAATAATAATAAAAAAAAGACTCCATCTCAAAAAAAATGCTTTTCAGACTCCTGCTTTTAGGATTTGTAATATAAATTATATTTATAATAGCAATTATGAATTTTGAAAATTCATGTTTATAAAAATTATTAAAGGTTATATAGTATTGCTTTTGTTTTTCAAGAGAAGTTAATTTTCTTCAGGTTGAAATTGCAAAGGATTCTGTGGTTAATCTGATTTTTATTTATTCACACATTACACATTTGGGTTTTTTCCCGTGAACACCTATGAAATTCTGTTCTAGCATTTGATTTTTTAAAAATGTAGTCAGATAAGTGTAGATGTTGCTGCCTTTCAGTTAAATTTGTTGAGTTTGATTGGCAATACTGCTTTTCGCATTCAAGTCTTACTAGATCTGAAAAGCTGTTTTTTAAAAATTCTTTTCTCTATTCAATTACTGTTTCTGCTTCATTTGTCTTCTTTCCTCTTTGGGAACATTGTTAGGCTTTCTGTTAAAATTTTTCCATGTATTATCTTATCTATCATCTTTTTACTTCTTTATCCTTTCTCCTGTGTTTTGAGGCTGTTTCTCAAGTTTTTTCTCCACAAGAACAATTTTGATTTTCCGTAGGGAACCAATCTCTGCTCATTGCCTTGAATGTAAGTTTTTATTGAGCTTTTATGCTTTTGATTGGCAGGCAGGCCCTTTGCTTATCTTTTTATAGGCATCGTCCTATATAATTAATAGAAAAGTAAAATTTTCTTAAAATTTCTTTTTTTAATTAATGAAATAAATTGTATTCAAAGGATGTCCTTTCTTTGAGAGTTTAATACCTGCTACATAAACACTATGAGTATATTAGTCTGTCCTCACACTGCTATAAAGAAATACCTGAGACTGGATAATTTATAAAGAAAAGAGGTGTAATTGGCTCACAATTCCACAGGCTATACAGGAAGCATGACGCTAACATCTGCCTGGCTTCTGGGAGGGCCTCAGGAAACTTACAATCATGGTGGAAGGCAAAGCGGGAGCTGGCCCATCTTACATGGCCAGAGCAGGAGGGAGAGAGGAGGGGGAGGTGCCACACACTTTTAAACAGCCAGATCTCAGAAAAACTCTCTCGGGAGAACAGCACCAAAGGGATGGCGCTAAACCATGTTGGAAGGATCCACCCCCATGATTCGAGCACCTTCCACCAGACCCCACCTCCATCATGAGTTGAACGTGAGATTTGGGTGGGGACACGGATCAAAACCATGTCAATGAGTCAGCTTTTATAGCAGGTCCCTGATGTAAATCACTCCCCCTATTAATACCCAGAGGCACTCCTTATAGTGGCATGACCAGACATCTCCACCCTGTTGTCATTACTGTTAGCATAAGTGATACAGTAATTGCAGAGTTCTCAGTTTTGTGTCTTAAAATTAATCTTAAAGTAGAGGTTTCACAGATTGTATTTCTGCTTCTCTAACTATTTTTATTCCCATTTGTGTCTGCATAGATGAAGAGAATACTGAGATGTAGACTGTGAAATACAAATGAACTCAGCAATATGGTTTTTGTGGGTTTTTTTCTGCACCATCACAACATGAGGAGGTTGACACGTTATTTGGTTCTTCCTGTTCTTTCTTCTTTTTCTCAGAAGTTATTTTTCTTGGTTTTCAGGCACTATAAGACATCTCTCTCCCCAACGGCTGCACTGAAGGTGAAAATCCTTTTGCCCTTATCTCAGGGAAATGAAGATTTATGTTCACACACACACTCAGACCTGTACGCTAATGTTCATAGCAACTTTATTAGTAATAGTTGCTGGAAACAACTGATGTCCTTCAATGCATGAATGGCTAAACACACTCAGTGCCTCCATCATGGAATACTACTCAGCAATGAAAAAGAAGGAACCACAGTTACCTGTAAAGCCTGCACGAATCTCCAGAGAATTATACTGAGTGAGAAAAGCCACATGTAAAAAGTTGTACTATATGGTTCCCTTTATACAACATTCCTAGAGTGATGAAATGATAAAAATAAAACAGAGTAGTGCTTGCCCGGGGTTAGGAATTAGGTGGGAGAGGGAAGGAGTGGGCGAGGCTCTAAAAAGACAACAGGAGGGATCTTTGTGGTGACCGAATGTTCTGGATCATGACATAGAATCGTTAATATCCTGATCAAAATATGATAGTAGAGGCCAGGCACAGTGGCTCATGCTTGTAATCCCAGCACTTTGGGAGGCTGAGGCGGGCGGGTCATGAGGTCAGGAGTTTGAGACTAGCCTGGGGCTGGTGTTGCTTGATGCCGAAGCTGAGTAAGTCTTTCCTAATGGCATAAAACACCCATCTTGGCTTACTTGGCTTTAATGGACAAGACCAGCTGATGCAGAGGGAGCAAGAGGTGGTTGGTGAGCAACCCTTGGGGCCTGAAGTGTGTGTCCAGAATCACTAAGGATTCCTGTGCCTGAAGGGCCAGCTGTCTCTGCCCCACCCTGTTTAGGGAACCCAGGCTGCAGGGAAGAGGTCAGGAACTTGAAGCAGTTGCCATATTGGTGCAGGGCTGCACGGGACTGAGTCCTCCCACCAATGCAGCAACAGTTTTTGTTCATTTCTTGACTCTTCTAGTTCATTTCCAAAATTTTTCTGTCTGGGATGCTGGTAATAAAAGTGCGTGTAAGCTCCTAGAATCATGGGCTCCAAGCATTGCTTTTGGTGATCAAATGGACTGACCCAACAGCTGCAGAAACTTCGTTCCTTTGTGTTTGTTTAGTCTCTTAGCCACACGAGCGCCCAGCCTGGAGTCTGGAGGTGAGCTCTCATTCCACCTCTTGAGCTAAGCAGGTGAGAGGTCCTGGAAAAATCACCTGGCAGGAAGGAGTCCATGGAAAGTTCGGTCTTGCCTCCTTTATTAGCTTGTTTGAAGGATCCAATAACGGGAATCTGCTTCAAAATACAAGACTGTTCTACACATGGGACAGATTTTTACCTTGATCATAATCCTTGATTCTTCAGGGCTCACCAGCATCAGAAATATGGGAAAGAAAACAATTTAAAGCCTGAATTTTAAAATGATAATTAAAATTAGACCTGTGCTCCCCAGACAGTAATATTAATGGATTCAGAGGGGTTAGTTGAGGATCTAGGATCTTTAGCCACCAGGACTTTGTCCAGTGGCTGAAGGCATCATGTCAATAGTTCAACCTTCCTGAGGCTGCCATACTGTGAGGATGAGCAAACTGTACCCTTTGGAGAGGTTCATGAAGAAGTTGGAAGACCACAGAGGGAGAGAGAACCGCCAAGCTCACCCTCAGCTGTGGCAGCTGCCACTGTTCCTTCTCCATCTACCATCCACAGTCCACGAGTGATGATAAGCCAGAACCCCCTAGCTGAGCCCTTCCCAAATCCCAATCCATAGGAACTGTGAGGGGTGTTAACATGATTCTTGCTCCTCCAGGTGTTTTGCCATGAATCACTAGCTAAGCAAGATAACCTTCTCCTAAGCACACATTTCAAGTGGAAGCTGTTCATCTTCCCATAAACCGTAAGACCAAGACAACAGATCAGTTAAATTCTGGTTTCCCTTATTTCAGTTGGGGCTTTGGCTGTAAGTGCTAAAAATATGGGACAAAGAAAATTGAAGTAAGCAGAAAAGTGTTAGCTCCAGATGCTGGGGATAATCCTGCCGCCTCACACAGCTGAAAGCAAAACTGTGACAACCAGATCCTTGGGGGTGGGCTAGAGTGCTCAGCACCATCGGGACTCTCTTTCTTTCTGATTTCTGACGTCTACTTGGCTTCACTTTGCAGGTAGGTGCTCTCTACCTGGTTAGAAGGACGTCTGCCAGCATCCATTCTGCATTCTCTCAGCTTAGCAATACCAGCGGAGGAGGAAGCTGCTTGTTGACAACATCTGAAGTTTAGCCTTCACCACCTTTTGACCAGGAGATCTAGGAACTACAAAGACATCCAAAATGGGTGGAGAAGGATGACAGGATAACAGCAAAACACACTCCCGTTTAGAAAGGGAAGCATGGGAGACACAGGCATCACTGATTTCTGAATTCCAACTCTGGGTCAAGCAGACCATGTGAGGCCCCCTACTCTTCAGAGCTCTTGGGGGTCAGGAATGATTCTTGATTAGGTTTGGATGCTGCCCTCTGAGGGAGCTGCCTTGCCCACTGTTCCTTGACTCTGCCCTCCAGGAGTCCTTTCCTTTTCCATCATCCTCCTTGCGTGCATCTGAAGTGAGGTGATCCCACTTGGAGGCTCCGGGGTCCCCAGCACACTTTCTGCTTGAGGCAAGTATGGAGTTCAAGGGTTTGGGAATAGATGCACCTTGTTAGTATGGGCCTGTGGTTGCCTTAATGCGCAACTTTCTTCACAGCCTGAAGCTTTTTTTTTTTTTTTTTTTTTTTTTTTGAGACAGAGTCTTGCTGTGTCACCCAGGCTGGAGTTCAATGGTGTGATTGCAGCTCACTGCAACCTCTGCCTCCCAGGTTCAAGTGATTCTCCCACCTCAGCCTCCTAAGCAGCTGGAACTAGAGGCATGCGCCACAACACCCGCCTAATTTTTTGGTTTGTTTATGTGTTTTGAGACGGAGTCTTGCACTGTCGCCCGGGCTGGAGTGCAGTAGTGCAATCTTGGCTCACTGCAACCTCCGCCTCCCAGGGTCAAGCGATTCTCCTGCCTCAGCCTCCCAAGTAGCTGGGATTACAGGTGCCCGCCACCATGCCCAGCTAATTTTTTGTATTTTTAGTAGAGATGGGGTTTCACTATGTTGGCCAGGCTGGTCTGAAACTCCTGACTATCATGATCTGCCCGCCTCAGCCTCCCAAAGTGCTGGGATTACAGGCGTGAGTCACAGCGCCCAGTGTAATTTTTGTATTTGTAGGAGAGACAGGGTTTCGCCACGTTGGCCAGGCTGGCCTCGAACTCCTGACCTCAAGTGATCCACCCCTTCGGCCTCCCCAAGTGTTGGGATTACAGGCGTTAGCCACCACGCCCAGCCTGAAGGCTTCTTATCTATTTGATTCCAACTGGTCTCCGCGAGCCTGTCCTCACATCTGCAGTTCTGCTCCCACACCCTTCTCGGATGGGTTCTCTTTCAGGCTTTCTCACACCCGTATCTACCTCTCCTAAGTGAAGGGGCTACATTCACATTGTTGGGAAACCCACACGCTTAGGCTCTCTTCTCTGAGGGTTTCTTCAGATTCGTCTGGATTTTTACCCAACTGGAAGGATTTGCTGGGTGCTGTTCCTCCAGGTTCTTCTTGATCATATTTTGTGTTTCTGCTGAAGAGGCATCTGGCTGATCCAACCCAGCAAGACCTTGAACTTTTGAGTTCTCCCTATTCTCTTGCATTTGTGTTTGAAGACTAGCCAGTTCCTCCGTGAGCTGTTCTCTCTTGTAACATATGGTCAAATGCAGGTCATTTCTAGCGTTCTGTTTTCCATGCTTTCCCCAACAACAACTACAAACTTATTAGGTGCCCATCTGCCTCTTCAACCATGATGGCAGCCTCCAGGTTCTGTCTCCTTGATGCCCACTGCTGATCCAACACAAATGCCAGGACCTTCAGGGTTTTTGTTTACAGTAGCACCCATTTCTAGTACTGATATACATAGTGGTCAAGATAAGTTAGATTATGGTGTGGTGATAACCCCAAATTTCAGTGCTTCTCAGAACTAAAGCTGCCTCCTCAGGCATGGGCCTCCCTGGTGCCCACCGCAGGGAAAAAGGGAGGATGCAGACCCACTCATGGGTATCTCCTGCTTCTGCCTGCAAGTTACTTAGACCTAGAACAGCATCTCCCACACAGAAGACATTCAGTGTACTTTATGGATTGAATGCATGATTTTTAGCTTTATAATTAACATTAATGTTTAATAAGAAACACACACACTGATAGGATTTGGCTGTGTCCCCACCCAAATCTCACCTTGAATTGTAATGATCCCCACGTGTCAAGGGTGGGGCCAGATGGAGATAATTGAATCATGGGAGTGGTTTCCCCCATATTGCTCTCGCGGTAGTGAATAAGTCTCGTGAGATCTGATGGTTTTATAAATGGGAGTTCCCCTGCAGAAGCTGTCTTGCCTGCTGCTGTGTAAGACTTGCCTTGTTCTTCCTTCTCCTTCCACCATGATTGTGAGGCCTCCTCAGCGATGTGCAACTGTGAATTAATTAAACCTCTTTACCTTGTAATATTACAAGGTTCATTAAACCTTTTTACCTTGTAAAAAATATACCTTGTATAATTTCTTTTTCAGAAATGTCTGGATTATTCTACAAGTATTTTCCTTTTTCTTTTTTTTTTTTCTTTTTGAGAGAGAGTTTTGCTCTTGTTTCCCAGGCTATAGTGCAGTGGCACAATCTCGGCTCACTGCAACCTCCACCTCCTGGGTTCAAGCGATTCTCCTGCCTTAGCCTCCCAAGTAGCTGGGATTACAGGCTTGCACCACCACGCCTGGCTAATTTTGTATTTTTAGTAGAGGTAGAGTTTCTCCATGTTGGTCAGGCTGGTCTCGAACTCCCAACCTCAGGTGATCCACCCACCTCAGCCTCCCAAAGTGCTGGGATTACAGACGTAAGCCACCTCGCCCGGCCTCTACAAGTATTTTTCTTACAAATAAAACCTAGAATTATTTGGTCAAGTTTTAAAAAATCCCATTGGGATACTGATTGGATTATATCTAATATGCAGATGAGCGTAACTGTTATTAATTTTTTTTTTTTGATACAGAGTTTCTCTCTCGTTGCCCAAGCTGGAGTGTAGTGGCGCGATCTTGGCTCACTGCAACCTCTGCCTCCCAAATAATTCTCCTGCCTCAGCTTTCCAAGCAGCTGGGATTTCAGGCGCCCGCCACCACACCTGGCTAATGTTTTGTATTTTTGGTAGAGACAGGGTTTCATAATGTTGGCCAGGCTGGCCTCAAACTCCTGACCTCAGATGATCTACCTGCCTCGGCCTCCCAAAGTGCTGGGATTACAGGCATGAGCCACCACGCCTGGCCTGACATTTTTTTACCACATTAGTTTCCAAATCTATATCTACTTTAATTGTTTCTCTTTTAATATCCATCAGCAGAGTTTATACATAGTTTTCTTCATGTAAGTCATGTTCATTTCTTATTTATCTTATTTCTAACTATTCTTCTGTCGCTACTGAGAATAGAATTATCTTCTTAATATTTTCTGCCTGGAGTTTGAGCTCAGTAATAAGCTATTGACTTTAGTCCTTAGGAGCATTATTTTAAATGAGCACACACAGGCGCCGAAATCACAGCACATCTGAATTCTTGTCTTCCCTGCCCTCTAATATCCATTTAGTGAGGAAAGCTTTGCCTCTGCCTCTGAGTGAAAGTCTGTGTATTACAGGCTCATTCCCCCATAAAGACAATCCCATGACCACCTTCCATCACTGCTGCTGTTTGAATGTGTCCCCCAAAGTTCGTGTGTTGGCAACTTAATCTCCAAAGCAACAGTGTTGAGAGGTGGGACCTTTAAGAGGTGATGAGGTCAGGCTGAGCACGGTGGCTCATGCCTGTAATCCCAGCACTTTGGGAGGCCGAGGCGGGCAAATCACGAGGTCAGGAGTTCAAGTTGAGATCAGCCTAGCCAACATGGTGAAACTCCGTCTGTACTAAAAATACAAAAATTAGCCAGGTGTGGTGGTGCATGCCTGTAGTCCCAGCTACTCAGGAGGCTGAGGAATGAGAATTACTTGAACCTGGAGGTGGAGGTTGCAGTGAGCCGAGATAATGCCACTGCACTCCAGCCTGAATGACAGAGCAAGATTCCATCTAAAAAAAAAAAATTTAAATATGAAATCTCAATATTAGCAATCATTCTATTGATTGAAAAAGCAAACTATATACAGTTTTGTGCATAGGGATGTTTATTGCAGCATTGATTTCAAGAGAAAACAAATGGAAAGAATCTAAATGCCTGTGAGTAATGAAATGGCTAAATATAGCATATTTGACCATGAATTATGAGACAACTATTGTCAAAGATGAACTTAATTCTCTATGTTTATAGCTGGAAAAGCATGCAAATATATTATGAAATAAAACAAGTAATTTTCCTGTAAAGAAAAAAAAAAGCAAGAGGAAAAGGGAAAAATGGTGGTAGGCTGACCTACATACGTTCATCCATCCACATCTGTATTTAAGCAAAGAGCATTTACATATGCATAATTTTTGCCCACAAGGATTAGCAGAGTAGTTAAGATCCTGGGCTCTGCAGCTGGTCCTTTGTGTTGGAATTCTGACAGTGGCACTCATTCATTGCAGAACCTTAGGCAGCTTTCAACTTCTCTGTGCCTCAGTTTTCTCACTTGTGAAACAAGAATAAGGATAGTGCTGACCTCAGTGTAGTATTTTGAGGATTAAATGAGCTAAGCTATGTTCCCAGCACCTTGTAAGTGCTGTATGAATGGTTGTACTTATTATTAATTGATTAAATATTCAAGTTATTTATTATTTCAGGAATTACTATTAAGTATTATTTTAATAGGTTGATGAGAGAAGGGGGTAGCTGGCTATTAACTATTTTTTAAATATATTACTACGGTTTTCAAACTTTTTCAATGAATACAATTTACTTTTGTAACTGAAAAAAACCATAAAATGTGGAGAAGAGACCACCAACAGTAGCAAGCATGAGAACGCTTCTGGGAAAAGCTGAGTTCCTAGGCAGATGGATAAATCTGTGGCAGCTTTTGATATTTCTCAAAACAGAGCATTAAAATGAGTCACAGCCTCTCGCATAGCTTTTTATCTTTCCTAAATTGGAATCCTTATCATTCTTACAAAGAATTACCAGCAATAACATGCTCATTTCCTGGCATAATAATTAGAAACCCAAATAAATGAGTATTTTTATTTCCCAAACGCTTGGGCCTGGTATGTGAGCCCTGAGCCACAATTCTTGACTCCAGGGTGACGTGGCCACTGGGGTGGCAGTCAGAGTCAGACCACCCTGACACGACCTCATCTGTGTTATTGGTGATTCACTGCACCTGACAAAACCTCGTCTTGGGCACTCATTCCCTCCTCACAGGAACTGCTGTGAGGATGTAATGACAAGATACATGTGCAACTACTCTTCGCGGGTTGCTTGGCACAGAGAACTCACACAAATACGATAAAGACGATGATGGTGGTGGCTGATTTGCAGGATTGAATGGCATGTCAAAAATAGTAGATGTGGCTAAATAAATAATTGAAAACTCTCATAATTCAAAAACTTCATATAAGAGGAAAAGACAAATGAAACATTTTAAAAGACCTTTAACAAACCACTTTTACATGCCAATACCAGTAGATAGTATGCAAAATAACACTAATAGAAGAAACATACAGTTGGTTGATTAAAGCAGTAGAGAAATGCTTCATCCCCACTCTCCAAACAGCCTTATTGGTAAATTTTTCCAAACCTACCACCTCTTTGCAGCCCATTCCTTAGCTGTCCCCTAAGAGAAGTAGATAATTCTGGCCAGTCCATTTCAGAAAAGTAAACTCTGGGATCTCAGCTCACCTGTCCCCTTTTCTGTTTTGGGAACCACATGCCTGCAGGAGCGATCCACCTCTGCTCCTTTATGCTGAGTCTCCCAGGCAGTTCCCACACCAAGGAAGGCCGAGCCAGCTCTCTGTCCAGCTGTCAGTCCAGCGAAGTCAGCCTGGGATGGAGAGAGGGGGTGTTGCTGAATTCATAACTCATCTAGCAGGCCCAGCTGGCAACCACAGGAGGCTGCAGCCTCTGCCTTTGTTTTATCAAGACTTGAGGTAGTATTTTAGCCCCTTCTGTCCCTCTTCGGCCTTATTTCTGAAATTGCTGGTTCTGTGGGTAGGGAAAGTAACTGCTGTTCATTGGGTTCCTTTAGAGACTTCAGCCACATCTGCAGAAGATACTCAACTGGACTGACAATTAAATAAGGGCACATTAAAACAAAAGTAAGGCCCAGGTGCAGGGGCTGACGCCTGTAATACTAGCACTTTGGGAGGCTGAGGTGGTTGGATCTTCTGAGGTCAGGAGTTCCAGACCAGCCTGGCCAACATGGCAAAAGCCCATCTCTACTAAAAATAATTTTTTAAAAAATTAGCCAGGTATGGTGGTGCATGCTTGTAATCCCAGCTACTCAGGAGGCTGAGGCAAGAGAATCACTTGAATCCAGGACATGGAGGTTGCAGTGAGCAGAGATCGTGCCACTGCACTCCAGCCTGGGCAACAAGAGCAAGATTCTGTCTCAAAGAAAAAAAAGTGAGAGGGTGTTCCCACCTTCCCTGCTGTTCAGGGCAGAACAGGAACAATGGGTACGTTCACACCTGTCCATGGGGAAACCGCTGCTGCTCATCTGGGAGGCAGTGGGGCCATGACCATAGTGAGCTTTAAAACTGTTTGGATCCTTTGACCTCTTGATTTTGCTTCCAGGACTCCACCCCAGCAATCAAGATTCACAAACCACCTTTTCCTTATAGCATGGTTCATAATAGTAAGATTAAAGACAATAGAAATGGCCAATAAAAGAAGAATGACTATATAAATTATGGGCCAGCCACAGAATGAAATGTGATGAGGCTATGCAAAAGAGGGCTTATAGAACATTTCATAACGCTTCCGTAGGTAATGCTATTCAACAACATCGAATATAGCATGATTAGTGAAGTACATATCCAATGGTGCACTTATGATTTGAAAGGAGATGCATGCAAACGCTAATGGGATTTATATCATTTATATCTTGAGAGCTGGATTGAGAGTGATTTTTATTTTGCTTCTGTATTTTTTTTAACATTTTCCACATTACCTGCAAAGAGAACATCCTACTTTGTTTGTTGTCTTTTTTTTTTTTTTTTTTTTTTTTTGAGATGGAGTCTCACTCTGTCACCCAGGCTGGAGTGCAATGGCATCATCTTGGCTCACTGCAACCTCTGCCTCCTGGCTTCAAGTGATTCTCCTGCCTCAGCCTCCTGAGTAGCTGGGATTATAGGCGCCTGCCACCAAGACTGGCTAATTTTTGTATTTTTAGTAGAGACCGGGTTTCGCCATGTTGGCCAGACTGGTCTTGAACTCTTGACCTCAGGTGATCCACCTGCCTTGGCCTCCCAAAGTGCTGGGATTACAGGCGTGAGCCACTGCGCCCAGCCCATGCTGCTTTTTAAGAAAGAAAAATCATAAAACACTTTACAATTAACACCATGTGAAATAAGGCCTGTAGAAACACAGAAGATAGAGTTGTGGGCCTAGGCTTATTCCTTGGCCTGCCGGGCGGGGAAGGACATCTGAACACTAAAAGGTTCACCTATAAGAAAGAGGAAAAGTGTCCCAGCAGGAGAAACGGCCTGTGGGGAACACATAGAGATGCGGTGTGAGAGGCAGCTGCCTGGGAGAATTGTTCTCCCATCCCTGTTGCGGCAAAATGTTGCTTACAGGCTCAGACACGTGATGCTCTCTCCACGGTCAGGATCTACCTACTAGAAGCTCCTGTTTCACCTGTGCCCTAATTACAGCCACCCCCGCGCCCTTCTCCACCATCACCTGAGTCAAGTGCCTACACCTCTCTGTTCCCTACGTTAGGGCCCACGACCAGCTGAGCCTAACATCAAAAGTTCCCTCTGTGACCAGAAGAGGGCGCGGTGGTGCAGGATGGGCGTCCCAGGAAGGCCAGGACTTAGGTTCAAATTCCCGTTTTGTCCATTCCTGTAACCTGTGAAGTTCACGTGGGTAACATGCGTGTGACAACACCTCATCACGGGGTTCTTGCGAAATCAAATACAACAGTGACATACAAATGGCTTGCAAGCTGAACTCCTGTGACTCTGAGGGATTACCAACTTCTGTCAATACTTTATTCAGTGTTGAACCCCCAGGTGATGCGTGGCTCACTTTACCTGAACCTTCACCTCCCAGAGAGGTCTTGGCATCTGCCTGCTTGTAGGGACTGTGGCCCCTGTCCATGCCCTGCTCCTGCCCTTTGAGTTCCAGGGTCTGTCTGCTGTAAAAGCCTGCTGGACTCTGCTCCTGACTCAGTTTGACCAGCTGGCTGGGCTCTGGTGTGGCCCACAGCCTAGGAGGAAGGATGTTGTGTCCCGGCCAGGTGCTCATGGGCTCAGTGAGCAGCACTTTGAACTCTAGGCGCAGTAACAAGGGCCTCCCTCATGACCCCTCATGACCAAATGAACCCTCGACTCTGGGGAGTGGTCCTCATCTTGCCACTCTATGCCTTTATACCCAGACCCAAATTTCCTCCAGGGCAGTGGTCTGTTCTTACCTGCCTTTCCAAATGCCAGTCTTCCACCCTAAATTCCAGTGTCCATGGATGGGGACCCATCACTGCTGTCCAGGTTCCGAGTCACCCTCCTGCCTCCATTTTCACCACATACCCAGCCCAGCCCAAGAGATGGGACCTCTCTGATGGGAGCTCTCAGGCCTTTGCTTTGACTCTGACTCAGAGCCTCCCCGGACAGTGGTGCAGTGTGTGCACTGCTCACCCCCAGGCAGTGTTGCTCATACTTCAGTCTATAAAAAGCAAGGCAAGGCCTGAACAGCTGCAAACAGCAGCCCTGCTAGGGCATAGCTTTCCAGCTGTGATCCAGGCATGTGGCCCTGGCTGCTTCATGAAAGGCCCTGGATCTGAGCCCTGGCCTGGCCTCTTCCAGATGTAAGATGGGGAAGAGCTCAGAATCTCTCTGAACCTCCATTTCCTTAACTGTAAAGTGAGGGGCTGGATTGCTTGATTTCTAAGCTCAATTATCTAGACATGCCAAAATGTACTATCTACCTGATTCTAGAATCTCTCAAACCTGCCCTAATCTGCCTGTACCAATGGGCTCTGGAGAATGTCCTGATGTCACCAGATTCATGCCTGAGATGAAAGCCTTAGGATTCAAGAGCCCAGCTCTGTCCTTCTCCAATGCAGCCTCAAACCTCCTGCTGTTCCTGGCCCCGTGCTAGCATCCCCTTCCCACCATCACAGGATACCCTAAAGGCCCTGATAACAGACATTTCCATATTACTGGGCTCACGCCTTCATGGTGGACCTCCTGGAGGTGGGCATAGCCCATGCCCAGGTAGAGAGGAGCAGGAAGGCATGGGCATGTTTGGGGAGGTTGAGAGAGACCAACCTGGCTGCATCAGATAGAGAGCACCAGTGGCTGGTCTGGCTAGGAATCCAGGTCGGGGCCCTAGAGTGGCCACATTTACTTGCTTTTGCTAAGGTAATTTCAGGTTTGGTAAGGCAATGAGTGAAGATCTGTTGGGCAGGTGGTCTCTTGGTGCCCTGTAATCACGTACTTGAGTCTGCCTCCCTCATCTCACCCCAGTGGTGACTCATAAATCAACACCAAAGCCAGTTACGCTGCCATCCGGCAGAACTCGTGCCCCAGACACCTTGGGAGGAAGTGGAGCCAGAAGTGAGAACACTCTCTGAGGGTGAAAAAACTCCAACAGTTCTTCTGTTCTCACGCCGCGCCACAACAATCAACACAGAAGGCTTCTACGACCAAATGTGTGGGGATTTCTCCCCACCACCGAGCAAACTGCCCAGACATGGACACCGGCATGAACTGGGGGTCCTCCAGTTAAGTTCTGACACTCTCTACCTGGAGACAGCGTCAGATCCCAGGGGTTGGGGGCTTAGTCCCCCAAGACCACCCCTGACCTTCAGACATCACTCACTAGTACAGGCCTCGGGAACTTCTGACAACCAGCTATAAATTGATAAAGACCCCCTCTTTATTAATTTGCTAGGGTGGCTCGCAGAACTCGGGGAAACCCTTAGGTTTACCATAAAGGATGTTACAAAGGATACAGATGAAGAGATGGATAGGCGAGGTATAGGGGAAGGGGTGCGGAGCTTCCATGCTCTCCCTGAGTGTGACTCTCTCCGGGAACCTCCATGGGTTCAGCTACCTAGAAATTCTTAGAACTGTGTCCTTTTGGGTTTTCATGGAAGCTTTGTGACATAGGCAGGATTGGCCATTGATGGTCAACTTAACCTTCAGCTTTTCTCCCCTCCCTGGAGTTCAGGGTGGGGCTGAAAATCTCAACCCTCTAATCCTGCCTTGGTCTTTCCAATGACCAGCCTCACCCTGAAGCTACCTAGGGGCTGCCAGCCATCAGCCAACTCATCAGCATTCAAAAGTACATCACTTTGGAGATTCTAAGGATTTTAGGAGGTGTATGTCAGGAAATGGATTCAAAGGCCAAATATTTATCTCATAATATCACACTCCTAAACTCATAGGACACTGGCAAGGACACCAAGCTCAACTCCTCCCCATTTCTGAATCCCTGGGCTCCATGCTGCGCCTATGGCTGCTGCACAGTTGTTCTGAAGGGGCCCTGGCCTGCATGTGCCTGATGCACACAGCTGGAGGGTGTCCTGCAGAGATGGGACCATTAGCTGGCAGGCATGTGTGGTGGAGGGGACAGGGGAGCACGTGCCATAGTTCGATTTATTTTTAGGTATGTGGGAGTCACTAAAGGCAGTAAGCAAGGGTGTGATGTAATCAATTGTGCATTTTAAAGTGATTGCTCCAGCTGCCTGTGGAGAATGGATTGGAGAAGGGCCAAAGGGCACTCAGGGGCGTCAGCTGGGAGGCTGTGCTACAGTTCCCAGGAAGGATGTGGCTGCAACAGTGACAGAAAACACATAAACAGGGCAATGGACTATAGGGTGTTCGTGCAACCAGACACACCCAGCCAAGAGTATCTCACCTCCTGCAGGTCAGATGCAGACACCCTCTAACCACTGGCATTTTGGCCTCTGGAATGAGCCTGGTGGTGATAAAGTCTGGAGGGCCACAGGTGACCATATGAGCCACAGGATGCCTCAAGACCAGAGACATCCTCGCAGAATCAACAAGAGGAGAGCAAAGGACAGGAAGAGACTCAGGCAAAACTTTTGTCTGCACAACCAATTCCCATCTTCACCACCTGAACGCCACCCCAGATGACATATATGGGGCTGCTTTTGCCATCCACATGGCTAGGACAGTGTATCTGTAGTTGTCAACAACAATCAGAGGACCATATCAATTAAACCAGGAACTTTTCCATGTCGTTTCGACTGAATCATATAAAGGTAGACAACATCGCACTATGTTGGTGCACAGAGCACTCTGAAATGATTCATTTTTCGCTCCTTTGAGGCGAAGGCAAACCTACAAGCAGAACAAACCGCATCCGGAGAGGAAGTGATAAAGCTCAGAGGAGCAGCAAGAATAACCATGGCGACAATCTTGCAATTTAGAGGCTGCAAATAAGAGAGATATTTACTTTGGAAATGCAACTGAAAAAAAGAAAAGCTGCAATGACAACAGCATAGCAACAATCTTCTCCTCTGGGCTCAATGAAAAAGAAATGACAAGACAATGAACCATCTCCAGGGGCTGTATGTAAATCCAAGATTTCCTTTTGACATAACAGTGTGAAAGATCATCAGTGAGGAAGGTGAATCATTCAGGCTTTTAAAATAGCTTTTTATTTTGAGATCTTGTAGATTCACCTGCAGTTGTAAGAAATATTATATTCTGTGTACTCTTCACCCAGTTTCCCCCAGTGATAACACTTTGCATGAGGAAATTGACATTGAAACAATGGTTCAGTTTTGAGGAAGTATCAGATATCAAAGAGATACTTTGTCATGTTTGGATAAAAATGTAACACTTCTGTATTAAAAAAAAAAAACTAAAATTACAAGAAAACCAAACAGGAAAAAAAAAAAGCTTTTTTATTAATCCTAGCAAGGAGTTTATTCTATACAATGCGTATGTTCACATTTACAAGAAAAACAGTGGCCTTTGAAAATATTTTGATGGCCTGTAGAGTTATAACCAGAATCACTGCAATGCAGTAATATTTAAAGAAATGTATGAGGCAACACTGGATGAATTTACTGATTGAGATGTCATTGTTTTGAGGAATTATTGTTTGTGGCCTTTCTGAAATCCTCCATCACTACCTTTTACATTCAGGAACTCATCAGGCCCTTCCAGCATTACATTATAAGAAATATAGTGTATCATGCCTGTAATTCCAGCACTTTGGGAGGCCGAGGCAGGTGGATCACCTGAGATCAGGAGTTCAAGATCAGCCTGATCAACAGGGTGAAACCTCATCTCTACTAAAAATACAAAAAAAATTAGCCAGGCATGGTGGTGGGTGCCTGTAATCCCAGTTACTCAGGAGGCTGAGGCAGGAGAATCACTTGAACCCGAGAGGCAGAGGTTGCAGTTAGCTGAGATCATACCACCGAACTCCAGCCTGAGCAACAAGAGCTAAAACTGTCTTTAAAAAAAAAAAGAAAGAAAGAAATATAGTGTATCTTTTTCCTGATTCATTCATTCAACAAATATTTATATACTACTATTGGCCCACTATTTTCTTTAGGGGAAAACAGGAATGGCCCCCCCAGAAAGCCCTCTGGGGAGCTGAAATTCTAATCCATTATTGGTTTTGTCTCAACTATAATTGCCCTTGTTTAGAATTTCATCATCTTCCAGAGGAGTCGCCCTCTGTACAGTCTTTCCCCACCCCTCAGTTTATTCTCTGCATTGCTGATCCTTCCTCAACAGACACTGCTAATTATGTCAGGTTTAGGGTCAAAATCCTTCCCGAGTTTCTATCACTCACGCCCCCGACTTCCACAGGGGGCAGTTCTGAGCTCCTCTGTGGCTCTTAGTCATCCATCCCCTACCTTCCTGTGTACCTCCTCATTCATCCACCTTCTTCTCTGCCCACACAGCTGGCCCAGGCTTCCTGTCCAGGTGCATGGTCCTCCTGTGCCAGGGGATGAGTTGGGGGCTGGGTTGGGAGGGCTCCTCTTGCCTTTCTGCCTGAAGAAGCCCTACTCATTAACCTTTAAGTCTAAACATGACCTCTTCTGTTGAATAAAATATAGAAAATTCCATTTAGTGGGAGATTGCATGGAGATCACCAAATAACTATCTATTGATTGGATTAATGTGCTGTCATTCTATTATGAACAAAGTGATATGTTTGTTTGTTTCAGCATTGTATCTTAATGCCTGTGATGCTGTGACAATGTAGCAACAGTGATTTCTTTGGAGTGGTGCGTGGAATCCACTTAGCACTTTGTGTTATTAATCTTTTTTTTTTTTTTTTGCTGAAAATAAAAGTCATTGTAAAAAATTTAAAAATTAGAAAAAAAATATGGAAAAGAAAACACCAAATATCCAGCGTGTAATATTGCAAGGTTTGGGCATATTAATATTTTCTTCCCTTTTCCCAGTACTTTTATTTACTCTACGTTGATTACATATACAATTTAAACTTTTGTGGTTGTTTCCACTTAAAGTATATTAAAATGTTTTAAGCATTTGACACAAGCTGCCAAATGGATTTTCAAATGGATTGTAAAATTTTATTTTCCCAAATCATTAGATATGAAAATGTATGGCTTTCCTACCACATCTTCATAATAGCTAGCATTAATTACTAGTTGAAGAGGCAAAATTTGGTATATTTTCTTCACCTTTGTTTTTCTTTGAGTCTTAGGAAGGTTGACTAAATTGTCATTTCCTTTTTTTTTTTTTTGAGACAGAGTTGCACTCTTGTTGCCCAGGCTGGAGTGCAATGGCACAATCTCGGCTCACTGCAACCTCTGCCTCCTGGGTTCAAGTGATTCTCCTGTCTCAGCCTCCTGAGTAGCTGGGATTACAGGTGTCCACCACCACACCCGGCTAATTTTTGGTATTTTTAGTAGAGATGGGGTTTCACCATGTTGGCCAGGCTGGTCTGGAACTCCTGACCTCAGGTGATCTGCCCGCCTCAGCCTCTCAAAGTGCTAGGATTATAGGTGTGAGCCACCACGCCCGCCCAATTGTCATTTCTTTATAACGTGTTTATATTTCATCTTTCTGAGTTTCCTAAACTTTTTATTTGCCACTTTACTTAATGGAATATTCTAGGTTTTCTCATTGATTCATATGAATGATTTATTTGCTAACACTCTAAGTCCTTTCTCAATTTTATTGAGGGAAGAGTGAGGTTTTTATAAGCCCATAATTTGCCTTTCATTTATTTTGTAATGCTTGATGTATAATTTTTGTGTGTACTCAAATCTATTCATCTTTTTCTTTTTAATGCCTTCCACTACTAAGCTCAGAAAATCTTTACTCCATCCAGAGACCAAGGAGTTATTCTCTCTTAATTTTTTCTATTTTAAAAAATAACTGAGCTCGAAGACAGAGCGAGACTCTGTCTCAAAAAAAAAAAAAGAAATAAATAACTCAGTTCTATTCAATCTGCACTTTATTTTGGTGTGTAATAAAGTCAACGTGGATACTTCCCCTCAAAATCTTGCTCGTCATCCTTGATGGAGAAATCTTTCATTTCTGCATTCATTAGTGACGCCTCTTTTAACATGTGTTAGATACTGAGCAGGTTTTTTTTTGGGGGATGTTGTTTTTGTTTTGTTGTTGTTTGAGATGGAGTCTCACTCTGTCGCCCAGGCTAGAGTGCAGTGGCACGATCTCGGCTCACTGCAACCTCTGCCTCCCGGGTTCAGGCGATTCTTGTGCCTCAGCCTCCCGAGTGGCTGGTACTGCAGGCACATGCCACCATGCCTAGCTAATTTTTGTATTTTTAGTAGAGACAGGGTTTTGCCATGTTGGCCAGGATGGTCTTGATCTCTTGAGTTTAGGTGATCTGCCTACCGCAGCCTCCCAAAGTGCTGGGATTACAGGCGTGAGCCACCGTGCCCAGCCAATACTGAGCAGTTTTTACTGAACAGTCCACTGTTCATTCCATGCAATGCATGACTCTTCTGATGAGCAGCCTTTGCCTGGGAAACCCTGACCATCCAAGACTGTGGTCTAAGGCTCTTTCTACCCACTCCTTCCTTCCCTCTCACCTGCCAAAGGAGTCAGACTTGTCTCAAGATCTGAAGGCGCTCTCTGCCTCCTCCTGTCTGCCCCCTCTATCCTCCACTGACATCTTGTCCAATAAATCTCATGTGCATCTCATTCCAATCTTGAGTTCTGCTTCTCAGAGGACTCAGACTGATGCACCAACTTTGCTCCAGTTTGTGGAGTTTGGAGCCTTGGTTTATGCGCCCTGTTATGCACTCCAGGATCTCAGGCAAGCCACTGGCATTCAAGGCAAGAAAGCATGTTCATTTCCAAATAGGGGCCCATGGCTTGCGTTGGCAGTCCTATGCCTGCACTCACACACCATCCCACTCTGTCGCCCCAAAGGGCAGTTTAGCAAAACCCAAACTTCAAATTTGAACGACTTATTCAAACTAGTATTTCCTAAGGAGATGCTAGGTCTCCTCTCACCCCACCATTCCCTGCAACCTGGCACAGCCACACGTGGGGAAGAGATGGTCCACATCGTGGCTGCCGTTCACAGAGGGGCAGCCCCCGCCAAGTCATGCAGACACTGCCCTGTGAGGGGCAGTGCAAATCTCAGGGGGTAGAGTCCTCATTGACCTGGTCGATGAGGACCCAGGCTTTGATGTTTAACCCATTGCCTGTTTAACGGTGCCCACACTGAGACAGAAACAATCAAATCTGCAGAGAGTCAGCAACAAGACCAGGACAGGCAGACACATCTAAAATGAATCCCCCAAGAGTCCCCAGTATCCCCTGCTCAGACATATGGAAGGGAAGAGAGGAAAGGGATTTTTTTATCTCTGCTTTGACTTAATAAATACTCTTAATCTCCCAGGATGAACAACAAGGCTTGTGTAGGTTACAGAGTTAGAGATTCTAAGCTTGAGGATATCCAGCATTTAGAGGCAATTTCATAAAAGGCACAGCAATGTTTAAAAAAAAAAAGACTTGAAAATGGTATGGGGCTGTTTGGTTTTTATATCTTTGGGTTGATAGAATGCCTGGATACTTACGGAATGCCTGCAAGCCCTTGAAGATGCACATATAACTTCAGGGTCCATGAGATTCTCAAGTTTATCTGTGGAGGCCTTTGGGAGTCTATGGATCCTGATTTCCTGATCTGAAACCTGTGTCTATGAAAATATATCCAAGATATTTTGTTATGTGAAAACAAAATACGTCGCAGGCAGTACATACAGCTTGATCCATTTTTCTTTTTCTTTCTTTCTTTCTCTCTCTCTTTCTTTCTTTCTCTTTCTCTCTCTTTCTTTCTTTCTTTCTTTCTTTCTTTCTTTCTTTCTTTCTTTCTTTCTTTCTTTCTTTCTTTCTCTCTCTCTTTCTTTCTTCCTTTCTTTCTTTTTGAGACGGAGTCTTGCTCTGTCACCCAGGCTGGAGTGCAGTGGCCCTATCTCGGCTCACTGCAAGCTCCGCCTCCCAGGTTCACGCCATTCTCCTGCCTCAGCCTCCCGAGTAGCTGGGACTACAGGCGTCCACCACCATGCCCAGCTAATTTTTTGTATTTTTTTTTTTAGTAGAGACGGGGTTTCACCGTGTTAGCCAGGATAGTATCGATCTCCTGACCTTGTGATCCACCTGCCTCAGCCTCCCAAAGTGCTGGGATTGCAGGCGTGAGTCACTGTGCCCAGCTGATCCATTTTTCTTTCAATATTATGTGTATAAATCAAAGCTCACTTTTGGAGGAATTGAGATTAAGGGGTCAAAAGATTTCTTTTGCCTTAAAAAATATATATACTGCACTCCTAAACTGTTTGAAGTATATTAAATAGCAAATATGTTACTTTTTAAATAAGTGTCTAAACAAGTGAACTTGTTGAAAAGAAAGAAGTATTTTCTGGCCGGGCACAGTGGCTCACGCCTGTAATCCCAGCACTTTGGGAGGTCGAGGCGGGTGGATCATGAGGTCAGGAGATCGAGACCATCCTGGCCAACATGGGGAAACACCGTCTCTACTAAAAATACAAAAAATTAGCTAGGCGTGGTGGCGGGTGCCTGTAATCCCAGCTACTCGGGAGGCTGAAGCAGGAGAATCTCTTGAACCTGGGAGGCAGAGGTTGCAGCGAGCCGAGATGGCACCATTGCACTCCAGCCTGGGCAATAGAGCAAGATTCTCAAAAAAAAAAAAAAAAAAAAAGTATTTTCCAACAAATCATAACTCTGACCTAATCTTATATCTTTCATGACATAAAGCAGTGGACTAAAGCAGCCACTGTGTCTCTAATTCTCAACCATTCAGCCCAGAGCAAACAGACTGGCTGCAGACATCTGTCCACCGTGACTTCCAACGCTCCTTCCACACTCAGCTCTTCATCTGCTCTGTAACTGCTTCTTCCTCAAGGGCCACTGCTTGGCCACCTACCTCACCGGCTGACATGGCCGAGGACGGTTGAATGTCAGGAGGGCCTCTGCTTTACAGAGCTGGGATTCCCTGGGACACTCTGAAGTCCTGTCCTGTCACCAAGACACTCCCTGGGCCACTCTGAAGTCCTGTCCTGTCACCAAGACACTCAATTTCTCAGCAGCAAAAGCCCCTGCCTGTTGTTGAAGACTCATTTCTTCATTCAGTACTTATTAATTCGAACATTTAATCAGCATATATTTATAAAGTACCTAATGAATAGGAAGTTCTGTAGAAACAGAAATTAGCTGTAAAAGGTAAATAGAAAATCCATCCAGCTACAAATGAAGAAAGCCTGCTCCTGACAGCCACTGTACTAACAATTCTAGGAAAAGGGGTGTTTCTCACTAGAAGTCAAAGAAATGCAAATTGAAATAACGATGAGTTGACATTTTCGTTTGTCAACCATTAAAATAAAGTTATAAAACTCAATGCCAGTGAAGGTATGATAAGTTAGGCTAGCAATTTCTATTCACTGTGGGAGACCAGGTATCAATTCTGGTGTGGCAGGCTAACTCAGTAAGATATTAATTTGTATTTTGCTCCCTCTGTATTTTTTTCTTTCTCCTTCAAATAAGGTAGCCAGACTGTATTGGTGTGTCACAAATTACCACCAAAACAGCCACATAAGACAAAACCCATATATTAGCTCACAGATTTGTTGGTCAGAAGCCCAGGTAGGGCTCAGCTCTGTTCTCTGCTCAGGGTTGTACAAGACTGAGTTCAGGGCCGGGCGAGGTGGCTCACGCCTGTAATCCCAGCACTTTGGGAGGCTGAGGTGGGTGGATCACGAGGTCAGGAGATAAAGACCATCCTGGCTAACATGGTGAAACCTTGTATCTACTAAAAATACAAAAAAATTAGCCGGGTGTGGTGGCGGGTGCCTGTAATCCCAGCTACTCGGGAGGCTGAGGCAGGAGAATGGTGTGAACCTGGGAGGCTGAGCTTGCCTCACTGAGCTTGCAGTGAGCTGAGACCACGCCACTGCACTTCAGCCTGGGCAAGGAGTGAGACTCTGTTTCAAAAAAAAAAAAAAAAAAAAAAAAGACTGAGATCAGGGTGTCTGCCATCTTCAACTCACACATGCGGCCCTGGGAGAGAATCTACTTCCAAGCTCATTAAGGTTCTTGGCAGAACTTCCTTCCTTGTGCTGCAGGACTGAGGCCCCTGTTTCCCTGAGGACTGTCAGCCAGGGGCCACCCTCAGCTCCTAGAGGCTGCCGTTTCCTTGTCCTGTGACCCCTCAGTCTCCAAAGCCAGCATTTGATGTCCCTCGACTGAAGTCAAGGCACATGAGGGGTTTATGATCTAAACCCAAAATATTGTGTCAGCACGGAGGCCCTGACTGGGCCCTGCTGAGAGCTGGAGCTATCATTGAACCCCTGTCTCCAAGATGGTCCCAGTCTTCTGTAAGGGTGCAACTGATATTGGGTCAGCCCAATTGTTGAAAGTAAATAAAATAATGTAATGAAATAAATAGTAACACAGCTTTGGCATGATATTTGCACAGTGTTTTTGTGGCAGTAGGTGAGTGACATGCTGACTTTCCTACGGCTAAAAGCAGTGTAGCCTGGCCCTAAATCGCTTGACCTAGATATGAAGCTGGTGAAGACAGCAGCAAGAGGATTTTTAGAAACATGAAGGTGAGGGATGGTTGTTGTTTCTTTGTCCCTCTGCCTATCTCTTGAAGGTTAGTGCCATTTGTCTCTCAGCTTCTCCTACACACACACACACACACACAACACACACCCCATTACACTAACAGAAAGGCAAAGATGGCAACTTGCCTGGCAACCTTTGAAAGGTTTCTGGTGCCTGCTTTAAAACCTGAAAGCCCCGTGCAAGCAAAGCAGAAGTGCAGCAGTTTTAATGTGCTGTGGCCAGAGATGCTAAACTCACATCACCAAGATGTGGAGATGCGGAGAAAAGGGAAGGTCTGGAGGCTGCGTCCCTTGCAGAAGGACAGGACCCAGCTGTCAAGGCAATTAGGCTAAAGGACTGCACCTCCTCACTTCTGCCGGAGAGAAAGGACCAAGCTGTCCACCGGATGCTGGCATCAGGCTCTGGTTCCCAGCAAATGTCACAGCAAGAAAATGGGGGTATTTTGATTTTGGACTTTGGCAACCCCCCTCCTGAGAGCATAGTGCCTTAACATCTACTTCTGCGTCAGCCCTCTGCTTAGGGGTCCTGCTTCTGGTTCTCTCTTTGCTTCTGCTCCATTCGGCACACCCCTACACCCATCTGCCCACCCCCTCAGATGTATGCATGCACACACTCACACGTACACATGCACTAAGTCAGACAGTCACCATGGGAAAACCCATAGACATGTACATGCACATACTTACACACACATGGTCACACACCGGCAGACACACTCAGATGCATGCACATACTTACACATAGTCACACACCTGCAGACACATGCATACACATACACGTATACACACTCATATAAACATAAACACACACCCTCAAACACAAAGACACTCGTGCTCACATAGGCACACATGTACTCAAATGGATACACTTGCACACAACTTCTTGGCAGAAATTCCAGCTCACAATGTCCTGCCAGCCATACGGGTGGATTTTCTTTCCAATTCTTCTTTGACCCTCCCTCTGTTTTCCTTTGAAGTCAGGTAATTATAGTTCTTAAGAAGTAAAAATTGCCAAACAGCCATAGCAACAGAGGCCTGGCAAGGAAGGACAGCTCCAGCTCTCAGCAGGGCCCAGCCGGGGCCTCCGTGCTGACACAATATTTTGGGTTTAGATCATAAACCCCTCATGTGCCTTCGTTTTCTTTCCTTACACTCCTTTTCCCTCAAAAGCACCTTTTCTTTACCTGCCAGATTCTTTGATTGTCTTTGTGGTGCTGAAAGCCGAGTGAGTCCCACTTCCCGTGGCTGCACAGACGCCGTGGGCTCAGAAGCCCTGCAGGCTGGTAGCCAGACTCCCTTCCCCAGGCACGAACTCAGCACATCTCCTGCACAGCCGCCTTCTGTCGGGGGTGACATCTCTGCCCCCTAGGTTTCCCACAGCGTCTGGATGCAGTCCACAGCTCCGGTGGCACCAGTTTGGGTCCTGGCTTTTAACCTCCCTCTTGCTGGAAGGGGTCAGAGGGGACAGAAGTTATCCTCAGTGCTCTAGCTGAATCCTACTTCACTTGGAAAGAGAAATTTAAACAATTGCGGGTGGTTTTATACAAAATGTTTCTTTATAAACACAAGAATGGGCTGGGTGCCACGGCTCACGCCTGTAATCCCAGCACTTTGGGAGGCTGAGGCAAACAGATCACTTGAGGTCAGGAGTTCAAGACCAGCTTGGACCACGTGGCAAAACCCCACCTCCACTAAAAATACAAACATTAGCCAGGCGTGGTGGTGGGTGCCTGTAAGCCCAGCTACTTGGGAGGCTGAGGCAGGAGAACTGCCTGAACCTGGGACTCAGGGTTTGCAATGAGCTGAGACTGTACCACCGCATTCCAGTCTGGGTGACACAGCAAGACTCCATCTCAAAAAACAAAACAACAAACCACAGGCAAGAGTGAAGTCAGGGAAGCACCCATGTCCTTAGGCAAGTCTAGCACAGGTTTGCAAGAGTAGTAAATTGGGTGTCCCTATGAAGCCAATCCTTGCAGGGACCAAGCGCCCCAGAGGCTGGTTTCTCTAATGCCTGTGATTTGGGGGGCCTGGTACATTATTGTGCATTTTGCAGAGGCAGCTATCACGTGATGAGGAGGTGGCACTAGGGAGAGGTGCACACACCAGGGACCAAGTCTTTCCTTCCAGGGACTCATCCAGGCTGTGCATGACTGACCTGCCTCCCACTGTCATATGGCTTTGGTACAAAGCCACTCACAAACAAACCTCCCTTGCCTCCCTGGCACCTCTTCCCTCTCATTTCAGAGCCCCTGAATCCCTACTCAGTAAGACAGCTGGTCTAGTTTAACGCTCACTATTTCAAATCTTATTCCATCCAAGCACCCCAGGACTGAGCGGGGCCAGTGTGTGCTGGGATCTGGCCCCCACCCCCCCTGGCTCCTTCATGCAGGCACCAGGCTGGCTGGTGGAGGTGAATGCACCCAGAGCCTCCAAGCCCTCTTCCAGCAGATCCTATCACTAGGCACCACTGCTCTGTCCTCACCCTCATCATGGGCACGGCTGCTTGTAACCTGGGAATAAACCACCTAAACATCTCCTTATTAAAAATCCTAAAATTCCCTAGCTTGAAACTCACGACTCCCAATTAACCTAGTCTAGTAATGGGTGCCTCCCAGATGTCTATTTTAAGAGTGATCTCTGGGGCCCGAACCAGACAGGCAGGTGAGGTGCCCAGAACACAGAATCTAAAGATATTGTATCAACGTCAGTATCCTGACCATGCTATTGTACTGTAGCGTTGCTAGAGTTTCATTGGGGGAACTGAGTAACAGGTGCATAGGGTCTCACTGTATTTCTTAGAACTTTTTATGAATCTACAATGACCTCAAAAAAGTTTAATAAAAATTAAAAAGCAGCCATAGGCACAAAGTGTTGCTTTGCATATTGTGGTAAGCCTGCATTGCATTTATCTTTCTGTTTTGGATTTTCTTTATCTCATCTCCTTAGATGAGTGATCTTGCGTTTTCCCAAGTTGTGACCTGGGGTTCCCTGAGGAGGTTGATTCTAGTAATTGCCCACTGGTTATGCCTGCTCCAAACACAGGTAACAGGCACCCTAATGTGGTTTTCTGTTCAAAGTCTCCCTAGCTCCCCTCTATCAGGTATGGAGTCTGAAAAGCTTTTCTGGGTCATTTGTTCCTTCAGCAAACATGGACTGAGCACTGATGTGTGGTCACTCATGGTGTTAAACCTTCAGGGCTGGATGGCTGGCTTTTTTTTTTTTTTTTTGACAGAGTCTTGCTCTGTCGCCCAGGCTGGAGTGCAGTGGCGCAATCTTGGCTCACTGCAAGCTCCGCCTCCCAGGTTAACACCATTCTCCTGCCTCAGCCTCCTGAGTAGCTGGGACTACAGGGGCCAGCCACCACGCCCGGCTAATTTTTTGTATTTTTAGTAGAGATGGGGTTTCACTGTGTTAGCCAGGACGTTCTTGATCTCCTGACCTCATGATCCGCCTGCCTCGGCCTCCCAAAGTGCTGAGATTACAGGTGTGAGCCACCGTGCCGGGCCAACGGCTGGCTTTTTAATACTTACCTTATAGCCATTTTTAAACTGAGAAGCTTAAACTGAACATATAATCAAATTTTGTGTTAAAGAAGTGAGATTTTAGCAGCATTTTTGAGTTTTGAAGTCCAAAACCATCTCAAGGCATAGGAGCCCTAGCCTCAACTGAAGTTGAATTTTTGTAGGGATTGTTAATTGCCATTTGTACCTAATCCTGTATGTGTGTGTGTGTGTATGTGTATATATATATATATGAAATATGATCTGTCACTATGTGACACAAGTTGCATATTTGGGACTGCAGTAAGGGCTTGGTGGGCTGGGGGAATAGTGTGGATTTTTTTTTTTTTTTTTTGAGATGAAGTCTTGCTCTTGTCGCCCAGAGTGGAGTGCAGTGACGCGATCTCGGCTCACTGCAACCTCCACCTCCCAGGTTCAAGCGATTCTCCTGCCTCAGCCTCCTGAGTAGCTGGGATTACAGGGGTCTGCCACCATGCCCGGATAATTTTTGTACTTTTAGTAGAGATGGGGTTTTGCCAATAGTATGGATATTTAATGACTACTTGTTTTTTAATTAATGAACACTTAGCCTTTCTATGTGCATAATGGTGTAAAGGTTAGATGGGTAGGCGTTTGACAAACAGATGCTTGCCATTCAGTTACAGACTGGGGAAATAGCTCAGTATTTGGGATTGAAACTGTAAAGACTGGATAGGTTTTAGTCATCACTCTCTTTTGTCTGGTGGGGATTTAATAAATACTTTCAAGCTTCTGGTTTGGGAATTTAGAGAGTTTTGATTTTGGATTTGTAAATAGTTGATTGCTAAATTTGGTCAGATTTCTCCCGACTGGCTGTTCCTCAATTCTTAGGATATGTCCCAGTAAAATTGCACTTTGTGAATTAATTGTTATATGCGTAATTGTTGCATTTTGGATATACCTAATTTGATAATTTTTTTAAAATTCCATTTAAGGTATCTATTTGCAGGTCAGAAAGTAAGAAAATGTAATTGTGTAATCCTCTGAAATGTAAAAAAAAAAAAAAAACAAAACAAACAAAAAACCTTCGGGGCTGGAATACAAAGGCATGAATCATGAACCCTCTGCTCAAGGAGTCAGGGCAGATGGGAGCTAAACAGGCATTCAGAAGGCTTATTATCTTGTTAACACTCGGTGACAACTCCTACCATAGAGGTAAGCACATGGTGGCCTGCCTGGAAGGCGACCCAGGCTGATTCTTTAAGGAAAGGGTAAACAGTATTTGCCCTGCCTCTGCTGAATCAGCTTCACATTCCTGCTCCCCAGCAGGCATGTTCGACACAATGGCGAGTCCCTCCCTTCCCCAGTGCCACACATGGGATGAACCAGTGTCACTTAGCATTAAATATTGCATAACTGATGTGCTCTGTTTTGGGATTAGACATATTCTGTGCCAGAAATAATACAACTGAGAATAATTGCTAAAAGGGACCAAGATAAGAACCTACACTTAGGAAAGAACTAGAGAGAGCTAGGAAATACTAGGAATGTCACAAAACACAAAAGGGTTTTGATTTTGATTATCTTGTCCCATTACTCAGAGGGGCAATCCTTGCAGTGTTTCCATATCCCTCTACACAGTTTCCAACCTGTGCCCACCAAATTAAAGCAACAACAAAAACCCTCCAAATTTCTTAAATCCATGCTGCATTCTTGTGTCTGACTACAATACTGGTAGAGATGGGAAGGGTTTCTTGGTGCATTTAAGGAAAACTTTGTTTCAGACACCCCATATACCACCAAAGCCATCACTGCTAGGCTGGTGATGGTTTAGATCTCTAGATCAGTGGTTCTCAAACTTGAACATTCCTTAGTATCCCCTGGAGGGCTTGTGAAAACATAGACTGTTGGGCACACTATCCCCAGAATTTCTGATTTGGTAGCTGTGGGGTGGAGGCCAGGTAAACAGGTGATGCTGATGTGGATGCCCTGGGGACACTCTTTGAGAACCACTGCCATAGGCAATTTCTAAGGGCATGGGTGATCCGCCTTTTACAATCTCTCTGATGCCTCATGCAGTCAGGACAGACATGTGGATGTGAAAAGGATAGGGGCCAGCAGGATTCCTAAATGCACTCATTAACACATGGTGCATTCCTTACTATGATGTTCCTGCCTCAGTCAGTCGCTGTTAGGAATTTTACTAACCACGAGAAGAGCCAGAGGACAGGAAAAAGAATCTAAGCTGGTCATCAGGTGACCAAGGTTTTGGTCAGGACTCGTCTACTTGCTTGGTGGTTGATTTCAGGGAAGTAACCTACATTATCTGTTACTGTTTGGTCTTCTCAGTGGAAAGTTCTCTCATCACATTAGGCTCTTAATATGACAAAAAGAAACTTAGGAAAGCAGTTTTTAAAAAGCAAAGTTTATTCTTGTTTTGTTTCTGTTTGGCTGCTTATCATACAGCAGAACAGACTACTGAAAACTGGACATTCAAAGCCTGAATTTCAAGACCTCACACTTGACACTTCCATGAAAGCAGGCAAAAGACTCAGGTGCAGGCAAGGAAAGGGGCTTCCACTGGTAGACAAGACCTTCATGCTTAGCCTTTGGTAACAAATGTCCAACAAGGAATGGCAGGTGATTTGGATGGTGGTAGGAGCGTAACAAAGAGGAATCTCAGAGCAGGGCATGTGTAAAGTTCCAGGCAGGGAGCAGCAGTGCTATTTCTCAGGACTCAGCAAGTCCTAGCTTGCAGGAGTGGTTTCAGGACAGGAGTCTCATCCCCGGATATTATGAGCCCCTCCTACCCATTTCAAATCACCTCCTAGGCTGGGTGCCAGATATTAACTAGACGGCTTCCACGAAGCAAGCTTGGATCAATGCTGGGTTTGCACCAAAGAAGGAATCCTTTAATCCCTCCCCTTCTTTTTTAGAGACAGGGTCTCACTACATTGCCCAGGCTGGTCTTGAACTCCTGGCCTTAAGTGATCCTCCCACCTCAGCCTTCTGAGTAGCTGGCATTACAGGTGTGAGTCGTTGCACCCAGCTGAATCCCCTCTGACTGAGAAAAGAACTGGCGCCAAGCTGAGCCTGAACTTGCTAATGGTATGAGTCAAGGAGTGTGCCCAATTAAGTTAATGGGCTCATCCATTGCCATGTGGACTATACAGTACCTGCTACCCCAAAGAGGCAGAGTCTGTTTTCCCACCTTGGGGGTGGCCTTGATCGTGAGACTTGCTTCGTCTAATAGAATGAGATAACAGTGACCGAGCACTACTAGTTTTGAACCTAGGTCTCGAGAGACCTTAATGCTTTTTTTTTTTTTTTTTTTTTTTTTTTTTTTTCTGTTTTGATCTTCTGCCATGGCCATGAGAAGGACATGCCCAGACTAGGTCACTGGTCCTGTGAGGAGGATGAGAGCTGTGTGGGGCAGAGCTGCCTCAGCTAAATTCTACCAGCCAAGCCCAGGCTAGAGCAGTGACCCCAGATGATCCCCCAAATGCACGAATGAACCCAGCTGAGGTCAGTCAAGTTCAGTACAGCTCAGCAGCCAACCCTCAGCTGATCCACTGACACATAAGCCACAATAATAAGTGCTCATTGTCTTAAGGTACTGAGTTTGGGATAATTTGTTACACAGCAAGAGGTAACTGATACAAGTGGCTACTATGTTAAGCTTGGGGATACCAACATGAATTAACACTAAATATCCACCTGCAAGTAACTTACAATGTAATGAGGAAGCAACAGTTACAATAAGGTAAGTGATATATGCTACTAGAGTTAGGGTTAGAGTTAGAGAACTTGAGAGGAACTTAACGGGTGCTATAAAAAAGGAACTCAATAGGTGCCATTCGGGTTCAGAGAAACAAGGCACAAACTCTGCCTTGGAGGTTAGCAAAGCCTGAGAATGAGAGTCTTGTCTACCAGTGGAGGCTCCCTTTCATTGCCTGCTTCTCAGGCAGAAAGGAAGTTTTCTCCAAAATAACACATGTGCCAAGCAAGGTGTGGACAAATAACCAGACAGCTCTGAGCATGCCCTGCATCGAACACTAGACCAATTGCTTATGGTTGGAAACAATTGAGATCAGACCCAAGGTTTGACTCACATAGGAACAAGTTAACTTCCTGGGATCCAGGGCAACAGAATCCACCTTCACCTCCAGTGGGCCATCTTGCGAAGGAAAGCTGTTGGACTCTAAAGGTGCAGTGGGGTCGGTCCATATCCATGGCCAATCCTGAGTGAGGGCCTTGCTGATGTGGAGAACCCCAGCTTAGTCACTGAGCAGGCATCTCCTTGTCCAAATACCAAGGACAGACACCGCAGGCCACCGACCACTGTAACAGCAAAATAAATTTGTTCCAGGGAAAATGCTAAACATGTGACTGATTTTTTTCCTGTAGTTCTTAAAAAAAAAAAATTCCCTGTGCATCTTGATGATGCATCATTTGTAAGATGCTTTGTTTGCCTACAGTGGTGTCTGGTGGAGGACTAGGGATGGACACTCTAATTCAGAAAGTAAAGAAAAGTAATTGACAGCTTTCCTTCTGTAATTTTGTTTGAGTTCATAAAATAGAGAATTGCTGTAAGCCTAAAAGCAACTGATGGCTGACACCAAAATCGAAACATGGATATGCTCAGCCTGACATCTTAGGAAGCCGCCAACGATACTGTGTGCAAGCCCATCACCCAGCATCTCCCTGGGTATCCCAGGCTTCTTAACCAGAGGAACTTGCACAGAGAAACCAAATTGTGGATGGTTACAGCCATGTGAGTAGGGCTGATCTATCTTTACCTGACAACTGCACATGCAAGGTTAGCCCTTGTTCTGAAGAGCAGATTCTTCTCTGAAATCTGATGCTCTTTGTCTGGACTTTTCAGAAGGAGAGAGAGCATAATGCTTAATTTTATAAGTGACTGATTTGAACTGTGTAACGTCTAGAGATATTTCTCAGAGGTTTACTATCGGTCACAAAAAATATAACATGACTCAGAGAAGAACTGATTTCCCTTTTTTGAAAAGTAGAGAAGCCACAGGGCAAACAAATGAGGCAGCTTCCCCTGGCTCATGCGGAAAGATTGACGTCAATCTCCAAGTAGCTGAGACAGCTCACGCTTGCTTGGGCTCATGAGGAAGAAGTGGAAATCTCTGTGCCACAAAACCCAAAGGCATAATGTCAAAACCCCATCTGTAAGCAGGAGAGAGCTTCAAGGCTGGATGGGCCATGGTCTGATTACAGAGCCAGTTTCACAAAAGACATGGGGTTTACAGCATCACAGGGAGAAAGAGGAGATCGTCAGTTAAATGAAAGAGAACAGTGGATAAAATGACTCTTTTAAGTGTGCTGCCTTTCAGTTCACTGGCTCACAATTTAATGGCAAATAACCAGAAAAATGCCACAAGTCGTCCTTGCTATGAAGTCTCCAAACTCTAGCTAGGTTTAATGGTGCAACATCTGCATATTTGTATTAGTCTGTTTTCATGCTGCTGATAAAGATATACCTGAGAGTGAGCAATTTACAAAAGAAAGAGGTTTAATTGGACTTATAGTTCCACATGGGTGGGGAGGCCTCACAATCATGGCGGAAGGCAAGGAAAAGCAAGTCACGTCTTACGTGGATGGCAGCAGGCAAAGAAAGAGAATTTGTGCAGGGAAACTCCCATTTTTAAAACCATCAGATCTCATGAGACTCATTCACCATCATGAGAACAGCTCAGGAAAGACCGCCCCCCACCCCCATAGTTCGATCACCTCCCCTTATGGGAATTGTGGGAGTTACAGTCAAGATGAGATTTGGGTGGGGACACAGCCAAACCATATAAATATTCCAGCTGCCACTTTGCAGAGTAAATGGTGAGAAGTGATTGGAATCTGGATATAGAGTGCAGGTCAAGCTGACAAATTTTGTATATGGTTTACATGTAGAGCATGAGAGAAAAGAGAAGGCAAGGATTACACCAAGGCCATGACCTGAACAGCTCTTGCCTCGGTGCCTCCAGGTGTGTGGGATGTGTTTGCTTTCTGCTTCTACCTTTCTGGTGCTACTATCAACTTTTTGTCCAGGAACCCCTTGTCTATGGAGTTGTGCCTTCCAGTGGTGTAGACCATCTGCTTCTTCTTCCCAAACCAGGAAACCGAAATGCCACAAAACAGCGCATGCCCTTACTGCGTGTGAAGTCCTTCGGCATTTTATCTTCTCTTCCATTAGTTGTATTTTTTAAAAAGTTTCTCAAAATCCACTACACAGATTCTCTATCCTCTATCGAGTCATGACCCACAATTTTGAAAATCACTCTTTCAGACAACACTGTATGAGAATATTTTTCCTGCTTGAAGCCAAGGGAGAAATAACACTGCTTCTATCCCCAGGCACACTCTAAAGGACACTGGAGAAAGGGGACAGAACCAGCAGCAGGTGCCCACACGTCAGGAAACACTCATCCGCTGAAACAGCTGAGCTTGCCTGGAGATTTGCAAGCAATATATCCAGGAACAACTCCTGGGCTTTTCTCCTGCTGAGCTCCCAGGATCACTCCCTTAGACTCAAATTGTCACCCCCAACTCGCTGTGGTGGCTGCATGGTCCAGATGGCGCTGCACCAACCACTCCTCTGGGGCTGGGACTCTAGGAAGCAAGTGACACACCTTCTTAAGACTAACCCGCAGGTCGGCTTTCTTATTTTTTTTTAAGCAATAATCTCTATGGAGACACCAACAGAGGGTAACAGTAATCATCAACAGAGAGAAGGCTTCGGAACACACAACACTTTCAGAATATGACAGTTTATAATGTCTTGGCCCATATCTACTGTGAAGCAGCAACATCAGTCTTCCAGCCTCTGACCATCACTCTCCTTTGTGAAGGCCCAGCAAGGAGCCCTTTCTAGTCCATGTTGATCAGCCACCTGCCTTGAGGAACTCGATTTAGGCTGTTTTATAACCATTGATTTGTGTTCATTAACTTAAACCTCGTCTCTTTTTAATGGGTTCTTCTATTAGTCTTAATAGTTTTTAATTTGTAATTAAAGTTTCCTAGAGTCACAAATTAAATATCATATCACAGGCAAATATAGATCATTTTGTCTTCTTGACTTAAAAAGTTATACCTTGTATTGCTGTTTCTGGACTTATTTCATTGCCCCGAACTTTTAGAGCTACATTAGACAATAGGAAATGGCAGGTATTTCGGAATTTATTGGAAATGCTTTCAACTTTTCTTTTCTTTCTTTCTTTTTGAGATGGAGTTTCACTCTTGTTGCCCAGGCTGGAGTGCAATGGTGTGACCTTGGCTCACTGCAACCTCTGCCTCCTGGGTTCAAGCAATTCTCCTGCCTCAGCCTCCCAAGTAGCTGGGATTACAGGTACACACCACCACACCCAGCTAATTTTGTATTTTTAGTAGAGACGGGGTTTCTACATGTTGGTCAGGCTGGTCTCGAACTCCCGACCTTAGGTGATCCACCCGCCTCAGCCTCCTAAAGTGCTGGGATTACAGGCAAGAGCCACCATGCCCAGCCGCTTTCAACTTTTCTCTCTTAAAGTATAATATTGTCTCGTTGGTATAAGATGTCATCCTATAATATCTAGTTAAGAGGGTTTTTAAAAATAACAATGATAGTTAAGCTTTATTAAATACTTCTTCAGCATCTATTTTTTTTTATTTTGTATTTTAAAGTATGCATTAATAGATTTCCTACCATTATATTAATATTACTCTGTCTTCTTGGAATAAGCCTTCAATGACATACTGAAATATTGTAACATATCTATGAATTTATTTTCAAGTGTTTTATTTAGGATGTCTGCAATTTTATTAATAACATGCTGTCTTTGCCAAAGTTGCTGATATTAAAAAAATAGATTATTTACATTAAAAATGATATTATAATTTTCTTTGTTATCTGGAAGAGTTTATAAAATATGGAAAGTCTCTTTTCCTCGAAAGCTTTAATGAATTTCCCAGTGAAATCTTCTGCCATGATTGTGAGGCCTCCCCAGCCATGCGGAACTATAAGTCCAATTAAACCTCTTTCTTTTGTAAATTGCCCAGTCTCAGGTATGTCTTTATCAGCAGCAAGAAAACAGACAAATACAAATATGCAGATGTTGCACCATTAAACCTAGCTAGAGTTCGGAGACTTCATAGCAAAAATGACTTGTGGCATTTTTCTGATCCCCTCCCTTCTCCAGGCTAATTTTTGTAGTTTTAGTAGAGACAGGATTTCGCCATGTTGGCCAGGGTGGTCTTGAACTCCTGACCTCAGGTGATCTGCCTGCCTCGGCCTCCCAATGTGCTGGGATCATGCACGCAGCCTAATTTCTGATTTTCATGTATAATTTTTCTCAATGAGCTTTACCAAGATATCTCTGACCAACTCTCAGATAGCCAGCTTTGGGGTTTATTTATCAATTCTCCTTTATTCCCTATATGTTTTTTGTCTTTAAAAATAAATAGTTGAAAATTTTCTGGTTATAAATTATGTAGAAAAATTAGGAGTACTCAGACAAAAAAACCTGCAGACTCCCTCAATGCTCTCCTCCTTAATCCTGATCTCCTCCCTTCTCCCCGGGTCAGGGATTTGAGAAGAAAGTAATGCTTAAGTTTTATATTTTATGGTTTGATTTTTGTTTTGTAATTTTTTACATTGTTATAAATGTATCCAAGTTTTTACTTGCAACAACAATTTTTATTTAATACATGGGCAAGAAAAAATATCTTCTTATTGATAGTTTATAGTTTGTGGGTGTATTGTCATGCCTGGTCTCATGTAGTTTAGTATCCTTATCTTTTTAATTTCTGATTTTCTTTTTCTTTCTTTTTTTTCTTTTCGTGACCGAGACTCGCTCTGTCGCCCAGGCTGGAGTGCAATGGAGCAATCTCAACTCACTGCAACCTCCGCCTCCCAGGTTCAAGCAATTCTCCTGCCTCACCCTTCTGAGTAGCTGGGGTTACAGGTGCCCACCATCATGCCCGGCTAATTTTTGTATTTTTAGTAGAGACAGGGTTTCGCCATGTTGGCCAGGGTGGTCTTGAACTTCTGACCTCAGGTGATCTGCCTGCCTCGGCCTCCCAAAGTGCTGGGATTATAGGCATGAGCCTCTGCACCCAGCCTAATTTCTGATTTTCATGTGTGATATTTCTCAATGAGCTTTGCCAAAATATCTTTGACCAACTCTCAGATAACCAGCTTTGGGGTTTATTTATCAATTTTCCTTTATTCCCTACATGTTTTTTGTCCTTAAAAATAAATAGTTGAAAATTTTCTTGTTATAAATTATGTAGAAAAATTAGGAGTACTCAGACAAAACAAAACAAAACAAAAAAAACACAAAAAAATAACGGAGAATCCCTCAATGCTGTCCTCCTCAATCCTGATCCCCTCCCTTCTCCCTGGGCCATCCTAGGCAGGAGGCTGGGGTTCCTCAAAGGTTCTAGATGATTCCATTGGAATCTTTGGGCTTTGTGGCACCTTCCCACTGAGGGGGATCCTTCCTTTCTCCCACCAGCGACCTTCCTTTTCCTTGTTACACTGACATTTAGGCTGTTTTTATAAATCAAGCCTTGTTATATTTTGTAGCCACTGATTTGTGTTCATTTTCTCAAACCCAGCCTCTTTAATGGATTCTTCTGCTGTGGAAGTGCCTGCACCTTGCATCTTAGGGGTGAGGAGCCACTACATTGAGGTGGAGACTGGGCAGGATTCCTCCCATGGCATTTCTATTTCCGGAGGCTGCTGAGGTGACTTGCTCAGGCCCGGCTCCAGGCCAACCTGTTAGACTGAAGAAGGGTAGAGCCCTGCCCTTTTCTCTTTCTTTTCACCAGTGGGATGTTGGGGCACCCTGTGGATCCCCACCCTCTGCCTCTGTCTATGGGACATGCAAACAACCACATTCCCCTTTGTTTTGCTATGGTTGAACATTTGCTTGCTAGGGTTTTACCAGTCTCTTCTCCCCAAAACCTCATTGTTTCGTTTTGCTCCTTAAAGCACTCACCACATGACGTTATCTGGTGATTTGCAAAAATATTGCCTGGGTTTTGACTGAATTGTGTTTTCTTTTGGTGGTGTATAAAATTGTCATCTATAAATGCTACATAATGACTTTACAAGTTACTACTTGCCTCATGTGTGTCTACATGGTCTCGTGTGGATTACTTGTGACCTGTTACTAGCTTCCACCATGAGTGTGATTCCATAATGTATTTTGTGTTTTCACTTGAAGTTCATTGTACCATATTGCCTGGTACATGGAAGTTCATTACTTATAAATATTAAGATTTCTGGGGTCAGATTGCTTGAATCTAAATCCTGAGTCCACCACTTACTAACAAAACCTGATTTAATTCAATATTCATTAAATATTTGTTGTGTGCCTATCATGTGACATGTGTTGTTCCAGGTACTGAGACTAGAGCAATGAACAGAACATACAAGTTCCCTAGTTCATGGAGCTTACCCTGGTAGGAAGGGATTGAACCAGATGGTGATGAATGCTGTAGAGGAATAGCAAGGAGAATAAGGAGGCAAAGAGTATGTGTACTGCAGCTTTATACAGGGTGGTCAGGGGATAGCTGAGCAAAGGTCTGAAGGAAGTGAAATTGTCAAGCCATATTCCTATAGCTTAGGAAGAGGTCTGGCGCCAAAAGGAGCATCAAATACGAAGTCACACTTCCTAAAATCAATAGGAAAACATAGAAGGGGAAATCAGAAGATTAACATGATCAGATTTGCATTTAATTTATTTATTTTAAATGGACACTTAATAATTGTACATACTCATGGGGTACAGTGTGATGTTTTAGTATATCTATTGTGTAATGATTAAATCTGGCTACAGGTTGAGTATCCCTTATCCAAAATGCTTAGAACCAGAAGTGTTTCTGATTTCAATTTTGTTTTTTAATTTTGGAACATTTTAATTTACATAATGAGATATCTTGGGGGTGGAATCCAAGTCTAACAAGTCTAAACACAAACTTCATTTATGTTTTATAAACACCTTATACACATAACCTGAAGATAATGAAATACAATATTTTTATTAATTTTGTGTATGAAACAAAGTTTGTGTTGAACACTTATGTGTGGAATTTTTCACTTGTGGTATCATGTCAGCACTCAAAACGTTTTGGATTTTGAAGTATTTCACACTTAGATTTTTTATTTTATTTTATTTTATTTTATTTTATTTCTTGAGTCAGAATCTTGCTCTGTTGCCCAGGTTGTAGTGCAGTGGCACAGTCATGGCTCACTGCAGTCTCAACCTCCTGGGCTCAAGTGATCCTCCCACCTCAGCTTTCCAAGTAGCTGGGACCATAGGCACGTGCCACCATGCCCAGCTAATTTTTTATATTTTGTAGAGACAAGGTTTTGTTATGATGCCCGGGCTGATCTTGTACTCCTGGGCTCAAGCAATCTGCTTGCCTCCACCTCCCAAAGTGCTGGGATTACAGGCATGAGCCACCACACCTGGCCTAGATTTCAAATTTTTGGATTAGAAATGCTCAATCTGTATTTGGCATATTTATCACCTCATACATTTATGATATCTTCATGGTGAGAACACTCAGAATCTTCTCTTCTAGCTATTTTAAAATATGCAATATAATATTGTTAACCAGTCACCCTAATGTGCTATGGAACACCAGAACTTTTTCCTCCTGTCTGTCACCTTGTACCCACTGATGAGTCTCTCTCCATCCCCCATCTTCCCCACCCTCCCCAGCCTCTAGTAACCACTCTCTATTTTATGCTTCTATGAGAGCAGTATTTTTAGATTTCTCATATGCGTGAGAGCATGCAGTATTTAGCTCTCTGAGCCTGACTTATTTCACTTAACATCCTCCGGGTTCATCCATGTTGCCCCAAATGACAAGATTTCACTAGTTTTATGGTTGAATAGTATTATTTTATTGTGTGTGTGTATATATATATATATATATATATATATATATATATATATATAACATTTTCTTTCTGTTGATGAAACATAGGTTGATTCCATATCTTGGCTACATGAATAGTGCTGCAATAAACACGAAAGTGCAGACATCTCTTTGACATACTGATTTTATTTCCTTTGGATATGTATCTTGTAGTGCGATTGTGAGATAGGATTTGTATTTATTTAAAAGATCGAATTGTATGTTATGCTGAGATAAATGGGAAGATCCATTTATAAGTCAAATCAACTGAAAGACAATCGTAATCTTGGTGAGAGATGAACCAGGGTAGTGCCTGAGGATGAAGAAATGCAGGCATGTTGGAGATATGTCCCAGAGAGAGACTTGACCAGGTATTTCCTTTTATGGAGGGCAGAATCCTAAAGAAAAGGAAACCGAGGGCCGGACGCGGTGGCTCACGCCTATAATACCAGCACTTTGGGAGGCCGAGGCAGGCGGATCACGAGGTCAGGAGATCGAGACCATCCTGGCTAACACAGTGAAACCCCGTCTCTACTAAAAATACAAAAAATTAGCCGGGCGTGGTGGTGGGCACCTGTAGTCCCAGCTACTCGGGAGGCAGAGGCAGGAGAATGGTGTGAACCTGGGAGGTGGAGCTTGCAGTGAGCCGAGATCGTGCCACTGCACTCCAGCCTGGGCGACAGAGCGAGACTCCATCTCAAAAAAAAAAAAAAAAAAAAGGGAAAGGAAACCGAAAAGGTGATTCCCCACCCCCACTTCCGTTTTCTGGCTTGAGGAATTAGGTAGACAGAGATACCATCACAAAGGGACACTAGGAAAATGATATAGAACCCAGGTGGTTGCCAAAGGACTCTTAGGTCCCAGGCCTGGGGAGGTGACTTCTTTCTAATGGCATGTCAATATGACGAGGGAGATGTGATCAGGCATGTTGACATGTTCCTTGACTCCCACAAACTCAGAATGGGAGCAGAACCAATTCTGTAGTACAGGGTGCTAGTGGTCCCAGTTACAGGGAATCAGGGATAGCAGAGGCAAAACCAAAGCCAGGCCTGCGCACAGTGGCTCACGCCTGTAACCCCAGCACTTTGGGAGGCCGAGGCAGGCAGATCACAAGGTCAAGAGATCAAGAGCATCCTGGCCAACATGGTGAAACCCCGTCTCTACTAAAAATACAAAAAATCACTGGGTGTGTTGGCACATGCCTGTAATCCCAGCTACTCAGGAGGCTGAGGGAGGAGAATCACTTGGACCCGGGAGGCAGAGGTTGCAGTGAGCCGAGATCGTGCCACTGCACTTCAGCCTGGCAACAGAGCGAGACTCCGTCAAAAAAAAAACAAAAACAAAAAAACAAAAGCCAGGGCCTTTGGGAAGTGATTACATCATGAGGGTAGAGACCTCATGCTGGGGTTAGTGCCCTTATTTGTTTTTTTATTTTTTTATTTTTTTTTTGAGATGGAGTCTCACTGTGTTGCCCAGGCTGGAGTGCAGTGGTGATCTCACCTCACTGCAACCTCCGACTCCTGGGTTCAAGCGATTCTCCTGCCTCAGCCTCTCAAGTAGCTGAAACTACAGGTGTGCGCTACCATGACTGGCTAATTTTGTGTGTGTGTGTGTGTGTGTGTGTTTTTAGCAGGGATGGGGTTTCACCATGTTAACCAGGATGGTCTCAATCTCCTGACCTCATCATCCCCCTGTCTCAGCCTCCCAAAGTGCTGGGATTACAGGCATGAGCCACTGCGCCTGGCCTTGGTGCCCTTATAAAAGAGACTTCAAAAAGCTCTCCAGCCTTCTTTGTGCATGTGAGGACACATGGAGAAGCTGGCAGTCCCAACCCAGAAAAGGTCCTCACCAGAATTTGACTATGCTGTTATTCTGATCTAGATGTCCAGTTTCCGGAACTGTGAAAAATAGATCCCTGTTGTTTTTACAGCACCCAGTCTGGGAAACTTTGTTCTGGATGCCAGAACAGACTAAGACAGCCTCTAAGGAGACTGCTCCTGGCAATCGGGAAGACCCAGGTGAGCAGAGCACTTTGCTGAGTTTGGATGTACAGCGTTGTAGGTGGAGTGGGGCAGGGTTGACTGCTTTCCAGAAATAAAGAAGAATTTGAAGTTTTTGATCTATACTGGAGGAAAAGGACAGGAAGTGATAAGGGAGAGAAAGAAAGAAAAGAAGGCCCAGAAAGATGACAAAGTATTGGGCATGGTAAAAAAAAAATTTGTGCTGGGCAGGGCACGGTGGCTCACGCCTGTAATCCCAGTACTTTGGGAGGCCGAGATGGGTGGATCACCTGAGGTCAGGAGTTCGAGTCCAGCCTGACCAACATGGAGAAACCCCGTCTCTTCTAATAATACAAAAATTAGCCAGGCATGGTGGCGCACACCTGTAATCTCATTTACTCAGGAGGCCGAGGCAGGAGAATTGCTTGAACCTGGGAGACAGAGATTGTGGTGAGCCGAGACTGTATCACTGCACTCCAGCCTGGGCAACAAGAGAAAAATTCTCTCTCAAAAAAAAAAAAAAAAAAGAAAGAAAGAAAAAAAAACATGTACCAAAGTGACTCTTCCCCCTGTGACACCCCCTGACACCTCCAGAAAAATCTACAGCACTCAAAAGCATTGGTGTGACCAAGTTCCTGAAGGAAGGGGCCGAGCTGCAAGACAGGGTGACACGGAGAAGGCAGAGGAGACCAGGAAATGGGGACAATTGCCAGACTGCATAAATGGCTGGGTTTGAATGCCAGTTCTGTGAGATTCTTGATTATTCACTGAGAAGTCTGCCAAAATTCCACATGACATGAAATGGTAGTGGTGGTGGAGAGGGTTTGGTTTGGGGCAATATTTTCACCTCTTCAGGGAGCAACCGGGATCTGAGAACCCAGCTGGGCTAATTAATGATTAGGGTGCCTCTTCCTCCTTCCAGTCATATTCTTCACTCTTAATTGCTTTCTTCCTTTTTTTGTTATCTCGTTATTTTCTTCTTCTGGCTCATTTCTTTTTTTTCTTTTTTTGAGATGGAGTCTTGCTCTGTCTCCCAGGCTGGAGTGCAGTGGCACGATCCCAGCTCACTGCAACCTCCGCTTCCTGGTTTCAAGCGATTCTTCTGCCTCAACCTCCCGAGTAGCTGGGATTACAGGACCATGCCACCACGCCTGGCTAATTTTTGTATTTTTGGTAGAGATGGGATTTCTCCATGTTGGCCAGGCTGGTCTCAAACTCCTGACCTCATGATCCACCCGCCTCAGCCTCCCAAATTGTTGGGATTACAAGCTTGAGCCACTGTGCCCAGCCTCTTTTTTTTTCTTTTTTTGAGATGGAGTCTCACTCTGTCTCCCAGGCTTGAGTGCAGTGGTGCGATCTCGACTCACTGCAACCTCCTCCTCCCGGGTTCAAGCAATTCTCCTACCTCAGCCTCTTGAGTAGCTGGGACTACAGGTGCCTGCCACCACGCCTGGCTGATTTTTGTATTATTAGTAGAGATGAGGTTTCACCATGTTGATCAGGCTGGTCTCGAACTCCTGACCTCAGGTGATCCACCCACCTCGGCCTCCCAAAGTGCTGGGATTACAGGCGTCAGCCACCTCACCCGGCCTGGCTTATTTATTTGATAGTAATACTTCAAATCTGTCCCCCAGCCATAAAATTGCCTTCTGGAAAAACATACCTGCGTCTACCATTGTGCAACACACAGCCTAGAACTACATGTAGGGCCCCAACTTCAGGACAATGCGACCTCAGCCCCCCACTAAAGATGGGGAGATTGAGCTCAGCCCAGAGGGTTTGTTTTGTTGTGTTTTTTTTTGTTTTTTGTTTTTTCTTTTTTTTGTGAGATGGAGTTTCACTCTTGTTTCCCAGGCTGGAGTGCAATGGTATGATCTTGGCTCACTGCAACTGCTACCTCCCAGGTTCAAGCAATTCTCCTGCCTCAGCCTCCCGAGCAGTTCGGATTACAGGCGCGCACCACCACACCCAGCTAATTTTTTGTATTTTTAGTAGAGATGGGGTTTCACCATGTTGGCCAGGCTGGTCTTGAACTCCTGACCTCAGGAGATCTGCCTGCCTCGGCCTCCCAATGTTGTTGTTGTTCTTGTTGTTTTCCTCCTCCCTCCTCCTCCTTCTTCTCTTCCTTTGTCTTCCTCTTTTTCCTCTTCCTCCTCTTCTTCATCTTCATGTAAGCCGCTGAACTAGCCTCTGCTATTTTATCAGTTGATTCTTCTACCACAGTTTTTCACAGCAATACTTGATCGAAGAACATCTGCTACTGTCTGGAACATATTTTTTTTTTCTTATACTTGACTTTGCACTTCCTATAGCTGTCAGATAAGCATCGTCTCACAGATTTTGCAACATAGCTCCATATTACTGAACAAACATCCATTATGCTTATGGCTGGAATCATGTCAATCTGAATGCAAAACGTGCCAGCTGTCTTCCTTGTTAATGGGCATCTTAATTATGTTGGCTAATTATGCTGATATTGCAAGTAATACTGTTCATTGTTGCTTTAGAAATAAAAGTGATATCACCAAGTGACTTCCAAGGCTTTTCTAGCTGGGCTATATTTTGCAGATTCAAAATATTAAGATGCAAGAATTCTGAGCCACTCCTTGATGTGGACCTGCAATCTACTGGTCTCTCTACACCTGGACCCATCTCCGGAGGCTTCAACTGCATAGGTCCCTCCCAATTGAATCCTTAGCTTAACTGATTCTATTGCTATGGTTCTTCCTATTGAAATGGATTAGGGAGATGTATTTGAGAGGTTTCATTTTAGGCCCTCGGTGTGACAAAACCATTTTCTGTGTTTCTCTCCAAACTTCTGTATTCATGCTGTCTAAAACCTCAATGGCTGGTGTACCTGAGACTTGTATTTATGTTTATGGTCTTGGTGATTAGTATTATTCTTCTGAAAAAACAACATAAACTTCTCTTTCCATCTCCTTTTCTCTCTTTCTAAAAAATATTCAATTTGAGAACCAAAAATCCTGTTCCTAAAAATCCTAGAGAAAAATTTTGACCAAAAAAAAACTAAACGCACAAAATGCTCCTGGAAAATTCTTCTTTAATAACAATAAAAGATAATGTTATCTAAAAAAATATTCAACTTGAGAACCAATAATCCTGTTCCTAAAAATTAATCCTAGAGAAAAATTTTGACCAAAAAAAAAACTAAATGCACAAAATGCTCCTGGAAAATTTTTCTTTAATAACAATAAAAGATAATGTTATCTAAATTTTATTGATTATAGTTGTCACCACAAGAGGCACCCAGATTATGGTCTTTGTCAATATTCCTTTTTATTTGCCACAGCAAATGAGGTGATGGTGTTTTTCCCTGAATACCATAACCTGGCAAGACCAGTCATTGAGCACAAGGTTATTCTAGGATGTCTAATTGATAAATGAGATACTGCACATGTTGCACATTAAAAACATTGACTTTCTTTCGGTTTTCCAGAACTCCATACCCAACACCAATTCATCACCAAAGGGGATAGAGCAGGAGCAATGGGGATAGAGCAGGAGGCTCCTCCTTGGCATGGTAAGGCAGGGTTCACATCAGTTATCTGATGACTGGAAACTGACATTCCAGGTTTATTATGAACACACAGAGCCAGCACATTTTGGCCCCTTCTATAACTACAACTATTCTCGGAGGAGGAAGAGCACATGAATTCCAAGGACTAGCCCTTCCAAGAGGATGGAAGAAAAACAAGTATTTTGAATGCATCTCAGCCAAACCTCCACCTTTTCTCTATTCCTCTTCCTTCTCTGTCTGTTTTCTTCTTCCTTTCCTTCATAGACCCATAGGCAATGTCAAATATAGGATTAAAGGAGGATGAGGGCAAAAATTTCCAACTGTGATTAGGATTCGCCCTTTCAATGCATGCAATGGATTTAACAAATGCTAAAAACTGGCTAAAGCAACAGTGGTCAAGACAGAAAAATAACATGCACCTGTTTAAAATAATAATTTTAAAGAATCTATCAACATGGAAATGGTATTGGTATAACATCAAGGAATAAGAGCAGAATATGAAATTTAGTGGGTACTATGTTTACTTATGAAAATGAAGACAGTGAATAATTTTTGGTAGTGTTAGGATTTTTATTTAGGTATTTGATTTAAATATTTATTACGAAAGAGAAACTATTTTATGGTGTATTCTGTGGGATTTTCAAAGAAGTTTTATAGTTAAGAAAAATACCTTTACATCCTTACATACCTCATCCCAAATAGTAGAATGATACTTAAGAATATCTCTAAATAACAAAAAATGCAGTGTGTAAACCTTATGAGGAATCTAATTTGAAGATACTAGCTATCAAAAGAGATTCTTGAGAACACTGGGGACATTTGATTATGAAATAGGTATAATATTAAAAAGTATTGTAGGCTAGGCGCAGTGGCTCACACCTGTAATCCTAGCACTTTGGGAGGCCAAGGTTGGTGAATCACCTGAGGTCAGGAGTTCGAGACCAGCCTGGCAAACAAGGTGAAACCCCATGTCTACTAAATATGCATAAAAAAAATTAGCCAGGTGTGGTCGTGGGCACCTGTAGTTCCGGCTACTCGGTAGGCTGAGGCAGAAGAATCGCTTGAACACAGTAGGCAGAGGTTGCAGTGAGCCGAGACTGCGCCATTGCACACCAGCCTGGGCGACAAGAGCAAAACTCTGTTTCAAAAAAAAAAAAAAAATTTATTGTTAACTTTTTAAGGTGTGATAATGTCATGGTTGTTATGCTAAAAAGAAAAGTCCTTACCTGTTAGAGCCCTATATACACATATAAAAAATGATTCTTGAGATTTGCTTTAAAATTTTTTAAAATGTAGACTAGGGCAATGTGAGACAAGATTTTTTAAATGGTGATAATCATTGAAGCTGAAACGGGTAATGGGCACATTGATGTATTATAGTTTTTAATTTTGGGGTATGTTTGAAATTTTCTGAAAAAGAAAAAAGTAATAATACAACTGGCTGCAGTTATGAAAATAAAAGTAAATCAATATCAGGATAATCTTGGGTCTCAGTGTGTTAATTCAGGATAATTCAAGATTTTACTGACACTGAAACATTAGATTTAGTGGATTCTTTTTCTCTGTCAACATTACTGTTCGTGATGTTGTTTCATGCGTCAGATGCTAGGGACATATTTTCAGTGTTTATACTGGGAAATGCTAAAATTTTCTTGACTTCCTTTTTATGAATCAAGTTGTTTATCACTAATTGCTCTTTAACTGCCTGTTCAATACATTAAGATCAAGAATCTCTAACTCCTATTTAATTCTAAAGGAATTTTCAGTGATATAAGAAATAAAGAAGCATAGGAGGATTAAAGACTTAAAAATTCAGAGATTATGCAAAATGAACAAAGAAAGCTCACATTTCCAGGTAGCACTGAGAAAGTGTCTTGGAAACAGGATACCATATTTGTTTCTGAGTTTCCTGGTAACCAAGGCTAAAAGCAAAACACAGATGATACCCAGAAAGTAAAATCAGACACATTAACCTGCATTCATAATAAAACTACACTTCTGATGAAATACATCTCTAATGATTATTCTTGGATATGGAGTAGCACTAATATCACCTTCACTTGCTGTTTTATATAAGACATAGGGATGCCATGTAAATAAAAGCTTACCGAATTCATTCTCTATGAAGCTTAAAAATACATTGTTAATTATAAATCAGTAGCATTGGCTCCATGGAAAGTTAAAAAAATATGGTCCAGGCATTTTGTTTTCTGAAGATCTAAGTAAAGTGAATAATATCAAAGAATGGTCAAGCCATGTGTCCTTAGTTAGTCTGTCTGGCACCTCCAGGATTTGGTGAAACCTGGGCAGGGGCTGGAGAAGCAGAGTTGCCCTCTCTCCCAGACTCTCTTATGCCCACACTGACCATTGATCCCCCCACTGTACTTTGGGAAGACACCAATTCTGTTAGACCTTCCCAGGGACCTTACCAAAAAGGTTTCAAAGTCAAGTACTGAGATGTGATGGTCTGAACAGTGTTACACCAGTTTTCTTTTTCTTTTTCTTTTTTCTTATTTTTTTGCTGCAGGACACTTCCGGTTTTGAACACACCAGGTTTTAATTTGAATGTGTGAGAGGCGTAGAGTGTACGATTTCTCCAGTTTGGTTGACCACGGAATCCCTCTTTCTCCCCTGCTTTTAAAAAAATGTGGCATGTTTTATTATCTCTTTCTTTTCAACACATTATTTAGGAAACCCTGGACTATGGAATCAGCTGAAATGAGAGCCATGAGCTTTATATAACACTGAAAGCACCATGGTTCTCTTTCTGTCATTCAGAGCCAAACTTGCAGACTCCCAGATTAATATGGTGGCTCATAGCAGGTGCCTGATTGCCTGATTCATCCGCTCCCATCCTCCCATTAAAACCCCATTGAAGGCACATGCAAAATTGCAAAATTGCAACTGCACCAGAAGCTAAGAATACCAATTAATGCTTGGCCACAGTCTAGGAAGGATTTCTGCCAATAGCAGTGCAGATGAGGACAGATTGAGAAACTCTCATTAGCTGATGCACAATGCGGCTTTGAGGCAGAGCACCGAGGTCAGAAAAGACGGAGCCAAGCCCATCGCAGAGGCACCTCACAAGTGCCCAGGAGAAGCTGAGTACCAAACTCCAAGCAAGATAGAGTTGCATCCCTAGGCAAAGAGGGCCACTTCTTTAACCCCAACCACAACAGTCCTGCTAATCTGTATTTCTTAAAGAGTGCACCCCCCAAGCGAAGCAACCAGAGGTCCTTGGTCATTAAAATACTTTTCTTTTCCAGGCAGAAGGGGCAAGAGGAGACTCCACACTGATAAACACCAGAAATGTGGCTAATGGTCCTCTCTCCTGCTAAAGATCTGAGAATTCTGTCAGCAACAGAGTGAACACTGAGGGGATCGTGGGGCATGTGCTAGACATTTCTATAGCCCAGCTCAAAAGTGTTAGGTGACTACAGAGTGATTCTAAATGCGGTCTAGGGATATCATTTTAGCAGATATGAAGCCAGTCAAGAGATGTCAGGTTTTGGACAGATGGTGAAGAATCTTATAACTTACAGATAATATTAGTACAATTAAAAATAGAATATATATCTTCCAAATTGTAGAAAGAAAGTAAAATGTAGTCTATAGAGCAAAAGACAGAAAATAACAGAAAAATCAAACATCCATTAAAAAGATACAGAGCAGAAAAATAAGATGGCAAAAGTAACAGCAAACATATTTTTTGAGACAGCAAACAAAACAGTTAAAGTCTCCTTTTCAGAGACTCTAAGTCTGGATTGAAAGGGAAATGTAAGTGTGTGTCATTGAGACTGACTGAAAACAAAAGGAAAAAATAGATTTTTTTCTTTTTTTTTGAAACAGTCTTGCTCTGTCTGTCACCGAGGCTGGAGTGCTGTGGCATGATCTTGGCTCACTGCAACTTCCACCTCCCTGGTTCAAGTGATTCTCATGCCTCAGCCTCCCGAGTATCTGGAATTACAGGCTCATGCCACTATGCCCGGGTAATTTTCGTATTTTTAGTAGAAACGTAGTTTCACCATGTTGGCCAGGCTTGTCTCAAACTCCTGGCCTCAAGTGATCTGCCCACCTCGGTCTCCCAAAGTGCTGGGATTACAGGCGTGAACACTGTGTCTGGCCCCAAAATAGATTATTTTAAAAGATGAACAAAGATAAATTAGACATACATAAGTAAAATAAATCAGGAGTTTAAAACATGACATCAGACAAAACAATGTGCAAGAGAAAATAAACAGAAAAGATCGTTTCATGTTAGTAAAAATATAGTCATGATGAAATTACAACATTCATGAATCTTTATGTGCCAAATTATACAGCATTGACATATTTAAAGCAGGTACAGTTTAAAATCTCAGAAGAAATTCACACACACACAAAATTTTGTGGTAGGAAATTTTTAATAGACCAAAAGTTTTCCTTTGCAAGTCAAGGAATGTATAGAAAACTTTAAGAAGCATAGAAAATTTGGATAATAATATGGCCAACTAGGGCATAACCTAAAAACAAATTTAGAGCCTCAAAACAAAAAAAAAATGTACCTTCTTTTCAAGCAACTAAAGAATATTTTCAAAAGTGACTATTAAACAGAGCATAAGAACATCTAGTATTACAAAAAAAAGGCCTCATTGTATAGGATGTTTTATAAACTTTGCAATTAAATTATAAATTATAGCTAAAATTTAAGCAAAACAAAGCAAAAATAATTTGCAAAACTTTAAACACATTCCTAAACAATTCTGACAAGGGAGAAGAGCTTAATTCCTTATGAATGCTAAAGCTCTAAATCTTTGTCGCAATTTCAGTGCCCCAAGACCATTCAATTCCATCCTTAAGGTGGGACAGTGCATTCATGAAAATCATGTTTTCAAGGACTCAGAAATGGCAATGGGAAATGCTGAAATGAAAGCTTAAGCGCAAAAACAGACTATGGAACAATATGGAGCATATACGCCTAATATTTTTTTAAAGGAAATGAACCAAATTGTCAACAGATACTCTGTGAGGCAAAATTATAAGTGATTTTAATTTGCTTCTATTTTGTGTTATTTTCAAATTTGGGGCCATAAATATGTAGTTATACAATAAAGGAACAATAAATATGTTTTAAGAAAAATATTAAAAATTATAATTAAGTCCTTGAATGCACCGGATCGACCTAGGACACCAGGTGCCATGGCTTGGGTGGGGATCAGCTGCCCCATCACTCCAACCATGGAGCCCAGAGCCTGCTCAGGTGTGTCTTGTCGGGTGTCTCGTTCAGGTGCAGCCTGCTTGCCCCTTAAGGGCCCACCTTCTGCTCATTGGTTACTTATAACTTCATCAGTCTGTGACTTTGAAGACTGCTTCCTTCTTAGCAATTCAGACAAAATTAGCATTTCTCTTCTTCCAAACTTGTATCTGGACTGAAACCAAATTAACCTGTGAAGATTTGCAAACAAAGGCCATTTGTTTGGAAATGACCCTGGATGAACTTTTTTTCTTTTATAGACAGGGACTCACTATGTTGCCCAGACTGGTCTTGAATTCCTGGGCTCATATGATCCCACCTCAGCCTCCTGAGTAGCTGGGATTACAGGCATGAGCCATTGCACACAGCATGGTGCTTCAACAGCTCGCAAGCATGTTTCATTGGAGAATCCTGCCTTCTCTCTCTGCCTCCCCCTCCACCCACAATAATGTGAACGGTGCTGGGGTAGAAAAGCCCTGGGTGCAGGCCTGGTGTGGTGGCTCACGCCTGTCATTCCAGCACTTTGGGAGGCCAAGGCCAGTGGATTGCTTGAGGTCGGGAGTTTGAGACTAGCCTGACCAACATGGTAAAACCCCATCTCTACTAAAAATACAAAAAAAAAAAAAAAAGTTGCTGGGTGTGGTGGTCAGTGCCTGTAATCCCAGCTACTTGGGAGGCTGAGGCAGAAGAATCGCTTGAACCTAGGAGGTTCAGGTTGCAGTGAGCCAAGATCATGCCACTGCACTCCAGCCTGAGTGACAGAGTGAGACCGTGTCTCAAAAAAAGGAAAAAAAAAAAAAAAAGGCCCTGGGTGCAGAGTGCAGGAATAAGGATGATGCTAGGGAATGAAGTCACATTCTCCATCCTGTCAACTAAATTAAATGATAAACAGGAGAGAGGAGAGCCTTCCACATGAAGGAAGAGCCTGAGAACAAGAGCACCTGATGCTCAAAGACCATGAGCATGAAGGGCAGGGGGCACGACGAAGCCAGGGGGATGTGGTGTCTCACCACGTGTGGTTTTGGGTCTGTGCAAATGATATGGTCCTTTGACTTAGGGGCAATGAGAACCTACTGAAACATTTTAAGCAAAAGGTGACACGATCGGACAAGGTTAGAAAAATGAACAGATCATCCTGGCTAACACGGTGAAACCCCATCTCTACTAAAAATACAAAAAATTAGCCGGGCGTGGTAGCACATGCTGTAGTCCCAGCTACTCTGGAGGCTGAGGCAGGAGAATGGTTTGAAACCAGGAGGCGGAGGTTGCAGTGAGCAGAGATCATGCCACTGCACTCCAGCCTGGGTGACAGAGCAAGACTCCATCTCAGAAAAAAAAAGAAAAATGAACATGGCTACAGAAGGGATAGCAAATAAGATATAGAGGGGATGAGACTGGAAATGGAGCTGCCAGCGAGGGCACCTGATGGAGTGGTGAAGGTGGCATTAAAGAAAAGTGAACAGATCTAGAAGATAAAGATCATGCAGTGCATCTCAATTGGGGGTGACTGAACCCTCCAGATTCTGGAGAAATTTTTGGTTGTCACAACCAGAGAGAAGTGCTGCTGGCACTTGGTAGGTAGAGGCCAGGGGAGCCGTTCAACACACCTGCAATGCACAGACCATCCCCACCAATTATCAGGACCAAAATCACAATAGTGTTGCCCGTGAGGATCCTTGGAGGTGGAAACTGGATGCCAGGACAGTCCCATTTCCTGGCATGTGTAGAGGGTCAATGATGATGCCAGTCACTGCCAGAGAAGATCAAGTGTGCAAGGAAGGCCACGGGGTATGAGTGTCTCTGATTTTACTCTCATAAAAGCAAGCCTGGGGGAAAATGGTGAAATTGGAAGATGTTGATAAAAGATGTTTTAATAAAGATGCAAAGTCTACATTAAGAAAAATATCGAGCCAGAACTCCTTACACAGGACTTTCCTACCTGTGTGCTGTGTATATTAACAAGTGCGCTCTGGAGGGAGGGGCACTGGGGACCTGCAGAGGGCTGGACTCAGCCGGGGAACCCCCAAGGCAGTGGACCTGGTATTCCAGGAGCTCCTGCAGAGAGCACTATGGGGCTGTTTGCACAGCGGACTGAGGGCCCTCAGGGAAGGCCGGGGAGCCAGGGGGTACCCCTTAGTCCAGGGCCCAGAGGGAAACTGCTGTTTTGAGCACAGTCCGCCCCTCAGCTCAGCCAGAGCCCTGCCGCTGGGACTTGGCCTGCCTCGTGAGGAGAGGTGAGTGCAGGACAGGGACCGGCCTCACCTGCGTCTCTGCAGCGGGGCGCTCCTCTTTCTATCTTTCACCTGGACAACTTGAGCCCAATGTTTGCAGCTCAGGCTCTCTCCTGGGGATCCTTGAACCCACAAAACTGGGGTGGGTGCTCCCTCTGTTTGTGTGAAAGCACAGATTATGCCAATTGATCCTGCTAGGCCCTTAAGGGAGGGACTGCGTTTATTGATCATGAAATCCCCAGAGCCCCCAACAGGGCATTGTCCTGTTAAGGGGTGGCCGCATGGCCCAGAGGCACAGAGCCCTGCTCTGGTGTCTGTGACATCTGCAGGGATGGAGGACATTGTCTTACAGGAGGTCTCAGGCCCAGGCACTGGCAGCCTCAACCCAGGCACTGTAGGCATAGGCTAAGAGCAGCCGACCCCGGGACCCCCTGCAACAACAGCAGCTTCCAGGCTCTGCCCCAGTGACAGCTCACAGCACCGGTCCCAGGAGGAAGGCAGGGAGACAGCAGGTGTAGGTGACACTGAGCCTACATTGTTCTCCACCACTGCTGAGACAACCCTCTTGAAATAGTCGCTGATCCACACACTCCTGTTCCTGACTCACCGCTGTTTGCTCTCGCTGAGGAACAAGTTGGCCAGGAAGCCGCGCAGCAGCCATGGCTTTTAAGGTGGAAAAACACCTGTGGAGCTGGAGGTGGCAATTCACCCAATTTGAATCACTCTAACAAGCCGCAATGTAAAATCCCTCGAAAAGGTGTGTGCTGACTTGGTCAGAGGAGCACAGGAAAAGAATCTCAAAGTGAAAGGACCAGTTGGAATGCCTAGCAAGACTTTGAGAATCACTACAAGAAAAACTCCTTGTGGTGAAGGTTCTACGACATGGGATGGTTTCCAGATGGGAATCCACAAGCGACTCATTGACTTGCACAGTCCTTCTGAGATTGTTAGGCAGATGACTTCCATCAGTAATGAGCCAGGAGTTGAGGTGGAAGTCACCATTGCAGTTGCTTAAGTCAACTATCTTAAATAAATTCATTACCAGTTGTTTAAAAAAAAAAAAAGGAAAAAGAATTAGAGAGACTTCACAATGAGCAAATGAAATTCCTGGAATAGCAGGTGTAGGCAGTACCCTAGGACCACTGCGTGTGACCATTCAACTATTTTCTTGACCCTGGTTTTCCCAAAAAACATGGATCATACCAAAATCACCAGTTAGTCATGCTTCTAAGAAATAATCTCTCCATCAGATAAATTGCAGCCTGTTCATAAGGCTGAGATGGTGCCTACTCACAATAAGAAATTAAGGTTCATTGAATAGGTCCAGTGCTTCTTGGCCCTTCACCCAAGCCCAGAAATTAAGTGTGAATGTTACTTAGTCATCACACATTGATGAGTGACAATTTTTTTTTTTTTTTTGAGACGGAGTCTCACTCTGTTGCCCAGGGAGCAACACCATGCCTGGCTAAACAATATTTTTTTTTATCTTAAATCTTAGACAAGTTTTTCATTTTGTTGTGCGTGTGCATGTGCATGTGTGTGTGTGTGTTGCTGATGTTTTGTTATTTCATTTTACCCTGCAGGTTTGTGGCAGAATCAGCTCAGAGGTCAGGATTCAGGAGAAGGCCCGAATCACTCAGAGTCAGGTCCATAGTCTAAATGGACAACAGTACCAGGTGTCCTGTCCTCCCTGAGTAACTTGATAACAACAGATAAAAAAAGATAAATCTTTTTTTTTTGAGATAGAGTCTCACTCTGCCACCCAGGCTGGAGTGCAGTCTTGGCTCACTACCGCCTCTACCCCCTGGGTTCCAGTGATTCTCGTGCCTCAGCCTCCCTAGTAGCTGGGACCATAGGCATGCGCCACCACGCCAAGCTAATTTTTGTATTTTTAGTAGAGATGGGGTTTTGCCATGTTGGCCAGACTGGTCTTGAACTCCTGGCCTCAAGTAATCCACCCACCTCAGCCTCCCAAAGTGCTGGGATTATAGGCATGAGCCACTGCACCCAGCCTGATAACGCCTTCATTTCTGAAAGACTCAAGACACAGCTTGTTGACCAGCCAGCTTGACATTCTAGACCCTGTGACAGGCTTTTTGCCTGTTTGAGTAGCGTAAATAAATTAACCCGGGGTTTAATCAATCAGTCTCTGAGACTTTTTCATACTTTCCCAACACTGTGCCTTTCCTTATACTGCAGCCTCTTCTGGGAGAGTTTGTAGCCTCTGCGTCTGCGTATCAAGGCCACACCCTCTGGTTCTGACATGGAGATCCTCCATGGAGATTCCAGAGCCTCCTAGGTCAGCACTGCGGGAGGGAGAGAAGTACAGGGGAGGGACAGAGAGAGGTACAGGGGAGGGACAGAGAGAGGTACAGGGGAGGGGCAGAAGGGAGGAGCTGGCTGTGATGCAGTCTCAGGGAAGAAGATGGGGAGTCCTGAAGATGAAATGACCTCCAGAATGTTCCATAGTAAGGGTGCAGTGCACAGAATTGAAGAGAAAAATCTCAGAGACAGAAAAAATGCTGCAAGAAGAAATAGGAGCTGCTCCAGCAAAATGACCTGACCTCGGGTTTGGGCAGTGAAGTTTGAAGGAAACACCCTCCTCTTGCCCTGTGCAATCACGGGACACCTCAATCTGCCCCTCCTGTGTCCCCAGGTTCATTGAATAGTTCCAGTGCTTCTCAGCCCTTCACCCAAGCCCAGGGCCCCTGGGTAGCCTTTGCCTCTTTCCCTCCCTCCCCACGTTCAATGCATCAGTCAGTCTTATTAGCTTTAATTCCAAATAACTTTTAATTTAAAAAGGTTGAGTGCCAACTACTTCACTTACCCTTATTTCATCTTGAGTCATGTGGTGAAATGGGCATTAGAGTTCCCAGTTTCCACGATGCAGTTTGTAGGGCTTCACTGGGTTTGGGGACTGTCCCAAGCTCCTAGGAGAGTCACTGACAGAGCCAGGGTGTGGCCTGGGGTGTTTGACACCAACTTGATGTACTTCTTCCAGTCTGCAGCTCAGTCTTCACCTTCAATTGCGACATTGCAATTGAATAGAAATCTGCATCAGCCCACGCTCCACTGAATGAGTACCTCTTTAGAGTGGGCTCATTTTATTTCAGGTTTTAAATACGCCCCCCTCCCCATGTGATGGTCATCAGTAGACAGAACCTCATGCCTCCGGGTTCCCTCTCCTTTCATTTACTGTGATATCACACTGTCTTGGCCAAGCACTGACCATAGAGGTGGGGTATGAAATTGCTGTGTACACAGTCAAGCATCCTGGGCTGGGAGTGGGCCAGTTTTGTGCCCTGCGTCTCTCTGTTCGGACTGCTGCTGCCCCATGTCTCTCTGTCTGTCCCGATGGCCACTGTCCCATGTCTCTCTATCTGACCCGATGGCTTCTGTCCCGTGTCTCTCTGTCCTGATGGCCACTGTCCTGTTTCTCTTTGTCTTTCCCAATGGTCACTGTCTCATGTCTCTCTGTCTGTCCAGACAGCCACTGTCCCGTGTCTCTCTGGCCCTATGGTTACTATCCCATTTCTCTCTATCTGTCCTGATGGCTGCTGCCCCATGTCTCTCTGTCTGTCCTGATGGCCTCTTTCCCGACAGCCACAGCCTCATGTCTCTCTGTCCGGATGGCTGCTGTCCCCTGTCTCTGTCTGTCCTGATGGCTGCTGCCCGTGTTTCTCTGTCTGTCCTGATGGCCTCTGTCCCGACAGCCACAGCCCCATGTCTCTCTGTCCGGATGGCTGCTGTCCCCTGTCTCTGTCTGTCCCGATGGCTGCTGCCCCGTGTCTGTCTGTCTGGACAGCCACTGTCCCGTTTCACTCTGTCTGTCCTGACAGCTGCAGCCCCATGTCTCTCTGTCTGTCTGGACAGCCACTATCCCATGTCTCTCTATCTGTCCTGATGGCCACTGTCCTGGGTTTCTCTGTCTGTCCCAACAGCTGCAGCCCCATGTCTCTCTGTGTGTCTGGATGGCCACTGCCCCGTGTCTGTCTGTCCCGATGGCCACTGTCCTGGGTTTCTCTGTCTGTCCCGATGGCTGCAGCCCCATGTCTCTCTGTTTGTCTGGATGGCCACTGCTCCATGTCTTTTTGTGTGTCCCAATGGCCGCTGTTCCGTGTCTCTCTGCCTGGCTCAGTGACCTTCGTCTTCTGCTCGTTCACATCCTGCCTGTGCTTCTAGCAATATGGACATGAGCAAGGAATCGACCCTCCATGGCTTAAGCCAGGAAAGCAAACTCCACGACAGATTCCAACCTCATTCATTTATCAGTCAAGAAAACAGGAAGCACCTATAACATCTTCAGGGAACTTCAGCCCAACGAAGGGGAGAGGAAGCAAAACATGGACTTAGGATGAGGCATCATGAGGGTTTGGGTGCAGCAAACCCAGGGGATCAACAGAAAATCTAGAGGGGAAGGATCTAAACAGAGTCTAAGAGGACACCTCAGAGTTATCCAGGCAGACAGGGAGGAGCATGGCATTCCAGATAAAGGGAGCAACCATTGTGAAACAAATGCTCCTTGGGGAGATGCTAGCACCACGGCCAGTCCTGTTTCACACCCATTGGGGGTGCACTGTCTGTTTCAGAGATTCCCTTCTAGATGAAGGCAGCCCCACGGATGTAATGCTCCTGGCCTCTGCAGGCTTTCAGTGGAGGTGGGGGATTGATCTGATGGGCAAGTTGCAGGGGAACTCACAGGGAGGGAACTCATGCCTGCCCCTTTATGAAGGACAGAGCGCGGGTCTCCCCAGACCCACTGCCCCCGTGGAGACATGTGCTGCCTGCACTGTCCAACTGCCAGGGGCTGCAAGCACAGGTCTGTCCTCCTGGGGTCTGGCGTCAGGAAGCCCGTGGGGGCTGCAGGCTCTGCAATCAGCTCTGGCAGAACTAGGGCCTGCATTTGACCTTCATCGGCTCCTCCTTGGTCTCTGTCAGTTGTTCCAAACTCAGGGTGCAATTTCCTGGGCTCCCCACATCCTAACCCCATTAGGGGCTGCTTAGATGGCTGGGCCCCTTTCCCACTTTTCAGCGTCATGAGTGGAGCACCTACTGTGCAGCTGAGAGGGAAGCTCTGTTTGCCCGATGCCTTCATTTTCCAGGTGAAGGAGCTGAGGCTGAGTCACACACTCCACAGGGATCAAGATCCTGCACAAAGGCCTGCATATGGGCAAGTGACCCATGCAGTCACACAGGGACCCATCTTCAGAAGGGCCCTGTTCTTGGTTTAAGGATCTGCTGCTATCCTCTCTAAATTCTTAGTAATTTTTGAACAAGAGGCCCTGTATTTTCTTTTTTTTTTTTTTTTTTTTGCACCAGGTCCTGCAAATCATGTAGTTGGTCCTGGGAGCAGAAACAGAATTAGAACTCAGGCCCCCTGACTAAGGCCAGTGTCTTTTTCCACCACCCCACTCCGGTCTCTGAATGCTAGTGAAGCTGAACTGCAACATGTCCCAACCATATCTTTCAAAGCTAAAGCCAGAGGCCTGAGTGACGCCTTTCCCGGCCTGAAAGCCCCTGATGAATGACATCACCAGATTTCCTGGTTGCTGTAACATTCCACCCCAAACAAGGGAGCTGCTGCTTTTTTTTCCCAGTAAAAATCACCTCCTGGGGCACTTGATCATCATCCTACCTGGGGCTACAGGCAGCCAGTCTCAGAATCACCCAGAAGTCAAACTGGCATCAAGGCTTGGAGAGAAAATAAGGTCAGGAGAGCTCAGGAAAGTTTAGGAAAAATACAGGGGGCGAAGAGAACCTACATAAGCACAGAGAGCACTGCTGAAATTGAGAGATATTTACAAACCTAAATAGGAGCCAAACAACTCCTCTGTGCCAGCTTTATGCCACATCCCTCTCAAGAAAACTATGGCACATGTCTCTTTTCAAAGATACACCATAAAGAGAAGTATGTTTGTTTTTATTCCAATGTTAGTGCTTCTTAGCTACAATAGTTAATCTACAGCAAATTATGAGAAAAAGGGTGCCTTAAGCAGAGCAGAGTTTGCTACAATGGATGGTTTTTCCTGACAAGTTTGTCTGTGCACATTTCCTGAGATTCCCATTTCCTATAATACCTTGTACTTCAAGTTTATTCTCGTTGCATTATTAAATTGCGAGTGATCATGTTTCTCACTGCAGTGGGACTCCCTCCACCATCAGCTGAGACCGCCTAAGCTCCCAGAGTAACTCAGAGAAGGAAAGGGCAGGCTGGTTCCCAGAGGCCCAGGGAAGCATGTCGGTCTGTGTGACCTTGTGTTCACACATCCCAGGTCTGGGATTCTGGCCCAGGAAACAAGATTCTCATCCACATTTTAGAAACCACAACTTTATAATACCTGCTTCTTTATTTATATTCAATCAGTTTAACCATTTGAGGAGTAAGTCAATGAAAATGTTTAACAGTTAAAAAACATACAACCACTAATTTTAGAATAAAATATTCAGAAAAAAAATGTTAAGCTTTTAAATAGTTCATGTTCTATATCACCCTTTGGAAGATTCAGGTTTACCTAAATTTTTTATTAACGGGACAGCCACCTTCTAAACAGGGACAGAGTTCTATAGGCACAAAGGGGTGGGAATACAGTCCAGGTCTTCTGTTCACATGGACCTGAGAGAGAGCAAGTAGAAAGTCAGTGATTCAATTGCTTGGTGGGTTAATGCCATTTCCCCTTAAGGAGGTATTGCTAGATCCTTTTTAGGACTCAGAGGAAAATAAGAAATATTGCCTGATGTCTACCCACTCCCTTCCAATTCTGTTTCAATGTTAGAATTTTCCTTTGCTAACATTTAATCTCTGTAGAGGGTCAGCTACTTAATGCAACAATGTTTCATTTCCATGGAAGCATCTGTTTGCTGAAGACATGGGGGTTCCCACGGCAACCTACTGACATGGGATTTTGCAGTCCTTCCTCCCGAATTACCAGGAAGCCAGGGCTCACGTGTGTGGGTGTCAGAGCTGACAACTGGCCTCGTCGGCGTCCATCTCTTCCTCCACTCCCTCTAATGAAATTAAGTCCCTGCTGCTGGACAGCGTCCTGCTAACAGCTCGCAGATTGCCCCACCTCTCAGGGCCTGTCTGGGCATCTTAGCAGCATCTGCTTCCAGCCTGTCACGCTCTAGACTCGTGATAGCTGTCTGCTGACTAGATGGCATTCTGATAAAGGGCAGAAAGGCAGAGCGATGTCTGTTCTGGGGTGTGTGCCAGGCACAGGGTGCGGGACAGTGGTGACGCGCTCTGCCTTTCCTCAGCCAAAACCACAAGCCCTTGTCCCGTGCAGCGTCCTCATGCGAGATGTTCCGCAGAGCCACTTCATGGTTCTCAGCACACTCAGAGCACTCACTGTGGCTTTCAGCAGCACGAAACAGATGCTTGAATGGGCCAAGAATGGGGGGCAGTGGCTCAGGCCTGTAATCCCATCACTTAGGGTGGCTGAATCGGGTGGATCTCCTGAGGTTAGGAGTTCAACACCAGGCTGGTCAATATGGTGAAACCTCGTCTCTACAAAAATACAAAAATTAGCTGGGCATGATGGTGGGTGCCTGTAGTCCCAGCTACTTTGGAGGCTGAGGCAGGAGAGTCACTTGAACTCGGGAGGCAGAGGTTGCAGTGACCCAAGATTGCACTCCAGCCTGGACAACAGAGCAAGACTCCATTTCAAACCAAACCAAACAAACAAACCCAAGAATGAATGAAGCATTTGGGACGTTACGCGATAGGAGCTGAGGCTTGGGGGCAGGCACTGTGCTGCATGTTATCCCACTGTTAGTATCTTAAAGACAGGGACACAAGTTTAGGGAACAAAAGCAAATTAGGCGAGGTCTGACTCCAGGACCTGAGGCTCAGCCGCTGTCTGTGACTCTAATCCCCAAATTGCTTTCCACTGTCAGGAGTCCACACTCTCAGTAATGAAACTTCCTGTACCACTGGCTTCTTTTTTGTTTTTTTGGATGGCATCTTGCTCTGTCACCCAGGCTGGAGTGCAGTGGTGCCATCTCGGCTCACTGCAACCTCCGCCTCCTGGGTTCAAGTGATTCTCCTGCCTCAGCCTTCCGAGTAGCTGGGACTACAGGTGCCCGCCGCCGTGCCTGGCTAATTTTTCTATTTTTAGTAGAGATGGGGTTTCACCATATTGGCCAGGCTGGTCTCGAACTCCTGACCTTGTGATCTGCCCACCTCTGCCTCCCAAAGTGCTGGGATTGCAGGCGTGAGCCACTGCACCCAGCCACCACTGGCTTCTTATGTTAGTGCTTCTTGTGCCAAAACTCAGGTGACTGGAGAAGGGAGGAGCCACACAGTCTTCTCCAAGTGTGTGGCCTGTCCATGGGCTGAGATGCAGCTTTCAGCCTCTGTGGCTGTCTTTTCTTTTATCCATATTCTCATATCTCCCATTCTAGCGCTGTCTCTTATCAACCTAATTGAGTGACATGAAAGGGCACAGCTTCAACTGTGACTCAGGGGAGCGAGGGACAAAGGAGGAAGGAGGTTGGGGACCTGACGTCTGTCTTTGGTGTTTCCCACTCCCCACTGCTGCCTTGTCGCTGTGGATTCATTTGCCATCCTGAGGTCACCGCAATCCTGGTCTGTCCGAAAGTGTGCTTCACTAGGGGTAGCACTTCCCATGTTGGGCATGAATTGCAGGAAGGAGGCTCAGCCAGCCTCTCAGAATAACCTCCTTCCAGCCAGGAGTGACACAAGTGTGGGCATGAGGGATTCACCGGTTCTTGAAGGGTTAGGTCCTCTGGTGGTGTTGTGGAAGGAAGGCACCCCTAGCAAGGGAGGCGGCCAGGGAGGGCAGAGTCCCCTGCGAGAAGCTGCTTCTCCAGCCATATTTCTGGGGTTGTGGTTAAAGCTCAGTGAGCCGGAGCCTTACCAAGGAGGCTGATGGCCTTGGTCACAGCCAGGGTGACATCCCAGACAGGTCACTGACCACAGAGCTGCTCCTCAGATGTTTAGGTCGGACCCTCAATCAAGCAGCGTATTCTGAATTGAACCTCTCTTGGGAAATTACTGGCACTAGCTAAACCCACAGAAGTGTGTGTGTGTGTGTGTGTGTGAGACACACATACATGGACATTGAAAAATAGTAATAAAAAAGCACCTGGGTACCCACTGTCAGGAGAAAAAGTAGCTATTATCACTACCACAAGGCTCCCTGTTGCCTGTCTCCAGTACCTGTCTCCTCTTTCTGACTTTGAGGTTAAATGTCTATGTGCTAATATGTTGTTTAAGAATCGATCCACATAGACAGATGATAGATAGATAGATTCCTAAACAACATATTATTAAGTTTAGGAAAACAGAGTAATAAGCACAAATTGAGCTGTATAAAAAATAGACTGTGTCACTACTGGAAAATGCAGATTCCCAGTAGAATAAGCAGAACGATCTGTGGGTCTCAGTCAGCCTTCAGCATTCCTGGGAGTTTACAAGGCCTCTTCTAGGGGATCCAGAAGAGCGATGTTGAATGAATTCTGACAGCCCTAGGGACCACTCCAGTGAGAACATCAGGCAGGGTGGCAGAGCAGCCAGGCTGTGGACCACTGGCAGAAATGTAGTCAGAGGGTGTGAACCGGTCAGTATTTTCTGGTTCACCTCCTGCTGCAAGAAGGAGGTCAAGTGTAATATTTTTATAGGGTAATACAAGGCCCATGGACCAGGATATTGAGAGAAAAGAAGGAGCTTCATCAACACACAGGCAAGGCAGCTGTGTTGGCCCAGGCTGGCCCAGGCACTCTGTCCTCAGGTAGAAAGATGCAAACAACAATGGTGGCTGTGACCTGGGGGAGTGCCCCTAATGGATCTGTCTCAAGAGTCGCATGAGGGCTGGGTGCAGTGGCTCACGCCCCTACTACTAGCTACTTCGGAGGCTGAGGCAAAAGAATTGCTTAAGCCCAGGGGTTTGAGGCTGCAGTGAGCCATGATTGTACCACTGAACTCCAGCCTGGGCAGCAGAGTAAGATCCCATCTCAAATAAATAATAAATAAATAAATAAAAATAATTTTTAAGAGAGTCACATGGGTCTAATCTGAATGTGCTGTCTTCCATCGGTGTACATGGATGGTCCTGGATTCATCTCCAGTTCCAGAGATTCCTAGAGATGCCTGTTCCTGTGCCTTTTGAGATCAGATTGTTTCTCAGCTTCTTCCTGCTAGGAGAGAGTCAATTTTCTAAGGTCCTCTCAGGTCAGTCCTTGCCGTACCCATCGGCTTTCTGCTTTCCAATTCTTCAAATGTTGTCACTGTCATCTCCTCTTCTGCCCTGCCTATCTGGGTCTCTCTCTCTCTCTCATTACTTTAGTGAAGCTTAACTGAATATTGTTCTGGAGGGAACAAAATTAGACATGCATGGTTGATCTTCCACACTCTTTGATTATTCTTTTCAACTGTGGTTGCTGAATCAGGTGGCAAGGAGCCTGTTTTAGTCCATTCTCATGCTGCTATAAAAGACTGGGTAATTTATAAAGAAAAGAGGTTTAATTTATTTACCATTCATGGCTGGGGAGGCCTCAGGAAACTTACAATCATGGCAGAAGTGGAAGCAGGCACATCTTACATGGTGGCAGGCAAGACAGACTGTGTGGAGGAGGAACTGTCAAACACTTATTAAACCATTAGATATCACGAGAACTTACTATCATGAGAACAGCATAGGGGAAACCACCTCCACGATTCAATCACCTCCCCGCCTGGACATTTGGGGATTACAATTTGAGATGAGATTTGGGAGGGGACACAAAGCCAAACCACATCAGAGCCCTTTTGGCTGAAAGTCTTCCAAAGAGGGTCCACACACCCATGCAGCATGAGAAGAGTTTGTTTCCAACGGGAACCAGGCCCAAGTAGTTTACAGAGTCATTTTTCAGCCTTTCGGTTTCTAAATGAGTGTCCCTTGAAAATGTTCTTGCAATGGATGTGATGTTCCCCTTTCCCATTTCGCTCCCCACAGTCACCCTTCACCCGCTTCATTAAAAAAAGTCTCTTCTCTTCTTATAGGGACACTGGTCATATTGAATTGGGGTCCACTCTAATGACCTCATTTTAACTTACTTACCTCTGCAAAGACCCCCTGACCTACTTCCAGGACTCCTTACAAAAGGACCTTTCAACATTGGTATTGACTGAAAAAAATAAACAGTGCTAATGACTAGATAACAAATTATTTTACAAGCCATGCAGTCATTTCTAAATGTTTACTTTTAAAAAATTAGTTGACCAATCATTAATTTTTCTTTTTTTTTTTTGTGAAAGAGCCCTACATGTTTTTGGACATAACTCAGAAACAGTTCAAAGAATTGAGTGATACTGATTTACAAAAAAAAAAAAAAAAAAAATCAAATCTTATACTTCCAACTGTTTGTTTATGTGTAAAGGGCAAAATTCTCAGAGCTATAGAAAAGAAAAATAAGCATAGTTTTTTGCTGAATTTCAACTCATTCTAGCAGTGGAATATTTATGCTTAGACACATGAACTACTAGAAAAGTAAAGCAACTCTATCCACCTAATTAAGAGATAAATTTTTGATAACACTTCCTCTTTATGTATAGTATTTGTCCATCGAAATGTAAAATCCATTTGTGTTTTTGATCCATTATGTGCTGCTAGTGCAATGATAATGTGATCCAGAGGAAATTTTTAGCACCTAGATTCTTATGGTCACAGGATATTGACATATTTCAGTTCCTGCCCATGATCTCATTTGTGTCTGATCCAGAGATGTATAATCGATAAAATACTTTCAAGCATAATATGCTTTACATCAGATGAAATTCTGTGGGAATGAAAATGTGAGTTTAAGGAGAAAAGGAGGGAAGTAACATTTCCAACTGCTCAGAAGAGCTTGTCGGTGGTGGTTCCGTTTTAATGGATGCCAGTACTTGTCAAATTACTATGATATTTAGAGTCCACTGGATAATTTCAAAGAGTGATGCTACTATTTTTGTCTCTAAGTGTCAGTGCAGTTAACCCTGAACAACTCAGGAGCTGGGAAGTTGACTCCATTGTAGTTGAAAATCCATGTATCACTTTTGACTCCCCATAAACTTTTTTTTTTTTAAACACAGAACAAAATCCTCTGTGAACATACACACAAAAATCCTCAACAAAATACTAGCAAGTTCAACCCAACAGCACATTATTATATGCCAGGGCCAAGTCAGATTTTTCCCAGGAATGCAAGGTATAGTAACGTAAGAAAATCAATCAATGTAGTATATGCAGAAATAGAATGAAGGTGAAAATCCATTTGATCATCTCAATTGATACAGAACAACCACTTGGCAAAATCCATTTATCTTTAATGATAAAAACACTCAGTAAGATAGGAATGGCCAGGAACTTCCTCATCATAAGGAAGGACTGTAGGTAAAACCCACAGCTTATGTCCTACTCAATGGTGAAAGACTAAAATCTTTCCCATTAAATTCCAGAAGAAGACAAGGATGTCTGCTTTCACTGCTTCTATTCAAGATTTCCTGCAAGTCCTAGCCACAGGAATTAGTTAAGAAAATGAAATAAAAGGCATGCAAATTGGAAATGAGTAAGTAAAACTGTTTGCAGATGAAATGATTCTAATATATGGACCATCTAGAAAAATACACACACACACAAATGATTCCAGCTGAAAGGAATTTAGAGACAGTACAGAGTGTAAGAGCAGCATGCAAAACTCAGACGTGTGGGCCTTAAACATAAACACATGTGTTTCTATCAGAGTGGCGGGGACAGTTCACACGCAGACACACACAGGAGAAAGCAATGACAAGACAGAGTGGAGAGACATGTGGCCATGAGCCAAGGAATGCCAATAGCCACCAAAAGCTCAGAGGCAAGGAAAGATCATCCAATTGAGCAGGGATCCCCAGTTCCCAGGCCATGGACCAGTAGCCCGCTAGGAACCAGGCCACACAGCAGGAGATGAGTGGCGGAAGCGTCAGCGAAGCTTCATCTGTATTCACAGCCACTCCTAATTGCTCACATGACTGCCTGAGCTCCGCCTCTGTCAGATCAGCAGCGGCATTAGATTCTCATAGGAGCACAAACCCTATTGTGAACTGCGCATGCAAGGGGTCTAGGTTGCACACTCCTTATGAGAATCTAATGCCTCGTGGTCTGTCACTGTCTCCCATCAGCCCCAGATGGGAACATCTAGTTGCAGGAAAACAAGCTCAGGGCTCCCATTGATTCTACATTATGGTGAGTTGTAGAATTACTTTATTATATAATACAATGTAATAATAATAGAAATAAAGTGCACAGTAAATGTAATGTGCCAAAATCATCCCCAAACCATCCCCCCTCCCCGTTCCATGGAAAAATTGTCCCTGGTGCCAAAAAGGTTGGGGACCTAGAGGGTGTGCCCCTACCAACACCTTGATTTGGTACTGCTGCCCTCCAGAACTGTGAGAGGTGAGTTTTTGTTTTTATAAACCACCCAGTTTGTGGCGATTTGTTACAGCAGCCTTAGAAAACTGACACAATAATCCTTACAACACTCTATCGATTTCCCCTGTGCCTTCTACATGAATTTCATATTCTCTATGGAGTTTCTTTTTCTTTCTTTTTTTTTTTTTTTTGAGATAGGGTTTCACTCTCTCACCCAGGCTGGAGTGCAGAGGTGCATTCTCAGCTCACTGCAACCTCCACCTCCCAGGTTCAAGCGGTTCTCCTGCTTCAGCCTCCTGAGTAGCTGGGACTACAGGCATGCACCATCACGCCTGGCTAATTTTTGTATTTTTAGTAGAGACAGGGTTTTGCCATGTTGGCCAGGCTGGTCTCGAACTCCTGACATCAGGTGATCCAGCCGCCTCGGCCTCCCAAAGTGCTGGGATTACAGGTGTGAGCCACTGTGCCTCACTCTATGGAGTTTCTGAATAATTAATATAGTGTACTGAAAAAGAAAAGATAATCAGCTCACCAAGGAAAGCAAGAGAGCCTGCAATCATTTTCTCTAACATTACGGCATACACATAGCCATGCAGTTATTTGCACGTTCATGACCACCAATGACTAGAAGATGCCAAAAACCTCTAGGCATGGTTTTGCCTTTGAACCGATTGAGCCTCTTCATGGAGAATCACATCGTGGAGTTCAGGTTTATACATTTATTTCTGATTCATTCCATAAGTTAGAGCAGAGGGTCCCCAACAAAATTGATGGTGATGGTTTATCACTTAGTACAAGTAAAGGAATTGGAGGAGGAGGAATAACTCTTCTGGGTGGAGATGGCACTGGTAGAGGCTGGCAGGTGGTGGGGATGGTTCTCCACCTGCCTTTGGATGTGGTGGAGGAGGTCCTGGAATGTATGACCAACTCATGGGTCCATGTTCCTGGGTTTGACAGTGGGTCCATGTTCCTGGTTTGCACACTGCTCTTATATTCTGTACCATCTCTAACAGAACCGGAATTCTGTTCTAAGGCCTTTGTATGTTTCTTCCTTTTCTTGCAGCTGGTTTTGAGCTTATGGTCAGTTTCTGAATGCTTCATTTTTCTATCAGATGTGTGAAATCAGTATCTGATCTTTGTCTGTGCTGGAGTTGAAGTCTGGGTCCACACAACTATAAATCACACTTTGATTTTCTCACAATACTGTGACCTGTGTCCCTCAGGAGACCTTGGGCATTGTCAGCAGTCTCCTTTGGGTCCCTGTATAGATTGCCAAAAACTGACTGAGGCCACATGCCAGCAGGAAAGGCCCAACCCCTTTCCCAACACTCTACCTCCCCATAAACTTAACTACTAATAGCCTCCTGTTGGCCGAAAGCCTTACTGATAACATAAACATTTCATTAACACATAAATAAACCAGTAGCTACATATATTTTATGCATTCATGACATACTTAGATTTAAAAAAAAAATTTTTAGTATTTTTAGACTATGTGGTTCATCTGTGAGTTTTTTCAAATTGTTGCAAATCTCCAAAAATCTTTCCAATATATACACAGAAAAAAACCCACGCGTAAGTAGATTCGCACAGTTCAAACTTGTGTTGTACAAGGGTCAACTGTAGTTCAAATCCACTGGAAATTTCACCCTTTGTAACTATTTAAACATATAAGAAAAAATTAATAACTTTAAAATGTGTGAGCTTACGAAATGGATTTGCTGATGGGAGCCACTGTGGCAGGCCCACTGGAGCGGGAGTGTGGTCAGGGGCTAGCAGCTGAGAAGCCCATCATGGGGGAACGTGGCCCACTACCTGCTGATATATTGAGACCTGAGTCCCATCCCACTCCTCTCCTCAGTTCCAGTGCATGTGCCGGGGTGGGTCTTGGGATATCTCACCCATTGCCATTGTCTGTCAAGCCCTGGTGACTGCTTGGGCTCCAAGACAACTGAGATGCAGAGTCCAGCAATTCTGCAGGAATCTCAGGGCCTGCCCCACCTCCACTGCCCTTTCCTCTGGACTGCTGCTCTCTGGGGGCCCTGCAGAGCACTTTCTCCATGTCCCTTATCTGACAGCTTTCACAGCAGGTCTTGTGGTGTCAGGACAGGGAGAGCTTTCATTTCCTGAATGTTTTCCATCCAGAGAGTGAGTTTAACCCTTCCTTTCTACCCCCATTCACCCTGGCCAGGGCCTCCCCACCTCCTCACTTTCTTTCCTCTTCCCAAGCATACTGTATTAATTCCCAAGGGCTGCCATGGCAAAGTACCCCAAACAGGGTGGCTTAAGGTAACACATTGATAGTCTCACAGTTATGGAGTTCACAAGTCCAAAACAGAGGTGTGGGCAGGACCACGCTGTCTTCGAAGGCTCTACAGAGGATCCTTCCGGGCCTCTTCCAGCTTCTCATATTCATCGGCCATCCTTGGCATTCCTTGCTTGGTGACAGTGTCACTCCAGTCTCTTCCTCCATCATCACAGGCATTCTCCCATGTCTCGTCACATCATCTCCCCTCTGTACATGTCTCTGTGTCTCTTATCCTCTTCTTAGGGGACGCCAATCATATTGGATTAGAGCCCACCCTAATGAACTCATCTTAACCACATCTGCCAAGACCCTATTTCCAAATAAAGTCACATTCACAAGTAGTGGGGCTTAAGACTTCAACAAATCTTTTGGGGGGACCCATTTCAAACCATAACAGGGATGGATGGTGTGTCAGAAAATTTCCTGGCCAGGCACGGTGGCTCATGCCTGTAATCCCAGCACTTTGGGAGGCTGAGGTGGGATGATCACGAGGTCAAGAGACCGAGACCATCCTGGCTAACATGGTAAAACTCCGTCTCTACTAAAAATACAAAAATTAGCTGGGCGTGGTGGCGCATGCCTGTAGTCCCAGCTACTCAGGAGGCTGAGGCAGGAGAATCGCTTGAACCCAGGAGGTGGAGGTTGCAGTGAGCCCAGATGGTGCCACTGCACTCCAGCCTGGGTGACAGAGTGAGACTCCATCTCAAGAAAGAAAGAGAAAGAGAGAGGAAGGAAGGAAGGAAGGAAGGAAGGAAGGAAGGAAGGAAGGAAGGAAGGAAGAAAATTTCCCCTGTTTTTCACTTTGAAGGGTTATATTACCAGTTAGTATTTGGTATTAGAGAAACATGGATTGAGAACCTAGATCTGCCCTAATATGGAGCAACTTAATCTCTCTGAGTTAGTTTTCTAATCCATAAAATAGGTATAATATAAAATACTAAATTCTAAAAGTGTTTTGAATTCTGTATGAGCCAGTGTGTGCCACATGGTACTCAGTAAGTGGTGTCTATGTAAAGAACATTTTCTGGGATGCAGGCACTCCTAAACTTGGCTTCCCTTCTTTCTCCATGAACTCAAAATCCATCTCCCTTGTTTCATTGTTTTATTGTTTGGTTTTTTTCTATTTTAATCATTTTAATCATAATCCTTGGCTCATGATACAGCACTATTAATTCATTATATCTTTTACTTTGTTTTTTTATTTGCATGTATGCTCTAAATGAACACATATGAACTCATCATCCAATCCAAGAACTAGATCATCAGTTGTGAATTTCACCTAGCAACAGGCTTCACCCATAGCTCACCCTCCCACAAGTTCCATCCAGAACTTCATATTGATCATACTTTTTCTTTGGCACCCTAGATAACATGTGAGTCCTTTGGATGGACTTCTCATTCACCTCCCTTCTACAGACCCTGTTCCTACAGACCCTTCTGAGTGGGTCACAGACTTTGTGACCCATCCACCGGCACCATTGCTAAGAACCAACAGCAATTCCTAATCAAAGTCCCAGTCTGATTTCTTCTCCTGGGAGTTTAGAATTTGTCTCCTGGGGCTCTGAGTAATCACTGCAGGGCATGTGAACTGACAGGCCGTGAAAAGCTGCACCTGGGTGGTCACATTTCTGCTGTGCACAAGCGGGGAAGAAAGATCTATTCCTTGTGGAGAATGAGAAACAAAGAAGATGGGGACGCAGCAAAATCGGGGAAGAGGGAGCAGATGGCTCCCCAGACAGAGCTGGAGAGAATGGCCTCTTGGTCCCTGGTTGCTTCCTAAATCTGGATTCTAGGTTGTCCCGTGGCTGGGCCATCTGTCCTTCCACTGAGTTCTGGAGGTGCTGGTGTTGTTTGCTGAAGCTTCCCTGAGTGGGCTGCTCTATCTGACAATCAAATGGTCAGAGAACACAACCACACTCGCATGGCACAAAGCCATATCTGTATCTCATATTCAAGCACTGGTTGACCAATGAATCTTTGGCTTTTCTGAATCTTATGTCTCTATGCATCTTGTGTCTCTGAGCTAAAATGATTGAGACAGAGGCAGTGTGGAGTGGAAGAGCTAGCTATCTGACCTGTCCCCTGCCATTCATGAGCTCTTTCTGTTCTAAGAATTTATCTGCTTTTTCAGCCGGGTGCGGTGGCTCACGCCTGTAATCCCAGCACTTAGGGAGACTGAGGCGGGTGGATCACGAGTTCAAGAGATCGAGACCATCCTGGCCAACATGGTGAAACCCTGTCTCTACTAAAAATACAAAAAATTAGCTGGGTGTGGTGGCGGGGACCTGTAGTCCCAGCTACTCGGGAGGCTGAAGCAGGAGAATCACTTGAACCCGGGAGGCAGAGGTTGCAGTGAGCTGAGATGGTGCCACTGCACTCCAGCCTGGTGACAGACTCTGTCTCAAAAAAAAAAAAAAAGAATTTTCTTTTTCTTTCCTTGATATTATTGCCCAAAATAGAAGTAGTGACCTTGAACTCCTTACCACTAAAAGAAGAGAAGTACTATTAAATTCAACCAGAAGGGTATTGTGTAGCAAAGACAAATAAGTATATGTCAACCCCAGGCTAAGCAGTCCCATGGCTACAACACCAGCCACCAGAGCTACATCAGGAGACCCAAATGCTAATTTCTCTTCTTGTACATCTGACGTGAGACCTTCTGACTACAACTAGCAAGACTAGCTACATAATTTGCAGGGTCCAGTGGAAAGCAAAAAGGCAAGGTCCTTTGTTCAAAAAGTATTAAGAATTTTAGAAAGGTAACAGCAGAATATTAAACCAAATGCAGGGCCCTTCTATGCTTAGGGCCCTGTGGGGCTGCACTGGTCCCACACCAGTGAAGCTGGTCATGACAACCAGAGGAGGGGTGCATGGTTCTCTGCTGGCCAGAAGACACAGCCATCTTAGTCACCTGCAAAGAAAATATTTTCTGAGCCTTGCAGTATAGTTTCTGTACCACCTGGGAGCTCCCATTCGACCTGTGTTGAATAAATGAATTGCCTGTGGCATGAGCTAACGGCTGATATGGGAATGCAAGATAATTGTTTCTCCAAACACCAACATGAAGAAAGGAGTGGTAAAGCCAGCAATTAATATTATGGGGATTCAAGACAGCATCAATAAATAGGCCAAGTCTGGAATTGGCTGCTACCTGGTCTTGGAAAAAGACAAGCAAAAATGATGCTTTAAAATGCATCAAAGACAGAGGAAGAATGGTCCTAAAGGTTGGACTTAAATGCCCATCGGGCCCTGGGGAAGTGATCATAAGTCAAGAAATAACAGGAGATAGAAAACTGTTCCGCTGCCATTGTGCTCCTTGGACTCTTTGCCTCTGATTCAGACCAACTGTTAAAACATCTCTGGGTTTACTCCAAAGCTGCTGGGTCAGAAACATGATTGACAGAGCCCTGGAATCTGCATTTTTTAACAAGGCTTCCAGGTGATTCTTGCTCACAATAAAGTGTAAGACCCACCGGTATCAGGGACTGTAAATCCCCAGCCTTATGTTTTCAGGAGACTATTTCTCCCCAACATGTTCAAAATATTATTCACTTCTGCAAAGATGAGGATTCAACTGCCCCGGTGGGCACAAAGAAGAAGAACGTTGGGCAGCGCGTGAGGCGAGGAGGATTGAGGGAGCTAAATATGGGCTGAAACAACCCTCAGGAGTGTCTCAGCTGCCTCGTGGCTTCCCAAAATCTTTTCCTGATGGCGCAGGCATGACTTGGAATACTTCTCCACTTTGCTGTGAAAGTTAGAGAAACACTTGTTGCAACCACAAGAATATTTACTGGAAGCAGGAAGTCATGTTCAGCCATCTGCTAACCAATGCTGACTTACTTCCTCTGACCCTAAGTTACTTATCCAACCCAGGGGCTTGTGTGAACCAGACACTTTCTGAGGTCCGTGTCTATCATCTGAACATGGTCAGAGCCGTGAGATCAAGTACAAAGAACACTAAGCAAGACCTTAGAAGACCTAGACTCAGTTAAGCTCCAGTTCCAGTTAGCTCTTGGATTTTGAGGAAGTTCCTTGACTCACCTGAGCTTCTTATTTATTGCTTTGGAAATTTTGAAATGGGGGATACTAAACCTATCACCAAGAGATTTTGTGAGAATTAAGTGAGAAAGTGTGAGTGAAAATACCTTGAAACATTTATATCAACAAAATGTCAGTCCTGGTTCCATGATTGTGACAATGCACGACAGGCCTCTTTGGTTGCATTCTTGAGTGTATCTTTCATAGTCCAAGAGGTGATATTCCTGGATAAAAAGTGTTATTCCCAAAAGTGGAATTTTGGGGTTGAGAGAATGTGAACATTTTTTAAGGCCCATGATACATCTTGTCAAATTACCCTCACAAAAGTTGTTCAAATTTGACTCCAACTAGCATTGTATGTGAGTACTAGTTCCCACCACACTGGTTAACGTTGAGCATTACCTTTTATTTTCATGTTTCCAAATCTGGTCTTGTTTAAGTTAGTATTTCTTAAATCTCTAATGATAGCATTAAAAATAACATCTATTTATAATGCATTTGCATCTCTCAATAAATGTGACCTGCTGCCTTACTGTTGTTTCTTTTTTCTTTTCTTTTCTTTCTTTCTTTTTTTTTTTTTTTGAGATGAAGTCTCGCTCTGTCACCCAAGCTGGAGTACGATGGCGTGATCTCGGCTCACTGCAACCTCTGCCTTCTAGGTTCAAGCAATTCTCTTGCCTCAGCCTCCTGAGTAGCTGGGATTACAGGTGTGTGCCACCAGACCCAGCTAATTTTTTGTATTTTTAGTAGAGACGGGGTTTCACCATGCTGGCCAGGCTGGTCTCGAACTCCTGACCTCATGATCCACCAGCCTCAGCCTCCCAAAGTGCTGGGATTACAGGCATGAGCCAACACTCCCGGCCTGCTTCTTTTTTCTAATTTTCTATCAGCATAGCCAGTATTTTTCTGAGTTGCTACTTCACTCATCATTCTTTATGACATTTCTTGACACATTAAAAAAAAACTTTTAATTTTATGGTAGTCAAAACATTTTAAGCATTGGATATGAGACAGCTAATATTGTTAATATAAATACATTCTTTACCACACTTACAGGATGGATTTTTCTACCCTTTCTCCAGCCCCCACACATACTTTATGTTTTATTTTTTAAGATGGGGACTTGCTCTGTTGCCCGGGCTGCAGGGCAGTGTTGTGATCATAGCTCACTGCATCCTCAAACTCCTGGGCTCAAGTGATCCTCCCACCTTAGCCTCCCAAAATGTTGAGATTACAGGTGTGAGCTACTGTACCCAGCCCACACACTTTAAAAGTGTACTTTGGAACAGTTTATATTGCACAGATATTGCAGACTTTTCAGATTTTAAAACAATAATCATAGATTGAACTACCAGGCCTTAGATTCTTATGTGGAAATAATTTAAACAAGTTTCTCATAGATGTTACTTTATAGATTTTTTTTCTTGTTAACTTCATTTTGATAAATGTTATTTTCCATCCCATAAAGGCTTTTAAATTTGAAGAAATATTTTAATTTTATCTTCTCTGCATATTATTCCCACATTTTTCTTCTTAATTTTGTATACTTATGTTTTATCTTTTTATAATATTTTCACATTGTATATCTATTCTCATTTCTTCAAAAAGAAATATTGGTAATGTTTTAGGTGTTGAGGATACCCGGGGGAAAATAGGATAGGATTCCTGCCTTCATGATGCAGATATAGCCTAGCACTGTCTATTCTGTTAAATGTTTCTCAAAGAAAGATTCACTTGTAAAAAGTTTTCCCAAATTTATTAATATGTACATTTGCCTTAATTATTTTCTTTCTACTATTTACTATTTTCCCATATTTGTTTTCTTTTCTTTCTTTTTTTTTTTTTGAGACAGGGTCTCACTCTGTTGCCCAGGCCAGAGTGCAGTGGTGCTATCATAGCTCACTGCAGCCTTTATTTCCCAGGCTCAGGTGATCCTCCCACCTCACCCTCTCGGGCATTACATCCTTCTTGGGATTACAGATGTGCACCACAACACCCAGCTAATTTTTTTTTATATTTTTAGTAGAGACAGGGTTTTGCCATGTTGCCCAGGCTGGTCTTGAACTCCTGGACTCAAGCAATCCACCTGCCTCTGTCTCCCAAAGTGCTGAAATTACAGGCATGAGCCACAGCACCCAACTGTTTTCTTGAATTTTTCCCTAACACATTTTCCTGAATGCTTAACTGTCTTTATTTTAACTTTTTCTTAGTTAATAATATAAGAATTTAAGGCCATGAATTTGATTCTAAAAGTAACATTAGTTTCAACCTAACCTAGTTTCAAAGTTTTTATTTGCAGCATTCTCATTTTTTTAAATTACACATTTAACTTTTTTGATTCTAAAAATATTAATTACTATATTTGTAAATTCTTGCATTGCTTTCGTGCCTAGAAAGTTTTTCTTAACTGAAGATAAAGACAATATTACAGTTTTTAATTTTTATTTATTTATTTATTTTTGAGACACAGTCTTGCCCTGTCACCCAGGCTGGAGTGCAGTGGCACGATCTTGGCTCACTACAACCTCCACCTCCTGGGTTCAAGCAATTCTCCTGCCTCAGCCTCTCAAGTAGCTGGGGTTACAGGCACTCGCCACCACGCCTGGCTAATTTTTATATTTTTGGTAGAGACGGGGTTTCACCATGTTGGCCAGACTGGTCTCAAACTCCTGACCTCGTGATCTGCCCACCTCGGCCTCCCAAAGTGCTGGGATTACAGGCGTGAGCCACCGTGCCCAGCCTAATTATTATTTTTTAAACTCTAAAATTAGAGGTACTCTAGTTTAGCTACTCTAAATAGACTTTTTTTGCAGACTTTTCAAATTTTAAAATAATAATCATAAGTTGAACTACCTGGTCTTAGAATCTTATGTGGAAGTTACGTGTTACTTTAATCAAAATTTATTTTAGACTACATCAAGTGAGGTTTTTTATGTAGCAAATCTTGCTTTCAATACTATTTATTAAATGAATTTTCCTTTCTCACTATTTTATGATATCACTGCTTTCAGGTTAATTTCTTATATACTTTTGGCCCATGAGGGAGCAGTGTCCATTATTTAGATATGTTTATTTATTTTTTAGTTAGTACAGGTTTATAATATTTCTTAAGGGCTTCATTATTACTTATCTTTAGTAGAAATTGTTAGCTCTTCCACTCATTTTTTTCAGATTACCTCAATACAGAAAAAGAAATTGTGGGTGAAAGAGTACCTAGGTGCCAAGGCAAGAGATTGAAAGCACAAACTGTTTCAGTATAATAAAGAAAATAAAATAGTTAGAATAAGAATAGTCATAATACAAATTAGATGCAGAGATGATCATGGACAATTATCAATCATTATTATAAACATTATTAATCATTAGCTTTTAATATTACTCTTTGTTGCATTACTAACATAACCTAGGAATAACCGGCGGGTATAGGGTCAGGTGCTGAAGGGACATTGTGAGAAGTGACCCAGAAGGCAAGAGGTGAGCCCTCTGTCACGCCCACATAAGGGCCACTTGAGGGCTCCTTGGTCAAGGGGTAACGCCAGTGTCTGGGACGGCACCCGTTACTTAGCAGACCGCGAAAGGGAGTCTCCTTTCCTTGGAGGAGTCAGGGAACACTCTGCTCCACCAGCTTCTTGTGGAAGGCTGGATATTATCCAGGCCTGCCCGCAGTCATCCGGAGGCCTAAACCCCTCCCTGTGGTGCTGTGCTTCAGTGGTCACCCTCCTTGTCCTCTTTCATGCTCCGCCCGTACTTCTGGTCCCTCTTTGAAGTTCACAGTAGATAGTGGTAGAAGAAATAGTGAAAGTCTTAAAGTCTTTGGTCTTTCTTATAAGTGCAGAGAAGAGAACGCTGATGTATGCTGCCTTCTCTCTCTGCTTCGGCTACCTAAAAGGGAAGGGCCTCCTGTCCTGTAATCACGTGACTTGCTTCACCTTGTCAGTCATTTAGAAGATTCACCCTCCTTACCCTGTCCCCTTGTCTTGTATGCAATAAATATCAGTGAGCCCATCCATTCGGGACCACTACCAGTCTTCCGCATCTTGATGGTAGTAGTCCTCCAGGCCCAGCTCTTTTCTCTTTATCTCTTTGTCTTGTGTCTTTATTTATAACAATCTCTCGTCTCCACACACGGGGAGAACACCTGCTAAGCCCCATAGGGCTGGACCCTACAAAAAATATAATAGCAAGTTATTGGACTTAAATTGAAACTGTAGTTAATTGGACATAAAAATAACATTTACAACCCTGATGCGTTTTGCTACTCAGGAATATTACGAGTTTCTCCAAGTCTTTTCAGTTATTTAACTTAGGTGCCTTTTATCATTTTATTGTTCATTTGTTCCTCAAATGAGTTCTTACATTTTGGGCTAAGTTTATTCCCAGATAGATGTGATATATAGTTGTTCATATATACATAATACACACGATTGCACATACATATGCACATATGTGCACACATGCATACATACAGTAGGGCTTTCTCCTGCTGGGTATTGTCATTAGTAAGAAGGTTAACAATTTGTTCACATTTATTTCGTTGCATCTCATAAACTACTGAGTTCTGTTTTCCGTTATAATTCTAATTTTAGTTGATTATCTTGGGATTTCTAGGTAGACAGTTAAATAATCATCTGACAATTAGCATTTCTCTCCTTTTGAAACTATTTCTGTCACATGTCTTATTGCATTGGCTGCAATTTCTAGAATGATGTTAAAGAGGCATAGTGATGAAGTTCATGCCCTTATCTTTAATGAATCTTCCTGGAGCATTTCAGCTTTGAGCATGACACTAATCATTGCTTTGAGATTAAGTATCCTTTAGAGAAAGTAGCCTTTCTGCCATACAGTAAATTATTATTGCATATTTAGGGCATGTCAGTTCTTGAATTCCCACTATGTGGTGGCATTATAATGTTAGAGAAAAGAACATGGGCTCTGCCAAATGAAGTTATTTGCCTATTTTCAAGCTAAACTAATACTCTCATCTCCTAGAAAAATGAGGTTGACACTTTTCTTTTTTCCTCCAAGTTCAAATTAAACCTGCAGCAATTCTGCCTTCAGTAAAGCTGTCTTAATTTTATTTACCAAATTTGTCATGTAATCATCCCTATTTATCTTTCATTGACCAGGATTCTGAGTTTTCCAAATCATTGCCTACATAGAGGAAAAAAGTCGAAAATAGTAAAAGAAAATGGGAGAACACAAGGTGTTCCTGTTTACTCCCATCGAGGCCTTCTCCTCTGGCCTCCTTGGACTCCCCCAAGTCTCTTCCTGTTGCGGCTGGAAGGGTCTTGTTTACCGAGTTCTGAGGAGTGGCCACTCTCCTCCCTGGGGTTTGATGGCACCTGTATCACCGCATCTGGTTTCCTGAGCCTCAATGCAGTAGAATTTGGAAGATCACAATGTTAATTTTTTCCTTCAATGAGATTTGCCATTTATTGAAAAGGAAGCTTTCTCCCCCATGGTAATACAATTTTTTTTTTTTTTGTAATTTGTAGATGACAAATACAAATCTGGACGATACACAATAGCTCGTTTCTTCATTATGTGTTCTCTGGAGAGGCAATTATTTTGTCAGTGGCATATATGAATTTTTTTAACTTTTAGTATTTTTTTATGTGCAACAGCTGCTGGCAGAGTTTTGGACAGCCATCTACCATCCTACTGCACTGACAGTGGGATCTGTGTTCTTTCCCACCTTCTCCCTTCCAGAGGCCGTCGGCCGTAAGAGCCAGAGGGGACTTTTGGAGTTATGTAATGCAACATTTCCCAGAATCTGTTCGGGACACACTAATTTTTAAAGATGAGCTTTGACAAAGGGGTCTAGTGATCTAGCCCACAGATTTGCAATCAATAAAGAGAAATCCTGCAAAAAAAGATGTGTGTTTCACTTTGTCTAACCCAGAGTTTTCCAAACATTATCACATAACATCTTCCCTTGCCTACAGTGATATCAGATCTCCAAAACACTTTAAAAACATGCTGCCCTTACCCACTTCTCAAAGAAAAGTCCCACTATTCGGGTGCCTGTAATCCCAGCTACTCAGGAGGCTGAAACAGGAGAATTGCTTGAACCTGGGAGGCGGAGTTTGCAGTGACCCAAGATCCTGCCATTGCACTCCAGCCCGGGCAACAAGAGCGAAACTCCGTCTCAAAAACAACAACAACAACAAAAAACAAATAAATTCTCTAGTACTTAAGCCTGAGAATTCTGGGCTAATATAAAATCCTTGCACAAACAAAATCATCAAATTTGGTGAAAATGTTGGGAGTGCATATAATCATTTGGTTTGTTGCATAAAATTATGTTAAGGACACAAGAAAGAAGTTAATTATAAAATTATATGTTAGCATAGAAATATAAAGAAAAATAAATTGAACATTTGGTGAGGCCTTAAAAAAAAAAGTCCCACCATTTCCCTTATGAGTGGTGAATTAAAAATGATATCAAAACATCCTGTTGATCCCTTAGTTATTTATAATTGTGACGAAGTTTATGGTGCAATCTACATGCAAATATGGCCCCATAATATCTACTTAGGTGTGTCTCTTTCCTTAGCGTGAGCTCAGCCAGTATCTGCTTTTGCTATTTTCATCAACCATGAATCTTTCCAGTGAGCTTTGAATCCTCATGCTCACGGACACCTGGCTGTGCTGTGCGCACCCCAGCTGACTCGAGACAGCCTGGGGCCGGCTGGCGGCTGTTACTGTGGAGGTTGTTCTGGCGAGGCAAGGAGGATTTCCACCTGGATGAGCTGCAGGCTCATGGGGGTTATTAGTGCACAGTGACTCTGAGGCTGACATCCCAGTCATGGACCTGTGTGGACCAATTCCATCCTCTCCTTCCCAAGCCCGAGGCTGAATGCTTGACCTCAGCTAGCTGGGCTGTCAAAGTGCTTGGAAGAACTTTTCCAGCAAGGATGAAAGGGTTGAGCATCTCTTTATCTTCCCTGGTTGCATCACTTATTCACCAGGGCAAGGTTTCCCAGAAAGCTGCAGTGGGTTAGGGGTCGAGAGCAAAGTACTCAGCCCACATAGAGTTAGCAGCTGCCTGTGGCTGGTGACAGCGGTCCCTCAGGATTCTGAACGTCTCTAACTGTATCAGGTAATCTGGTTCAGTGCCCCTGGCTGCTGCTTTCCAGGGTGCTCAGGTTAAATGCAGATTTCTACAGATTTCCTGAATGTGCAGGGGTGTGTCCTGGGAATCGCCTTCTAAACAAGCCCCCAGGTGATTTTTTTTGCCCATGGAAGTATGAGATGGTTTGTTACCAGAGGTACAAACCATCTTTTTCTTTACCAAGTCTCTAAATGCAAGTGTCAGATAACATCTGACACTTAATGTAAGACCAACTGTTCTTTTTTTCTTTCCTCCCTTCCTCCCTTTTTTTTTTTTCAACTGCTTCTTCATGAGCAGTCACTGTCTACTCACCACCTCCATCCTGTCTTGATGATTTAGGACTCTGGTCACCTCTGCTTCTGCTCCCAAGAAAAACCCTTCAGCTTTGAAGTACTAGGAACAAACAAAACAAAAAAAGTACTTAAAAGAAACTGTGACAGAGAGGCAAGCAAGCCCTCCCTTACCCATTAATAACGGCCACTGCATCCTCCAAACAAGGCCCCCAAACAGCAACCACAAAACAAAGAGTGCACCAGGCTCTGCCCCCGGCCTCTGGTAAAGGTCTGACAACCAAAGACACCAACGGAAAGTCTGACAACCAGAGTCTTGGCTCCTCTGGTTGAGTTCACGGGACAGGCAAATTCCCAATATTCTACGATGCTATGATACAGGGCTGTCGCCATGCAATGCAATCCTGAGTTATTTGGGGGGTGGCATAAAGAGCAGAATTAATCAAACAGCATCACATTAAATCCCTGCTTCCTAAGTGAAAATGTAGGAAGGATCATTTCATTCATTCATAAATTATACTTACAAAAGGACCTCCAGAAAAACAAACTTCTTTATGCATAAACTTATTGACGAACTTGGTTCATGACAGCTTTCTTAAAAAGCATGAGCGTAAATAGACTTGGAAATGCATACGAATAACAAGTATTTGTTGAGCACTTACAATATGCCATACATATAATCTATATGTACCATCTATATAATTGTTCATATTTATTAAATACTTATTATGGGCCAGGCACTATGTAAAAGAGTTTACAAGATTTATTCTACTTAATCCTTTCAACAACCAGAGGAGATACTAGTATAAAAGGATGCCCATTTTATAGTTGAGAAGATTGAGGCTTACAGTGTTTTAAGGTCATAGATTTATAAGCTTCTGTGTCAGAAATAAAAACCAAGCCTGTTTGAGTATAGGTTTCATTTGCTTAATCTCTGCACTCTACCATTTACTATAACTTAGCCAGTACTTATTTTCATAGCTGAGATATTCCGTGGTCATGGAAAGGTGAGATTAAATCACAGTTGGTGGTTCTCTACAAAGCTGACACATGCAAGCAATTCAACGTGGAGACTGTTCTCAGTGCTCAGTGAGGCTGGATGTTCTGGTCTCCAGAAGGGCTGTGGAGACACAGCATCCTTTTTGTCCATAAGAAAACTGGCTCCCACCTGAGGGTGAGGACTCCAGAAAGGAGCCCAGGAACTGGCTTCCAGTGCACAAAGCAGGTGCCCTGGGAGGGCTGCCTTTCTGAGGATTTTTTTTTTTTAAATAAAATCCATCCCCATTTTCAATTTTTTTCTTCTCATTTCAAAGAGAACCCCCAATAACAATGACTTTCAAATGCAAGTGGCACCGCCTACTGCACAATTGTCCTCTAGACCCTGCCGTCTGCCCTCTGAAGTAGGCGTGAGTGAGCTCCTCTTTCCACCACTGCAGGAACAGGTGGAAGGAGAGGGGATCTCGGCTTCCAATTGTTGTTCGTGATGCCGGTGGCCCTCAGCCTCATATTTCTGGCCATCCTGGTGTGGTCCTCATGCATCCAGTTAACCTAGGTGAAGGGTGGACTTAGAATGAGAGAGCAGGAAGAAGAGCAGCATGAGCAGAATTTCTCACCATGGTCTCCCTTCAGCGGCAAACGGAGCCTTCGTGGGGGCACTTTACCAAAGAAATGAGGTTGACACACAGCCTAGGCCACCTCCAGCCTGAGCAATGGTGTTTCTTTCTATCTAATTTGCAGGGGCTCCCCTGTGTCACGACAGAGAGAAGATGCCCCCCACACACTGGCACAACCGGCCAGACTTGGGATCAGACCCAGGTCAAGCAGAGCCTCAGGAAAGGGACCTGAGAGAGGCCAGCTCCCTGGGGGTTTGTCTAAACAATACCCAGAGGAACAGGCCATACTGGAAGTTAAGAGCCCAAAGGCTTTTTGATGCCACAGGATGATATCTCCCTTCCCTTTCCTTCCCTTCCCTTCCCTTCCCTTCCCTTCCCTTCCCTTCCTTTCCCTTCCGTTTCCTCCCCTTCCATCCCATCCCCTCCCCTCCCCTCCCTCCCTCCCTCCCCTCCCCTCCCCTCCCCTCCCCTCCCCTTCTCTTCTTCCCTTCCTTTCCCAACAGAGTCAGTCTGTCACCAAGGCTGCAGTGGAGCAGTGCAATCTTGGCTCACTGCGACCTCTAACTTCCAGGCTCAAGTAATCCTCTTGCCTCAGCCTCCTGAGTAGCTGAGACTACAGGTGTGCCACTTTTTTTTCTAACTTTTATTTTAGGTTCAGGAGTACATGCACAGGTTTGTTATGTAAGTAAACTTGCATCACAGGGGTTCGTTGTACAGATTATTTCATCACCCAGGTACTAGGCCTAGTACCCGATAGATATTTTTTCTGATCCTCTCCTTCCTCCAACCTCCCACCCTCAAGTAGGCCCTAGTGTCTGTTTTTCCCCTCTTTGTGTCCATGTGTTTTCATCATTTAGCTCCCACTTAAGTAAGAACATGAAGTATTTGGTTTTCTGTTCTTGGGTTAGTTTGTTAAGGATAATGGCCTCCAGCTCCATCCATGCTCCTGCAAAGGACATGATCTCTTTCTTTTTTATGACTGCATAGCATTCCATGGTGTGTATATGTACCATATTTTCTTTATCGAATCTGCCATTGATGGGCATTTAGGTTGATTCCATGTCTTTGCTATTGTGAATAGTGCTGCAATGAACATACATGTACATGTGTCTTTATGGTAGAATGATTTATATTCCTTTGGGTATATGCCCAGTAATGGGATTGCTGGGTTAAATGGTAGCTCTTTTTTTCACTCTTTGAGGAATTGCCACACTGCTCTCCACAATGGCTGAACTAATTTACACTCCCACCAACAGCATATAAGGGTTTCCTTTTCTCTGCAACGTCACCAGTATCTGTTATTTTTTGACTTTTTAGTAATAGCCATTCTGACTGGTGTGAGATGATATCTCATTATGGTTCTGATTTGCATTTCCCTAATGATATGTGATATGGAGCTTTTTTTCATATGCTTGTTGGCTGCAGATATGTATGTCTTCTTTTGAAAATGTCTGTTCATGTCTTTTGCCCACTTTTGAAGGGTTTTTTTTTTCTTGTAAATTTGTTTTTTTCTTACAGATGCTGGATATTAGACCTTTTTCAGGTATACAGTTTGTAAGTATTTTCTCCCATTCTGTAGGTTGTCTGTTTACTCTGCTGATAGTTTCTTTTGCTGTGCAGAAATTCTTTAATTAGGTCCCATTTGTCAATTTTTGCTTTTGTTGTGATTGCTTTCTAAGTCTTCATCATGAAATCTTTGCCAGCTCCCATGTCCAGAATAGTACTGCCTAGATTGGCGTCCAGGGTTTTTATAGTTTTGCATTTTACATTTAAGTCTTTAATCCATCTTGAGGTGATTTTTGTATATGTTGTAAGGGAGGGGTCCAGTTTCAATCTTCCATATATGGCTAGCCTGTTCTCCCAGCACCATTATTGAATACGGAGTCCTTTCCCTATTCAGGTGCTTGTTTTGTCAGCTTTGCCAAAGATCAGATGGTTGTAGCTGTGTGGCTTTATTTCTGGGCTCATTATTCCATTCCATTGGTCTATGTGTCTGTTTTTGTACCACTACCATGCTGTTTTGGTTACTGTAGCCCTGTGGTATAGTTTGAAGTCAGATAATGTGATGCCTCCAGCTTTGTTTTTTGTTTGTTTTTTGCTTAGCATTGCCTGGGCTATTCCAGCTCTTTTTTGGTTCCATATGAATTTTTAAATAGTTTTTCCTAGTTCTGTGAAGAATGTCATTGGTAGTTTGATAGGAATAGCATTGAATCTGTAATTGCTTTGGGCAGTGTGGCCATTTTAGTGATACTGGTTCTTCTTATCCATGAGCATGGAATGTTTTTCTGTTTGTTTGTACCATTTCTTGATTTATTTGAGCAGTGTTTTGTAATTCCATTGTAGAGGTCTTTCACCTCCCTGGTTAGCTGTATTCCTAGGTAATTTTTTTTTCTTTTTGTAGCAATTGTGAATGGGATTGCATTTCTGATTTGGCTCTTGGCTTGACTGTTGTGGGTATATAGGAATGCTCATGATTTTTGTACATTGATTTTGTATCCTGAGACTTTGCTGAAGTTGTTTATCAGCTGAAGGAGTTTTGGACCCACACTATGGGGTTTTCTGTATAGAATTATGTCATCTGCAAACAGGGGGTTCCTCTCTTCCTATTTGGATGTCCTTTATTTCTTTTTCTTGCCTGATTGCTCTGAACAAGACTTCCAATACTATGCTGAGTAGGAGTAGTAAGAGCAGGCATCCTTGTCTTGTGCTGGTTTTCAAGGAGAATGCTTCCAGCTTTTGCCCATTCAGTACAATGTTGGCTGTGGGTTTTTCATAAATGGCTCATTATTTTGAGGTATGTTCCTTCAAAACTTAGTTTATTGAGAGTTCTTAACAAGAAGAGATGGTGAATTTTATAAAAAGTCTTTTCTGCATCTATTGAGATGATCATGTGGTTTTTGTCTTCAGTTCTGTTTGTGTGATGAGTCACATTTATGGATTTGTGTATGTTGAACCAGGCTTGCATCCCAGGGATAAAGCCTACTTGATCACAGTGGATTAGCTTTTTGATGTGCTGCTTGGTTCAGTTTGCAAGTATTTTGTTGAGGATTTTTTCATCAATGTTCATCAAGGATATTGGCCTGAAGTTTTCTTTTTTTGTTGTATCTCTGCCAGGTTTTGGTATCAGGATGATGCTGGCCTCATGGAATGAGTTGGAGAGGAGTCCCCCCTCCTCAATTCTTTGGAATAGTTTAAGCAGGCATGGTGCCAGCTCTTCTTTGTACCTCTGGTAGAATTCAGCTGTGAATCCATCTGGTCTTGGGCTTTTTTTGGTTGGTAGGCAATTTATTACTGATTCAATTGCAGATCTCACTATTGGTCTGTTCAGGGAAAGATGATACAATTTTTTTAAGTCAGAAAACAAAAGGCAAGTCCAAGAAGGAAGGGAGTTGTATTTCACTATCTGTTATACCAGTTTCTAAATGGATTTTCCTAAAACCACAGAGGCTGTAGGAAAAGGGGCTATGCCTCACATTGCCCTTGGATCATGCTGATGCAAACCTACACAGCTTTCTTTATGGTGGGACTACTAAGAGTTGTTACCATAAACTGTCAACTGCAAAATGAAATTATATTTTGTTTGCAGGATTTTCCAAACTTCTTTGAGCAGAGAAACCTCATGTGTGAGAGATGGGTGGTGGGGGAGTATGGGAGGTGTGAGTGCTTGTGTTTCTGCATGTGTACATGAGGTGTGGGGTATGTGTGGGGGAAGTGGGCTTGTGTATGTGTGTCTGCGTGTGAGTGTAGGAGTAGGTGTGTCCATGTGGGTGTGTGTAGCATCTCCCAGGTGTCCCGCTGGGACATGCTACAATAGAGGTAGCCCATACAAGGCACTAAAGCCAACATGTCAATGACTTGTTCTCTCTGAATCAATATTTCAGCCTCTCTCTTGGCTACTGACTTCACAGTTTACATATCCGAGGTCCGGGAAATGACTCTAGTATCAGAAATAGGTCAGTTTTCATCAAGATTCTAGAAAGCCTCTGGGAAGATGGTAGCTTTGAGCAATTTGTCATGACTCCAATGGGCAGAGCTTGAGAAAGCTCAGCATCCCATGCAGATGCATGTAGTCTGCGTGTGGTGAGAACATCAAAGGGGAGGTCACAAAGAGCTTTTGACTAAGGACCTGTAAACCAAAAAGAAAATGTGAGGGCCCCCAACCATCTGAATGGACTTCCTCCTCTAGGCCAGCGTGCTCTACATTTAACCTGAAAGACTGGTCTGGGCCCTGACAGAAGTGGGGATCAGGCATGCCTCACTATACTTCTCTGGCATTAACATCAACACAGACTTGAATTCTGATAAGAAACATCTACGGTGTGGTGGCTCACGCCTGTAATCCCAGGCTGGTCAGGGGTTCGAGACCAGCCTGCCCAACATGGTGAAACCCCGTCTCTACTAAAAAAATACAAAAAAATTAGCCGGGCGTAGTGGTATGTGCCTGTAGTCCCAGCTAATCAGGAGGCTGAGGCAGGAGAATCGCTTGAATCTGGGAGGCGGAGGTTGCAGTGAGCCGAGATTACACCATAACACTCCAGCCTGGGGGACAAGAGCAAGACTTGGTCTCAAAAAATAAAAATAAAAATAAAAATATATAAATAAATAAATAAATAAATAATCTACCTATGACCTGGAAGCTCTCTCTCCCCCAACCCCTTGGAGTTGTCCTGGCTTTCTGGACCAAACCAATGTATTAATATATCTTAAATGTATTTGATTGACAGGTCACGTCTCTCTAAAATGTATAAAACCAAGCTGCTCCCCGAACACCTGGGGCACATATCCTCAGGGTCTCCTGAGGGCTGTGTCATGGGCCATTGTCGCTCATATTTGACTCAGAATGAATCTCTTCAAATATTCTACAAAGTTGGACTCTTTTCATCACCAGACCCATTGTCTGTGCTTATGTGAGGAAATGCAAGTAGAAATAACTGAATATAGGCTGGGCACGGTGGCTCACGCCTGTAATCCCAGCACTTTGGGAGGCCAAAGTGGGTGGATCACCTTAGGTCAGTTGTTCGAGACCAGCCTGGCCAGCATAGTGAAACCCCCTCTCTACTAAAAATACAAAAATTAGCCGGGTGTGGTGGCAGGTGCCTGTAATCCCAGCTACTTGGGAGGCTGAGGCAGGAGAATCGCTTGAACCCTGGAGGCGGAGGTTGCAGTGAGCTGAAATCACACCATTGCACTCCAGCCTGGGCGACAGAGCAAGACTCTTTCTCAAAAAAAGAAAAAAGAAAGAAAGGACTGAATATTGACGTAGCCAGAGTTTCTTTTCCTACTCTCTTCCTAAACTCAAAAAAAAAAAAATTGTTTTCCTTGAGAGAAGCTTTAAACAAAAATGATGGCTTTGATCCTTCTGTAAAGAATTGTCTTCTCATCCCAGCACATCACGGCCATTCTGCATCCATCCATTCTGCCCTGGGACTCCCTTCCTTTGGATCCACCAGGTGTAAAAGGCACCAAGCTGCCCTGATCTGGCCCGGCTGGTTTCGTTTATTTGTTTGGTGACAAGGTCCATTTACTGCTCTCCCCCCTGCTGACCATCCTAAATCACACTGCCATTCCAACCTGTGGGATGGGAGACTTCAAAGGGCTGGGTCTGAGCCCTGCTTAACATTTGTGAATGCTGAGTCACTAAGACACTTGAAAGGGAATCTCAGCAGGTCCCTTGAGAAATTGCCATTAATTTTGTAGCCAGAAAAGCTTTAGAAATATTTACTGCCCGTCTTCCCTTTTGCTGAGGTTTTTAGCAAACATTAGAAGCAGCACTAATGAGCTCCACAATCCAGCGTCTGAAAAGCTCTCTGCAGTGAATGTTCAACCCCAGAGGTGGGGCAGCAACTCAGAAAAGATCACCATTGAAAAGAATGAATTTGAGCTCTCACAGAGTTGCATGTGAAAAATGACTTATCAGGAAGCACTTCAGGAAACTTGGACAGGCTTAAACTATGAGATCCTCGGTGTGAAATTGTTTTGTGGACAAACAACATAAGTGACAGAGGTTTTCTGCAACACAAAGAACTATTTTTAAACTCTGCTTAAAACAACAACAACAACAAAAAACACCTGAGGGTGATTTTTCCTTTCGGAAGAAAGATACAGCTCCCCATAATTCCTCAAGTCCCAAGCCCCGAGAAGATACAGCTGAGAAGTCCATCCTGGCTGAGCAGGAACCAGCAACCCAGGGCAAAGCAGAAGAGGTATTAGCAGGGCATCTTGGATGAGGAAGGCTGGATTCCACGGGCTGACAACTGTTCTGTTCTTTGAAGTCTCTATTATTGAAAAGTTGATGCTTGAGCAACTGCAGATCACGACCACACTGAGAGTGCTCTGACATTCGCGATAAGACCTGGCTTTTGAGAAGGTCCACGTTCCTCTCACTTGGTCACTTGGGGTGAACCCAGGAGCAATCCCTGTTTATTTACCTTTGTTATATTTTGATGCAAATTCTTGTCGAACTGTGATAAACATCTAGACTAGAAGAGACCCTGACTGCTTCAGGCAAATAGAACCTGTGTCTCCAAGGACTGTGTCCAAAGAGTAGTAGAATAGCACACTAAGTTTGCAGATGACGGGCACCTCTACGGCCATCAGGGAACAGGCCCCAGGGAGGAAAGCATGCTGAGAGCCATTGATTTTTTTCCCACTGGAGGCTGCTGCCTCCTTGGACCTGGAGGCAATCAGAGTCCCTCTTGTAAAGGGAAGTAAAAACTTAAAGTGGCCAAGCATGGGGGCTCATGCCTGTAATCCCAGCACTTTGGGAGGCCAAGGTGGGTGGATCACCTGAGGTCATGAGTTCGAGACCAACCTGGCCAACATGGTGAAACCCCCGTCTCTACTAAAATAATACAAAAATTAGCCGAGTGTGATGGCAGGCGCCTGTAATCCCAGCTACTCGCAAGGCTGAGGCAGGAGAATCACTTGAACCTGGGAGGCGGAGTTTGCAGTGAGCTGAGATTGGGCCACGGCACTCCAGCCTGGGTGACAAAATGAGACTCTGTCTCAAAAACAAACAACAAAACAACAACAACAACAAAACTTAAAGCATTACAGTCAGAGGCGTTGGAATCAGCAACTCCATCTTGAGTAGGGGCTGGGTAAAATAAGGCTGAGACCAGCTGGGCTGCATTACAGGAGATTAGGCATTCTAAGTCACAGGGTGAGATAGGAGGTCAGCACAAGATGCAGGTCCTAAATACCCTGCTGATAAAACAGGTTGCATTAAAGAAGCTGGCCAAAACCTGCCAAAACCGAGATGACCTCTGGTCGTCCTCATTGCTCATTATACACGAATTGTAATGCATTAGCATGCTAAGAGACACTCCCACGGGCGCCATGACAGTTTAGAAACGTCATGGCAACTTCAGGAAGTTACCCTATAAGGTCTAAAAAGGGGAGGAATCCTCAGTTCCGGGAATTGCCCACCTCTTTCCCGGAAAACTCATAAATAATCCACTCCTTATTTAGCATATAATCAACAAATAACCATAAAAATGGCCAACCAGCCCCTCATGCTGCTACTCTGCCTGTGGAGTAGTCATTATTTTATTCCTTTACTTTCCTAATAAACTTTCTTTCAATGTATGGATTCACCTCAAATTCTTTCTTGCGTGAGATCCAAGAACCCTCCCTTGTGGTCTGGATCGGGATCCCCCTTTCCTGTAACATTACTAAAACTGAACAAGACAAGCATTTATACAGTGTTACTTTGTATTTCATTGCTTTTAATTTATTACATTAACCCCATTTCTATGTGCATCTTTAAATATACAGTTTTGTTTTCTAAGAGGCCTTTATGTTGTTAAATAAGTCCTTTAGAGAACATATAAATTATCCACCAAAACAATTCGTCATAAATTTTTGTTATTGTTGTCTTAGCACGGGACTATGGTACATTTGCCCCTGTATCCATGGGGGATTTGTTTCAGGACCCTCCTCCTCCCCGTCCAGATACCAAAATCCACAGATACTCAAGTCCCTGATATTAAATGATGTCGTATTTGCAAATAACTTGCACACATTCTCCTGTACACTCTAAATCATCTCTAGATTACTTATAACACCTAATACAATGGTAATGCTTTGTAAATAGTGGTTTGCTGTATTGTTTAGGAAATAATGACAAGATAAATTCTGTACATTTTCAGAATGGATGCAACTATTTATTGTTACTTTTTAAATATTTGACCTGCTGTTGGTTAAATCCACAGATGCAGAAGCTACAGATACAAAGAGTCAACCATATTTTACTTATTATTATAAAATATAGAAATGTATGCATCAGAAAAAGAATGTCTCCTAATTTTATTCCTCTGAGTTAACCACCTTTAATAATCAATATATGTCATGCTAAAACCATTTCTATGCATATGAAATATTTTGTCAAAATAATCTAAGCAAGGAACTTTAGAACTGACTTCAGATAAATAAAAATAATATGCACATTTGGAAAAAACAGCACAACAAATTAGATCATGCTACATATTCTCATCTGCAATTTACCTTCTTTTAATGATGACATAGTATTTCACTGAATGGATATTTCATAATTGAGCTAATTAATTCCCAACCGATCTAACTGTGGGTTGTTTCCAATTTTTTTTTTTTTGCTATTAAAAGTAATGAGCTTTCTCAAACCAATACCTTTAGATATTTAGGCTATTAATTCCATAGGATAAATTCTGAGGAGCAGAAATTTTGGACCAAATAATATGGACATCTTTCAATTTCAATCACTTTAAATGTTTGATTTTCCTATTGCCTTTTAATGTGCCACTATCCCAATGTGCACCACCAACTCCCTGATAACTTTTACTTCTCTCTCCTGCCAATGCCTTTTAGTCTTTATCACAGAGGGGGGAAAGTAACTAAATGTTGACATTGATTATCTCCTCAGGTGTCGTTATGTTTCTGTCTTACTGCTTTCTCCATAATTTAATTTCCAACATTTCCACCATGATTATGAATTATTTTAGAGTTTACTAGAATGAAGTTTAAGTGCTAAGGTTACTTTCAGAGGTGAGAGAAATTACTTTTGATTACAGATTAGGAAAGATTTAGTAAAGACTGTAACGCAGGAAAATGCCTGACTCCAAATACACGGTAGAGTTTCTGAACAGGCAGGAAGTATAGAAGAGAACAGCTGAGACCCAGAGAAAGAGGCCATGTTAATAATGATAGGGTGCATAGAGATTTCTGCCCAAGGAAGATTAGTAGGGCTGGGCTTTAGGAACACAAACCTTGCAGGAGTGTGTAGAAGAAACAGGGCTGGGGAGAGATCAGCCCTAAAACAATTTCAGGATTCCAGGCAAGAGGTAACGAAGGCTTAAACTAACATAATATAAGGAGCTAGAGAGAGAGAGGAGACAATTACACCTAAAACTGTGGGGGGAGAAATGTGTGAGCTTTGTGGGGCAACATTTTCCCTACATAAGCAAACAGAGCTGCAGGGTCCCCTTGCAGAAGCAGCTGTACTAGATGGAAGCAGGTTTTTCTAGCTCAGCTATTTGTGAAAAGTAAATCTGAGCTTGGAAGGCCTGGAAGCATTGTGCAATTTCTCATTTGAGAGAGGTCATGCTCAGGCTAGCAAAAAGAGGGTAATTTCAACCACAATGAGTGCCTTTTCCCTCCGGAACATTGGGTTTCTCCAAAACATCAAAAAATGCATGTGTGTTAACAGTTTCATTTCTAGATCAATATTTTTCAAGGAGGAAAAGAAATGACAATTTAGAGAAAAACAAAACAGAAGTTGTTGAAACTCTCACCACTGACCCTCCCATTTAATCACCAGAAATGTGGTACCCAAGAGACGGAGCAGCCCTTAAGTTCTCATTCATTTTTTTTGGGGGGGCTGAATGCATTCCCTGTTCATTTCTCAAAAGAGCCACATGAAATAGCCCCGTGAAGTGCTTCATCAGAGGGGACAGCATTTTTTTTTTATTTTTTATTTTTGAGACAGGGTCTCACTCTGTTGCCCAGGCTGGAGTGCAGTGGCATGATCATGGCTTAATGCAGCCTAAACCTCCCAGGCTTAAGTGATCCTCCCACCTCAGCCTTCTGAGTAGCTGGGACTGCAGGCACACACCACCGTGCATGGCTAATTATTGTACTTTTTGTAGATATGGTGTTTTGTCATATTGCCCAGGCTGGTCTCAAACTCTTGGACTCAAGCCATCTTCCCCCCTCAGCCTCCCAAAGGGCTGGGATTACAGGCATGAGCCACTGCACCTGGCCAGGGACAGCATTTTCAAGGTAAGTCTCTGGAAACAGGACAGCCCCCTAAATCACTGCCTTATAACCACAGAAGTTTATTTCTTGCATGCATTACAGGTTGGCAGAAAGTTGGCTGTGGCTCTGCTCCGTGTATTTCCCACAAGCAGATTCCACTGGGGCAGCTGATTTGCGGGGAGTGATGTCCTCATGTCAAAGGAGAAAGCAAGAAAGCAAAACCAAAACAAACCCCAAAATCTGACAATAGCCCTTAATAGTTCAGCTGGGAACTGGCTCCCTGTATGACTTCTGTTCACATTTCAGTGGCCAAAGCAAGTCACTTTCCCAAGCCCCAAGCCTATTCTCAGCAGGATGGTTCATTGACTCCACCCACAAAAGGTACTGTGGCTGTGCTCATGGTGTACTGCACAGGCACCTTACAGGGGGAGGGGGCCAGTAGCTGAGAACAATAATGCATTCTGTGACCAGCCTTGAGGGGCTGGAAATTGAGGCACCAATGCTTTCCCTCTGCCTATTACACCGCACTTCCTCTCAACACCCTACCCAGATCCTGGCCCGTCTGATTGGATCTCTGATTCCAGAGCTGGGACTGTGGTTCTTACCTCTGGCACTTCCTCTCAACACCCCACCCAGATCCTGGCCCATCTGATTGGACCTCTGATTTCAGAGCTGGGCCTGTGTTTCTCACCCCTGGCACTGCCTTTCAACACCCTACCCAGATCCTGGCCTGTCTGACTGGACCTCTGATTCCAGAACTGGGCCTGTGTTTCTTACCTCTAGCTGGATTTCTATTCCACCTTGCAAAGGACCACTTAGTAGCATCAGCCTTCCAGCCCAAAAACATCACCTCTGGATGTACCTCCAAGACCAGAATGACATGCTGGTACAAAAACACAACCTCAAATCCAGTTCAAGCTTAGCACCATTTTTGGATCCATTAAATTAGATGGTTAACTTTCTACTTTCCAGGACCTATGTTCAAATTAGTGTCTCCTTCTAAGATCCTCACCCTTCCCAGCTTCTTCTAATTCTCTGTTGCCCCACTGCAAGGTGCCAACATGCTTTTCAGCCAGTAGAAGAGGCAGGAAAGATCTTTGTTAGTTAGGGCACCTCTGAGTCACTGCATGAAGGGACCTGTGGCTGGGAGGCCCCACCCTCCCTCCTCCTTGCTGGGCCAGCAGGGGCCAGAGCTCATTTCCAATTCTGCCCTGTTTGTGCTTGTTCTTTTTCCATGTAGTATTATCAAGAGCCCGTTTTTATGAGCTGCAACAGTGAGGTCTGTGCAAATAAACTTTCTGAGTAATAATAACTGTCCTAAATCATTTGCTCAGGAACAAACAGTGCTTTGCAACTGGCACAATCAGCTCCTCACATCTGAGTCAGGTTTGTAGCCTGCTTGAAGTGGATGCATGAGAAGGCTGCAGTGCTTTTAAGGGAACTGGAAGTTTCATTCATTGACTTGACAACCAACAAGTAACCAGAGAGAATAAACCAACCAACCAACAACAACAAATAGGATTACTTGCAACAAGGAAAGCAACTTAGACAACCCCAAATTTAAGAAAACAGAGGAAGAAAGGCGCCCACTCCCTCGTCATCTTGGCTATCATTATTTTTTAATTTTGCTCCAATCCCTTTTCATGTAAAATCTAAGAATCGCTGTTACGTAAACTTTGGTATCCAGCTTTTTCTTTTTTTAAAATTAACATCAATAGATTTTCTTCATCATAGTTGCTTTTTGTGGCTGAATAATTTTTCACATACCAAAAGGATTGTACGCATGTTCCATAATTTACTTAGCCAACTCTCTTACTGCTGAACACTTAGGTGATTTTTACTTTATATTTCTGCCATGATAAACAATACTATTATGAACACATTTATATTTTCAAATTTGTACATAATATGAGCTTGTGATTATTTGATTTTTTGGGTTTTTTTAGGCATTAAAGCTAGAATCACAATAGTAGGGGTAGAGAATGATACTACGTATTTACAAAAAACCTAAGAAAAATGATGCTGATTTTCTTGTATCTTCTGGAATCTGTAGAAAAGGCCACCCCTTTAAGAGCTTATGACCTGCTACCTGCAGCTGACAATGGGTGTGCTATGAGAATGAAAGTTGGATGAACGTGTTGTAAGAAGAAAACACATCTTCCCCTTCTACCCACCTTAGGTTCATTGGCTGGGTCCCCTGTAACCAAATGCAGATTAATAAGAGCAAAGTCAGCCGGGCGTGGTGGCTCATGCCTGTAATCCCTGCACTTTGGGAGGCCAAGGCAGGCGGATCACCTGAGGTCAGGAGTTTGAGACCAGCCTGGCCAACATGGTGAAACCCCGTATCTACTAAAAATACAAAAATGAGCTGGGCATGGTGACTTGTGCCTGTAGTCTCAGCTACTTGGAAAGCTTGAACCCAGGAGGTGGAGTTTGCAGTGAGCCAAGATCGTGCCACTGCATTCCAGGCTAGGTGTCACAGTGAGACTCTGTCTCAAAAAAAAAGCCAACAAATTTATTTAATAAGTTTTACATGACACAGAGCCCTCAAATGACATGAAGACCAGAAGAAACAGTTAAACCTGTGTGTTTTTATGCTGTTTGATAAAAGATGAGAAAGCCATGGAAGGATGTGGTAGGTTAAAGGGGATGAGTAAACTGAGGGAAATTTAGCAAGTCCTGTGTGTTCAATTCCTCTCCGTGCCCCTGTGTCTTCAGAAGAGGGGCACCTCTCACATGAGGGTCTTGTGGCCTGCTTCAGGGGAAGGTCAGAGTGCAGGGGAAGGTCAGAGTGCAGGGGAAGGTCAGAGCGCTCTTCTTGCACTTGCCACACCTCAATATATTTTTTTTTTAAGAGACAGGGTTTCACTCTGTTGCCCAGGCTGGAGTGCAGTGGTGCAATCATGGCTCACTGCAGCCTCGAACTCCTGGGCTCAAGTGATCCTCCTGCCTCAGCCTCCCAAGCAGCTGGGACCACAGGTGCATGCCACTATACCCGGGTCATTTTTTTTTTTAACTTTTGGTTGAGACGAGGTTTTGCTATGTTGCCCAGTCTGGTCTCAAATTCCTGGCCTCAAGGGACCCTCCCACCTCTGCCTCCCAAAGTGCTGGGATTATAGGCGTGAGCCATCTCACCAGGCCTATAGTTCTTTGGCTTAAAATACTCAATGTGCTAACATGCTGTACTTTGAGGTAGTGTGCCTTGAATCCCATCAGTGTCCTTCTTATCTCTCATATGCAGGCTTATTTGTAGAATAAATGGATCCTCCCAAGAAGGGTTCATGGAGAAAATTCCCCCTTGGGTGTCAATATCTGAAAAACATGGCCCTGAAGTGCATATTGTGTTTTATTTTACAAACATTATGAATCCTGTAAACTAGTGGTGTGGATGTCTTGGCTTCAGCTAGCAGAGAGCTGGTGCATTTGTGGCTCACTTCTAGCTAATATTTAGGATCATTTGTTATACATTTTTCTGCTAATCATACCTTTAATTTATTTCCAGTATGCTGCTGCTATTTAAAATTATGTTAAAAAGGAATTCTTGGTAATGTAAAAAAAAAAAAAAAAAAAACCTCAGAACACAGTAGTGTATGCTCTATACAAAATGACATTTTTTAAAAAGACAGAAAAGGGCCAGGTGCAGTGTGTCTCACGCCTATAATCCTAGCACCTTGGGAGGCCGAGGTGGGTGAATCACCTGAGGTCAGGAGTTCAAGATCAGCCTGGCCAACAAGGTGAAACCCTGTCTCTACTAAAAATACAAAAATTAGCCAGGCGTGGTGGTGGGTGCCTATAATTCCAGCTACTTGGGAGGCTGAGGCAGGAGAATTGCTTGAACCCTGGCGGCAGAGATTGCAGTGAGCCAAGATCATGCCACTGCACTCTAGCCTGGGCGACAGAGCAAAACTGTGCCTAAAAAAGAAAAAAAGACAGAAAAGAAATACATCTGGAATTAGAAGTGAGTACTGGGGAGCAGGGGGGATTATGGATTATATTTTTCAAGCTAGCTTTTGTGAAGTTTTTAAAACATGAACATGCATTACTTTTATAAGGCTAATGGGAAAAACCATTAGCTTTGGAAACCAAAAAAAAAAAAAAAGAAAGCAAGTGAAGATCCCTCTGTGCACATGGGGCCGGCACCATTTACCTGTAATGGCATCAGGAACATTAGGAAATTGGAAACGGGAGCATCAGCACTTGCACAATTTAATAATTTGCTGATCACTGCCATGCATTAGACTTTAACTATTTTGTCTACAAAGCATGAGCATGCCTTTATGTAGTTAATGCAGCCACATTAAACATTTATATGATGTCTATTTTCCCAGGGCTTGTTTGTTTTCACTTTTTCATATCGGGAGCTGATGCAGCTGCTCTCTGTCTTCTCAGGTGAGGCTCCTGCAGGTGGAGAGGCAAGAAAGCCTCCTCTGTGGCATGCCCGAAGCTGCAGAGAGCTTCTAGGCAGAAAAGTTTGCCTTTTTTTTTTTTTTTTTCCCTCTTTCTCTCCCCTCTGCCCTCCCAGGGCATTTCCTGGGTGTCACGCTCGTGTTTCATTTTGATTGATGCTAATGGCATTTTCAAACTGCAATTTCCCAGGCTTACTTAAAAACCATACTTGGAGATTGTGATAGCAATGTTTCCAATTAACACAACACTCTTCACCCAAGTTTTCAATACTTGGTTAATTCATGGAAAATGAACTCAAAGGATTTAAGAAACTATTTCTCTCCCAAAACAGTTGTGCATTGGAAACACGATCAAGTTCTGAATCTCTAAGCATATCCTGCATGAAAATTAGCTCCATGAAATTAAGCTTCCTTTTTTATTTTTTTGAGACAGGATCTCACTCTGTCACCCAGGTTGGAGTGCAGTGGTGCAATCATGACTCACTGTAGCCTCAAACTCCTGGCCTCAAGCAGTCCTCTTGCCTCAGCCTCCCAAAATGCTAGAATTACAGGCATGAGCCACCACACTCGGCCATAATCCCTTTCTTATGCCTCCTTCTTAGGGTTGCCAGATAAAATATAGGGCATCCAGTTAAATTTAAATTTCAAGTAAACAACAAATAATTTTTTTTTAGTATAATTGTGTCCCAAATACTGTATCATTTTTCTCCCCTAAATGATGAACCTTCCCCTCTGGTTAGAACTGGCCATGTCCAGAAAGGAAAATTTGATCAGTGCCTTATTGCCATAGTGGTGTAGTTGAGATCGGATTTGGCAGTTTAGACAAAATGGCTCATTTGATGCTTTTCTTCAAGGACAAGGTGATTTTTACTCTGTCAAAAACAAATTAAAAAAAAAAAAGTTGGCCTTTGCCAATTCGATCTTTAAACTTGTTGCCATTTTGTTTTTGATTCATGAGTCATGATGTACCCAGCTATGAAACAGAAAAGGTGCTTTGCCCCGTGGGCAGAAGAGTTGGTTTTTGTAAGGCAGCTTGAGCAGGAACAAGGAAATAGCATAAGACAAACCAGAGGTGGGGTGGCATCAGGTCACCTCAGGCTGCCTTCCTCACAAGGATTGAAGCAGAGGGACTTTCTTACCACATAGCTTACAACTGGATCTCCCTTCTGATTTCTCAAATGTCAGATAAACAACGTCGTTTCAGTTTGGTGACATGGAATTTAAGTATGAGTGACTCCATTTTGGAACAACTCTGTGGGGCTGCTTGGAAGCCCCCGGAGAGAAGCCTGAGCTGCATCTCACCGTGTGTTTCATCCATGGCGTGCTCCCAGCTCTAGCGTGCGTGGAGAGAGGTCATGGAGTGTGGTTGCTTTACTTTCTACAAAAGTTCCGAAAGCAGGAGCCCACTGGGTGAGCTGGGGAAGGAACAGAATGGGAGGGGGAGAGAGGAGGAAGTCACTGCAGCTCGTGATCTCACCCCTAAACCTTCTGTTAGTCAAGTTCCTAGCCCCACAAAACGCTTGGTGTGAGTAGATACCTTATGTAACTGGTGAGGTGCCTGGGCTTTTTTATCATTGTGTCTAAGGGATGGAACAGAGGCAGCTCACACAGACTCAGAAGCATTTAGGACAGAAGAGACCACGAGGAGGAGCCCCCTGGGAACTTGCAGGAATGGTGGAAGACTGACAACGTCCCCCTGACATCTAGGTTACAGTTTTAGAGTAGACGGAGCTGTGCATTTGGCAACTAACTGCCTCTATTCAATTCTTGTATCTACTACTACTAGCTGTGTGATCTTACGCAAATAACTTAACCTCTCTGATCCTCAGATTTCACATCTTTAAAAACAGAATATTAACACCTACATCCAGGGTCTCCTTGAGACTTAAATGAGGCATGGAGGTGATGCACCCGGTAGGTAGTAGGAGTCTCCAATAAGTTAGTTGTCTTTTTCTCTTAATTCCACTATTTCTAGGAGGTGAATACACTAGAAAAAAGTTTGTACAGCTGAATAACTAATCATACACAAACAATGTGGTGAACAATTCTTTTCCTACAACTTTCAGGTTACAGAGGAGGGGCGGGGAAAGATGACGTCACAAGAGCAGGGTTAGTTGCACCAGCAAATGAGGCAGGTTTCCGTACCCCTGCAACCCCCGCCTTGCTGCACACGTGCACACACATACACACACGCACACGCTCAAGAATGGGTCCTCCATCCTCCAATGCCAACTTTTATTATAGTTCAGTCATTTGAAATTACTCGTACCAAGTCTTTTCTCCATTTTTGTGCATAATTGAATAATCCAGCTACTTAACAAAGGCCTTCGTGTATCTTTATTCTTCCTCAAACCCTTCAAAAAAATGTATAACTTTTGCCAAAACTTATCCAGAAGTACCAATGTGCTTGCGATTAGGACTTCTTTCCAGTTGAGCTCACTGCCATATCTAAATCTGTGTTAGCTACAGACTCCACACAGAGAGACCCATGAACGAAAACTCAATCTACACCATGGGCATCAGGGCTGCTTTCAAGGGTTTGATTCAACGACAGTCTTAATCGGAGTGCACAACAGCTGGTGTAAATCCAAGCCTTCGCCTTGGCAAGAGAGGAGCTGCTTTCAGAGCAGGCCTGATGGGTGAGGCTGGAGAGGCAGGCTGCCTTTCTGATAGAGCTCATCAGGGACTTCCCATGAGAGCCGCCCGCAGTGCCTCAATGCTGAGATAGAAAAGATGAGTTTAGTGAGAGCTCAGAGTGGTTGTACATAAGCAAAACTGTGATCTCCCAAGAGAAGGGCAGAGATGGCCATGCAGATGGCTGCAGGCACATGCAGATGCCTGTGGCTTTGTCCTCTCCCCTGGAAATGCAGAAGAGAATGGTTCCCTTGTCCTCTGCTCTCTCTCAACCATCCTGCAGGAACTTATAAGAAACACCTTTGTCATCGCCTAAAGGGAGTGAGGAGTGAACTGTAAATCTCAGGTCTGGTGTAACGAGATGATTTTTGCAGTAGGATAGAACATTTTATCAATCCTAAGAGCAACATTCCAGTCTTTTTTCAGATAGGACCACTCCGCTAGCATAGATTTAACCCAGAAATTAGGAACGCAGAGGACTGATTGTATCCCCAGTGGCTCTAGCCAGAAACAATTATCCACTTGGCTCATTAAAACAAGTAACAAATGGCTAATTGTCTCCACAATTTGCCAAGTGCTGGTTCAGTTACTTGTGCCTGTGAACTCAGGAATATGAAGAGAGGCTGGCAAGAATAGAAGAGGAACTAAAATTCTGCCATACATAGATGGGTCCATCATTTTATTTTTTATTCTCTTCCTTAGTGTGGGGAGAGTGGAGCAGGGGGTACAAAAAGAGAAGGATTGAACAGGATGACCCTATGTTACTTTCTGTGTTTCAAGTACTATGATTCATGGTGAAACAAAATGAATAGAATCATACCAGATCTGTGATCAGTTTCAGCAGAATATACATCATCATGAAGTCCCCAGGAGAGGTGAACAAGGAAGGAATGCTCTCCTCACGTTTCTGGAAGTTCCCTGAGGCCCTGCCCAGCTTCTCTTTGGTGATAGGTGAGACCCAGGTGCAGCAGCCCAGCCGTGCTGGGGGGGACTCGGCCTGAGCAGAAGGCAGCAAGAGGAACCTGGGTCCACCCTTCTGTCCTAGTCCATTAGTGCTGTTACAACAACATACCCGAGAATGGATAATTTATAAACAGCAGGAATTTATTTCTTATACTTCTGGAGGCTGAGAAGTCCAAGATCACTGCACCAGCAGATCGGGTGTCTGGTGGGAGGTCTCTGCATCATAGATGGGGCCTTCTACGTGTCCTCTCATGGCAGAAGGGCCAAACAGATGCACCCAAGCCTTTTTATAAGGTCATGAATTCCATTTCTGAAGGCGGAACCCTCCTGACCTAATCACCTCCTAAAGGTCTCACCTCTTAATGCTGTTGCATTGGGGGTTCAGGCTCAACATGAATTTTGGAGGGACACCAACATTCAAATCATAGCACTTTCCTTCTGAAATTATTGGTAGGATGAAGCTCTGGACTTCTGCCTAACACCTCCCTTCTTCCCTTTATTCTTCTGCATTTGCATCTAGCTTGATTTTTTATTTTTCCCAAATTTTCTGAAGATCAGAAAATTGTATCAGTAAATTTCCGGTGATAAAACACCAACAGCCCGTTCTACTCTTGCACAGTCAGGACGGGGTGTGTCTGTGCTGAGGACAACAGGCAGACTCAAGTCCTCTGTCTTCTTCAGAGACACCCTTGAGAGCAAACAAGGAAAATGAAAAGGAAGTTAATAAAAATAAATATTAGGCAAAAGATCATAAAAACTTTAAATGGGAATGAAATAAGAAAGAAAGAGACACAGGGAAGGAGAGAGATGGTGTCTGGGAGATCCTTCTACATGAAAAGTTCCCAGCAGGCAGAGATGACCCTTATTTATTAGGCTGGTGCAAAAGTAATTGTGGTTTTGCCATTAAAAGCTGCAATTACTTTTGCACCAATCTAATACCAGAAGACTCACTCTCTGCTTCTCTCTCTCTTTTTTTAGATGGAGTCTCATTCTGTCACCCAAGCTGGAGTACAGTGGCGCAATCTCAGCTCACTGCAACCTGCTTCTCCCGGGTTCAAGCGATTCTCCTGCCTCAGCCTCCCCAGTACTGGGACTACAGGCGTGCACTACCACGCCTGGCTAATTTTTTGTATTTTTTAGTAGAGACGGGGTTTCACCATGTTGGTCAGGCTGGTCTCGAAGTCCTGACCTCAGGCAATCTGCTTGCCTCACCTCCCAAAGTGCTGGGATTACAGACGTGAGCCACTGTGCCTGGCCCTCCCTGCTCTTCTTGTCCTGCACTGAGCATCTCCCACCTTCTAGCAGATCTGATCGATCAGTTTGTTCCAGTGTACAATGACTGATGAAGGCTGAAATATTAGTCATTTACATTATAAAAATGGATAATTGAAAAATGTGCTGATTATCCCCCCAAAAGCCATCGAAAGTAGCAGGCATTTTAGACAACCCCATTCTTGCTGGTTTCTCAACTTCATTAACCCACGAATGAAGAAAATAACAATATAAATGTTGAATTTGTGCATACGTGTTATTGCTGAATTTTATAAGTCATACTATTCTTTATATTCAGGAGCTATATTGAGCAAAATGCATCATGAGGAATGATTTAATTTGGATGCCTTTGTAAAACTCCATGGGCAAATTATTGCCAACCACAGTCGTCTGAACAATCTTTCTTGCTCTGTTATTTTTCACATTTTTCAAATTTCCATTGGCAACTGAGAAGCCCATTAGGATTATCAGGGCATTTTCCCCTTTTATCAGAGGACTCTTAAAGGATCCTTGAACTCAGGGGGGCATGAACCATTTAGCGTTGGGATGCCAGTGGGGTTTTTTGCTCTGGAAAGGAAATGGCAGGGGTATGGGGAAATGGGCGGTGTGTCAGGAAGCAACGTGTCTTTCAGATGCGGCATGCCTGAGTTTTAGGACAATTATTTAATGTGTTTGAATTTGTGTGTTTTGTGGATGCTGATGCTCAAAATCCACAAAGGCAGAAACCGCAACCCCTCCTAAGCTTTTCTTCCAAGCCATGCCTGACAGCACGCACATTGCCGAGAATGATTACTGAGCTCAGGGTGTGACCTTTTCAGGGGGACCCTCGGTGGGATGCTGCTTGGGAATGCAGCCCTCCCAGGCCACCAGCAAGGGTGACTAATGGGACCAGCTTTTTCAACTTCTTTCCCAAGGGCAACAGAGAAACTCCTGGGTAAGTTTTGATGGGGCAGGATGAGCACAAACCCCTTCCTAGGATCTTTCCCAGAGCTGCACATCTGCTCCTACCCACCACACCAGAATTTCACAACATTTCATTTTTAATTCCACCCATGAGGTCAGCATTCCTAAGTAACAGCTCTTTGGGACATGTGAAAGTGAGAAATCACCCATATTTTCTTAGGAAAAAAACCAAAAACCAAACGGCCATTAACCAGTGGCTCGCGCTGGGACATCTGAGACGTCTGCTTTTTTTTTGCTGAATGCAGCACCTCTCATCTTACCCGGCGCAACACCATCTGCTGCGTTGTGCCCAGAACCTAAAAAGAGCATGTCTTGGCAGAGGAGGGTGTATTTAAAGGCCATCGACAGCAGACCAGCTTCTCATTTTAAAGAAACACAGAGAAAAAGTCCTTCTATCTGAGGCATTCATGAGAGTCGTCGACGGTGAAACAAAAAGCTAGTTAAGAAATTACAAATATTTAGAGTAGGTTACTTTAACTTAAGAGACACAAATATAATTTGTTGGAGATAAAAATCCCTCTTTTGATGTGAGAACCAAGTTCTGTTCTTTGAGTGAGGTCTCCTTGCTGGAATTCTGCATCATCCTTCTTGCAATACTACCTCTTCATTGCATCATCTGATCTTTTCGGATAAGATTTCTTTAATGTAGAGCAAGAACTTAGAAATACACAATGCACTATGTGGGTAAAATCTTTCTTTTTTATTCATAATGTATAAAGTACAACTATATACCAGAACAAAGATAGTAATTTTTTTTTTTTTTTTACTTTAGGTTCTGGGATACATGTGCAGAACCTGCAGGTTTGTTACATAGGTATACATGTGCCTGGGTGGTTTGCTGCACCTATCAACCCGTCATTAAGCCCCACATGCATTAGGTATTTGTCCTAATGCTCTCCCTCCCCTTGTCCCCCACCCCCCGACAGGCCCTGGTGTGTGATGGTCCCCTCCCTGTGTCCATGTGGTCTCACTGTTCAGCTCCCATTTATGAGTGAGAACATGTGGTGTTTGGTTTTCTGTTCTTGTGTTAGTTTGCTGAGAATGATGGCTTCCAGCTTCTTCCATGTTCCCGCAAAGGACATGAACTCATTCTTTTTTATGGTTGCATAGTATTCCATGGTGTATATGTGCCACATTTTTTTTATCTAGTCTATCATTGATGGGCATGTGGGTTGGTTCTAAGTCTTTGCTATTGTAAATAGTGCTGCAGTAAACATATGTGTGCATGTGTCTTTACAGTAGAATGATTTATAATTCTTTGGATATATACCCAGTAATGGGATTGTTGGGTTCTTTTTTTTCACTTTTTTTCTTTTTTCTTTCTTTCTTTTTTTTTTTTTTTTTAGATAAGATCTTGATCTGTCACCCAGGAGGCTGGAGTGGAGTGAAGTAGAAAGATCAAGGCTCACTGCAGCCTTGACCTCCTAGGCTCAATTGATCCTCCCACCTCAGCCTCCTGAACAGCTGGGACTACAGGTGCACACCAACGTGCCCGGCTAGTTTTTGTACTTTTTATAGAGTCGGGATTTTGCCATGTTGCCCAGGCTGGGTTTGAATTCCTGGGCTCAAGCAATCCACCCACCTTGGCCTCCCAAAGTGCTGCGATTACAGGCGTGAGCCACTGCACCTGGCCCAAATCTTTCTAGATGTTTACAATCTCCACCCCACCCCCCAATGTCTTGGCCACAACTTTTTAAAAACATTTTTAAGAGACTCATTCTTAGTCTTTCCAGAGCCTTCATCTTCATTTTCATATAAACGATAGCTCTTTCCTTTTGCACTTACGCTTCATAGAGTCAGCTAGTATTTATTTAAATTACATCACTATAACAACCAATACAACTGGCATAAACGGGCTTGGTGTGGGGGCCAGAGCAACTGCATCTTGGATGCTAATCCACCACGTACTTCTCATTAACCCCAGTTCCAGGAAGGCCTCGGAGATTTCTATGTTATCTACTGTTTTTTACATAAGAACACGTACTTATGGTAAATCCTGCCCTTAAGCAGTTGTCCTACACATTCCTCTGCCTGGGTACATAAGCGGTGGGTCTGGGAGATAATGGTGCGAAGCCATCCACTATCTCATCTTGAGGCCTCCTAGGACATCATGGCTTCTGTTTATAAGTCCCTATAAAATGTTTCTTTCTAAGAAACTGGATTTGTCAGCCTCTTTCTTCGGCCTCTCAGCTTCCTTGGACTTTGGAGGTAGGTTTGCATAGACCTGCTCACTGTCACCTGGGAACCAGCCTGAGTCTTAGGAGGATTTATCAGAGAGCAACCCACTAGCCTCAAAATCTGAGACTGGGCGTGGTGGCTCACGCCTGTAATCCAAGCACTTTGGGAGGCCGAGGCGGGCAGATCACCTGAGGTCAGGAGTTTGAGAACAGCCTGGCCAACACGGTGAAAACCCCATCTCTACTAAAAATACAAAAAAAAAAAAAAAAAATGAGCCGGGCATGGTGGCGGGCACCTGTAATCCCAGCTACTCAGGAGGCTGAGGCAGGAGAATAGCTTGAACCCAGGAGGTGGAGGTTGCAGTGAGCCGAGATCGGACCATTGCACTCCAGCCTGGCCGACAAGAGCAAAACTCCCTCTCTCTGTCTCTCTCTTCCTCTCTCTCTATATATATATATATAAAATATGGCCACACTGAGTCTATTTTGCAGAAGACATGAAGAATATTGGTCAATCCAGCAATGGTGGTTAAGGGAAGGTTGGTTAAGAGGGCTTTAATACACAACAAGGACTTAGAAACACACAAAGCAATATGTGGGTAAAATCTTCCTAGATTTTTACAGTCTCCACTCCACCCTGCAATAACTTGGCAACACCTTCCACACTTGGAAGCCTGAACTGCTTGGGTTCAAATCTCATTTTGCCACTAACAAACTAAGTGAGTTTGAGCAAATTATTCAGGTCTGGTGTTTCCTTATTTTTTCCTTATTTATCACATGGGATAGTAACAGCTTCTAACTTATATGACTGGGTGTGATTAAAGGTACAACCAAACAAATATAAGACTCTCCTCTCTTCTTACCACTTATATTTATAGGATATAGAATCTTCCCAAGAATCAGAGGTGGGTACGATAATATCAATACTTCCATGTCACTACCCCTGGGCTTCACTGGCTGAACTGGGACCTTGGCCTCTCCCAGCAGAGTCTCTTCTAGTTATTGCTGCGAAAGTCCCATGTGTGTCTGAGAACATCTTGGGACTATTCCTGCTTCCCTTTGTTCCTTTTCTCTCTCAGAGGAACCAAAACATTCGGCTCTGGATCTTTGACATGTCAGAACAGCACCTCATTCTGAACAAATCTATGCTGAAAGTTCACCCAGAACCCTGATATATCTCTATTTTTCTCCTTTTCAAAAAGAAAATGAAAACATCTTATAAAATTTTGGAGCCAAATTTTTTTTAGTTAAAAGTATATGTTGGTTCTGACTGCATTAAGTATTATTTTTATCACCATTTAAAATACTTCCTTAGAATCCTAATGCATGGAAATATAGGGATGAATTAATTATTTTCTCTTTTATTCTTTTACTTTCTTTTTTTTTTTGCTATATTAACAGCCTTGCTATTATTCAACACTCTTCTGAAAATCCTAGCCAACTCAATAAGTAACATATAATTACGAAAAAGAAGCCAAAATTATCATTAGTCACAGTTGTGAGGCAATGACAACCAAAAACTATTACAACTAATGAGTACAGCAGGATTGTGTAGAATAAAAATTAAATATAAGTGTATATGTGTATATATGTACATATTTATGTGTGTGTGCATATATACACATACACATATAGTTTTCCTATGTGACAAAAATTACCACCTAAAACATAATATAAAGAGGAATAAAATTGAAACTAACTAAGGCATAACTAAAACAAAATTCTTAGGCCATATTAGAAGAACATAAAACTTTGCCAAGGGATATAAGAAGGAGACTTAGCTATTGCTATAATGAATGTTTCTTTATTATTTTTTTAGAGACAGGGTCTCACTCTGTCGCCCAGGTTGAAATGCACTGGTGCGATAATAGCTCACTACAGCCTTGAACTCCTGAACTCCCAGGTTCAAGCAATCCTTCTGTCTCAGCCTTTTGAGTAGCTGGGACTACATGCATGCACCACCACACCTGGCTAATTTTTAAAACTTTTTTTTATAGATATGGGGGTTTCACTATATTGCCCAGGCTGGTTACAAACTCCTAGGCTCAAGTGATCCTCCCATTTTGGCCTCTGAAAGTGGTTGGATTACAAGCATGAGCCACTGAGCTTAGCCTTATCAGTTTAATATGATTACACTGAAACTATCCCTTTGATTCTTTTTGGAACTTTGAACATAATTTTAAAATTCAACTAGAAAAGTCATTGGGAAAGACTGGACAGGCTGACTCTGAAACCCAAGTCCCCCTGCTGTCCCCACTGCCACTGAGCTGCACTGTGGAGGTGTGTTCTGTTGAAGTAGGTGCAATAACAGCCCAGGGACAGGTAAATAAAATACAACAGAAATCCCCCAAACAGACTCGAGTATCCATCTAGTATTTGATAAAGATGAATTCAAGAACTAAGGTAACATTGGAAGTAAACATGGGTAATTCAGCCATGTGTTCAACTTGACTAGCTGCCATCTTGATTTCTCTAGTGAGATTTTTTTTTGCTGCATTTCACCAGGGGTCTCCTGGTGGTACTCACTCAATGTTTGCAGTATACCATGGTGATTAAGAACTTGGGAGCCTGAGGCCAGGCACGGTGGCTCATGCCTGTTATCCCAACACTGTGGGAGGCCGAGGTGGGCAGATCATCTGAGGTCAGGAGTTCGAGACCAGCCTGGCCAACATGGCGAAACCCCATCTCTACTAAAAATACAAAAATTAGCTGGGCATGGTGGTGGGCACCTGTAATCCCAGCTACTCGGGAGGCTGAAGTAGCAGAATTGCTTGAACCTCAGAGGCAGAGGTTGCAGTGAGTTGAGATTGGGCCACTGCACTCCAGCCTGGATGGCAGAGAGAGACTCTGTCTCAAAAAAAAAAGAAGAAGAAGAAGAAGAACTTGAGAACCTGAAATACTTGGGTTTAAATATCAGTTTGCTGCCATCAAGCTAAGTGACTGAGCAAGTTATTAAGGTCTGGTGTTTCCTTATTTCTCACATGGGATAGTAACAGCTTCTAACTCATACAACTAGGTCTGAACTCATGAACTGTATGAAAATTTTAAAACCAATACTTGTGAAATGCATAGTACTCAATAATTACCATGTAAGAATTACTAAGTGTTTTCATGTCATGATTTCTCTTTTACAAAAATGCAGACTTTACGTAAATTCTCAGAGCGAAATCTCAGTATTCTCAGAACATCTTCTATGGCCCAGTACGTAGGTGCAACCTCTTTTCCTGGACCATACCCTCAATCACATTGCAGGTATAAATTGCCCAGGGGGCAGTTTGAGTCACTTTATTTTAAAATTAGTGCCTGTATATATTTTTTTAAATGTCGATTTCTTCATCAAGTCATTTTTTTGAAAAAGTGGCTATCTTGTGAAAATTGCTACCATAGCAAATATTAATGGTAATTATCCCTGATGTGATTATGTGAGATCCTTACTTTCTTCCTTTATTTTTCTCTAATTTCCCAATATTCTACACTAGAAATGTTTTATTTTAGAGTTAGAAAAAAATATATATTAACAGAAAAACAACAAAGACTTAGGAAGTTTCAACCTATTGGTCTTGGCTGGCTAGGAGTCACTGAGGTTAGAGGCACTTTAACTGCTAACTCAGACTAGCTGATATTTCTTTCTTTCTTATGTTTTAACAAAAATTTAAAAGAAACGGACTCACCAGATGCTCAGACTTAAACTGTGAGAGGCAAAAACACAACAGAATTCCCTAGGGAAACACTGGGTCCCTGAAACCACCATTGCCACATGGCTTACCCTGATAGAGGCAAGTCAGTGTGCAAGGATGAAAGAGCTTGGGTTACGGTTGAGGCTGAGTCCAGGCTGAGCTGGTGATGCCTCAGCGTCCCTTAAGGCAGGACTGGGGCAGGAGTCTAAGAATGAGATTTAGAGGTGTGTTGGGAACAGGCCCCCCAAAATCTGGCCATAAACTGGCCCCAAAACTGGCCATAAACAAAATCTCTGCAGCACTGTGACATGTTCATGACGGCCATGACGCCCATGCTGGAAGGTTGTGGGTTTACCAGAATGAGGGCAAGGAACACCTGGCCCACCCAGGGTGGAAAACTGCTTAAAGGCATTCTTAAGCCACAAACAACAGCATGAGCGATCTGTGCCTTAAGGACATGCCCCTCCTGCAGTTAACTAGCTCAACCTATTCCTGTAATTAGGCCCATCCCTTTGTTTCCCATAAGGGATATTTTTAGTTAATTTAATATCTATAGAAACAATGCTAATGACTGGCTTGCTGTTAATAAATACGTGGGTAAATCTCTGTTCAGGGCTCTCAGCTCTGAAGGCTGTGAGACCCCTGATTTCCCACTTCACGCCTCTATATTTCTGTGTGTGTGCCTTTAATTCCTCTAGCGCAGCTGGGTTAGGGTCTCCCTGACCGAGCTGGTCTCGGCAGAGGTGGGCATAGGAAAACCAGCTCAGATGTCCATTTTGGGATCTCTCCTCATGTCTTTGGAGCTGGCCATTGGGATAGTCCAGGGAGTCCTCCCCAGAAGAATGGCTGGCCCTTTCCTAGTCTCACTGTGCAGACCTCTTGGGAATGTCCTCAGTCTAGTCCAGCGTAACCCCCAGTCAAGAGCTTCAGAGCCTCCTTCTTATGACTTGCGGCATGAATCCTACCTCCAGGAAAGCCTTTCCTCCCTCCAGGAGCCAATTGTGCATGCCATGTTCTGTGGTTATCTCTATCCATGCCTCAGGTCCCTGACATTCAGCCAAAAAGTATCTCCAGCCATGTGCCTTACATGGTTCTGAGCCCTGACTAAGGCAGACCCTGAGAACCAATGGTTGCTGGCAAGAATGGAGATTCATCTACCTTGGCCTCTCAAAGTGCTTAAGAAGAAGGGGAGTGGTGGGTATTTTAAAGATATACTGCCTGGAACCAAGGCAGCTCTAGGGTGGAGCAGCACAAAACATTGTACAACTCAAGAGGACATGATTTCTTCTTTGGTCTGTGGGAATTACACTCCCCTTGTCTGTCAGTTCAGGTCTTCTAAAGAGCAGAAGCCAAGACTAAATTAGACAACTATGTTAGTTTGCTAGGGCTGCCCCAACAAAGTGCTACAGACTGGTTGATTTAAACAACAGCCATGTTAAACAACGTCTCACCGTTCTGGAGGCCAGAAGTCTTAAATCAGGTGTTGGCTCTTTCTGAGGGCTCTCTCCTGTTCTGTGCCTCTCTCCTGGCTTCTCATAGCCTTAGGAGTTCCTTGGCTTGGAGATGACTCTCCCTGTATCTTCACACCATCTTCCCTCTGCACGCATCTGCATCAGTGTCCAAGCATCCTCCTTCTTATTAGGACACCAGTCATACTGGACTAGGGTTCACTCTAATGACCTCATCTTTTTTTTTTTTTTTTTTGAGACAGAGTTTCGCTCTTGTTGCCCAGGCTGGAGTACAATGGCATGATCTCGGCTCACTGTAACCTCTGCCTCCCGGCAGAGTTTCTCCCGGCAAGTGATTCTCCTGTCTCAGCCTCTTGAGTAGCTGGGATTACAGGTGCCTGCCACTATGCCCGGCTAATTTTTGTATTTTTAGTAGAGATGGGGTTTCACCATGTTGGCCAGGCTGGTCTTGAACTCCTGCTCTAAGGGTATCCAAAGTGCTGGGATTACAGGCATGAGCCACCGTGCCCAGTCTGACCTCATCTTAAACTGATCATCTGCAAATGCCCGGTATTAGTCCTGTAGTACCAATTTAGTATATCGGTTTTCATGCTGCTGATAAAGACATACCCAAGACTGGGCAACTTATAAAGAAAAAGAGGTTTAATGGACTCAAAATTCCATGTGGCTGGAGAGGCCTCACAATCACGGTGGAAGGTGAAAGGCACATGGCAGCAGACAAGAGAGAATGAGAGCCAAGTGAAAGAGATTTCCCCTATAAACCCATCAGATCTTGTGAGACTTATTCACTACCATGAGAACAGTATGGGGGGATCTGCCCCCATGATTCAATTACCTCCCACTAGGTCCTTCCAGCAACATGTGGAACTTATGGGGGCTGCAATTCAAGATGAGATTTGGGTGGGGACACAGTCAAACCATATAATACCCTATTTCTAAATAAGGTCACATTCACCAATACTGGGGGTTAGGACTTTGAATTAGTCAGCTTTCTCTAGAGAAACAAAACCAATAGGATATAGGTAGAAAGATCAATCAATAGATAGACAGATAGAGATAAAATAAGGAATTGGCTCACATGATTATGGCGGCTGACAAGTCCCCATATCTGCAGTCAGAAACTTGGAGACCTAGAGGAGCCAACGGTGCAGCTCCAGTTTGAATGCTAGAAGGCTCAAGACCCAGGAGGAGCTTGATGTTGCAGTTTGGGTCTGAAGGCAAGGAAAGAACCAATGTCCCAACGCAAGGCAATCACGAGAAAAGTGTTTCAACTTACTTGAAGGAGGGTTGGCATTTTGGTTCTATTCAGGTCTTCAACTGACTGGAAGAGGCTCACCCACACTGGGGAGGGCCATCTGCTTTCCTGGGTCTCCTGAGTCAAACATGAATCTCATACAGGAACACCCATAATGATGTTTGATCAAATGTCTGGGCATCCGGTGGCCTAGTTAAGTATGAAATTAACCACCACCCTTCAACATCATTTGGGGGGACACAATTCAACCCAAAACAATGTGCTAAAGATTGATTGGGCCAACTGCCTGGGGAGGATGAAAAGAGTGGGGCAGGAGAAGGCAGGGAGAGCCTTCTGGCCTCTAAGCAGGGCTGGCATTAGTGGAAAAAAAGGAAGGAAGGAGGAATGAGTAGGAAGAGCCTGGGACCACAGCACAGCTCTGACAACACATGCCGGGCAGGCCATGGCAGCCCCAGAGCAAAAGTTGGCTCTTCAAGGGCCCTTGGCCTGGGCAGGAGTGGCCGACTGTCATACGCCTGCTGTGCTGGGACCGTGGCTACAGCCAGAGCTGCGTGGTCTCAGCAGGTGCAAGGATGCTGCTGCCAGGGGTCGCCATCCGACTACAGCCCTCATGGCAGGTTCTCTTGAAGGGAGGTCACTTTCCCGGACCTTCAGGGCTCCTGGCTGCCAGCCCCTGGTCACTCCTCCTACTTTAGAGGAGTTCCCAGACCCATGGAAGGCAGGCTTCCTGAAGATTCTGGGAGAATGATAATCTTACATACGTGGAGATTGCTGACAGGAGGAAAAGAACCTGAGTTCTGGAGTCAGACAGCCTGCATCCCAATCTTGACTCCACTGCTTATGAGCTGTGTGTGGCCTTGCTCAAGTCACCAGATTTATTTATTTATTTAAGATGGAGTCTCACTCTGTCGCCCAGACTGGAGTGCAGTGGCGCGATCTCGGCTCACTGCAACCTCCACCTCCCAGGTTCAAGCGATTCTCCTGCCACAGCTACCCAAGTAACTGGGATTACAGGCACATGCCACCATGCCTGGCTAATTTTTGTATTTTTAGTACAGACGGGGTTTTGCCATGTTGGCCAGGCTGGTCTCAAACTCCTGACCTCAGGTGATCCTCCCACCTCAGCCTCCCAGAGTGCTGGGATTACAGGCATGAGCCACTGCACCCAGTCAAGTCACTAAATTTAACAGTGCCTTGGTATCCTCATCTGTGAAAGGGCGACACTAATCAAACCTGTCTCTGAGATTTGTTGGAGAATTAAATAAGGGGAAAGACATGAAGCCCTCAGGACCTAGTGTGGCATAGCCAAACGCTCCATGATGTGGGCTCCATACACACCCTCCTAATACAGTGTTTGTGTAAGTTAGAGTTGCAGCCAAGATTCCCAACTAGAACTATCTCCCTCTCTTCCTTCTCTTAATTGCCTTATAATTTCCATTCTTCCATTTCAAATTCCAACCAGAGAGACACACTGTTTTTGGCCTGCTCCTCTTCTTCTCCTGTGCATAGGTTGTTGGGCCTCTTGGAATGATGACCCCAGTATAAGCAGCTGTGCCAGAGGAGAAAGGGGGCGAGAGGGGCCATGTCATCCACAGGGAGCTACCCCTTCATCTGAGCTGCTGTTTTATGCAGGAGGCACCGCATGCTGGTCGCACCCCTACAGTTCCCCAGATGCTGCTAAGGGATTTTGTTGGCCACCATTGGTCATTGGCCTCACTGGGGACAGACGCCAGTCATTTAACATCAAGTGTGTAGCTTCCCTTATTCCAAACCAGTCTGGCCCTTATGATAGATGCAAATGCTTCCCTGTGAGGAAGGTGGGATGCATACCTGGGGACAGACCCTTCCAGATCAGGTAATTCATCTTACGCAACAAGATCAAGGCGAAGGTTGCCCCTGATACCCTCCCTAGGCTGCCCACTAAACTGATTATGAAGCCAAAACAAACCAGATAAAAAACTCAAACTGCACACAGCCTGAAAACTAGCAATAATGATGAAACAGTTGGTAGAATTTGAAAGATGGTGTATTAGTTTTCACTTGCTATACCAGGTATAAAAAATAAACTAAGCTAAACCCTTCGATCATATGTTCACAGCCAATTAAAGGCTAAAATGTAGACAAGCCCAAGTTATGCAAATGCCAGAGAAAATATCAGAGGAAGAATCTGCTGTCTGGAAGGGAAGCAACGGAATTACGCAATGAAATCACTCAGAAAAAAAATAAGTCATAATTCTTTTGGATTTAAAAAATGGAGCATGGTGCTGGTGCCAAAACAGATATATAGACCAACGGAACAGAACAGAGACCTCAGAAATATCACTACGCTTCTACAACCATCTGATATTTGACAAACCTGACAAAACAAGCAACGGGGAAAGGATTCCCTATTTAATAAATGGTGCTGGGAAAACTGGCTAGCCATCTGCAGAAAACAGAAACCGGACCCCTTCCTTACACCTTCTACAAAAATTAACTCAAGTTGGATTAAAGGCTTAAATGTAAAACCTAAAACCATAAAAACCCTAGAAGAAAACCTAGGCTAGAAGAAAACCTAGGCTAGAAGAAAACCTAGGCTAGAAGAAAACCTAGGCTAGAAGAAAACTTAGGCTAGAAGAAAACCTAGGCTAGAAGAAAACTTAGGCTAGAAGAAAACCTAGGCTAGAAGAAAACCTAGGCTAGAAGAAAACCTAGGCTAGAAGAAAACTTAGGCTAGAAGAAAACCTAGGCTAGAAGAAAACTTAGGCTAGAAGAAAACCTAGGCTAGAAGAAAACTTAGGCTAGAAGAAAACCTAGGCTAGAAGAAAACTTAGGCAGTACCATTAAGGACATAGACATGGGCAAAGACTTCACGACTAAAACACCAAAAACAATTGCAACAGAAGCCGAGATTGACAAATGGGATCTAATTAAACTGCACAGCAAAAGAAACTATCATCAGAGTGAACAGGCAACCTACAGAGTGGGAGAAAATTTTGCAATCTGTCCATCTGACAAATGTCTAATATCCAGAATCTAGAAGTATCTTAAACAAATTTACAAGAAAAAAACAACCCAATCCAAAAGTGGCTGAAGGATATGTATAGACACTTCTCAAAAGAAGACATTGATGCGGCCAACAAACATATGAAAAAAAGCTCATCATCACTGCTCATTAGAGAAATGCAAATCAAAACCACAATGAGTTAGCATCTCACGCCAGTTAGAATGGCAATCATTAAGAAGTCTGGAAACAACAGATGCTGGCGAGGATGTGGAGAAATAGGAATGCTTTTACACTGTTGTGTAAATTAGTCCAACCATTGTGGAAGACAGTGTGGCAATTCCTCAAGGATCTAGAACCAAAATACCATTTGACCCAGCAATCCCATTACCCAAAGGATTGTAAATCATTCTACTATAAAGACACATGCACACATCTGTTTATTGCAGCACTATTTACAATAGCAAAGACTTGGAACCAAGCCAAATGCCCATCAATGATAGACTGGATAAATAAAATGTGGCACATATACACCATGGAATACTATGCAGCCACACAAAAGAATGAGTTCATGTCCTTTGCAGGGACATGGATGAAGGTGGGAGCCATCATTCTTAGCAAACTAACACAGGAACAGAAAACCAAATACCGCATGTTCTCGACTCTAAGTGGGAGTTGAACAACGAGAACACATGAACACAGGGAAGTGAACGTCACACACCGGGGCCTGTCAGGGGTTGCGGGGCAAGGGGAGGGAGAGCATTAGGACAAATACCTAATGCATGCAGGGCTTAAAATCTAGATGACTGGTTGATAGGTGCAGCAAACCACCATGGCACATGTATACCTATGTAACAAACCTGAACGTTCTGCGCGTGTATCCCGAACTTAAAGTAAAAAAAATTAATAAATAAAAATAAGTAAAATAAAATAAAATGAAAAAAATGGGACAAAAGGCAAAAAAAAGATAAGAAGCCAAAACCAAAGATCAAAACTCTTGGAAAAATGCTTACCACAAATAAATGGGGATAAAAGATTAATATTATTCATCTACACCAAGTACTTATAGAAAAACATGTTAATTATAGGCTTGTTAAATATTACAACAATGTAAAACAATTAAAATATCCAATGACAAGAAAATTAAATTTTTCTACGTGTATAAGATGACATGCTGGAGTATAAAGGCTTATGAGGAACATTTAACGACATGTTAAAATTCCCATAATATAATGGTACTACGGTTTGAATGTGTCTCGAAGTTCATGTGTTGGAAACTTAATCCCCAGTGTAATAGTGTTGAGAAGTGTGAGGCCTTTAGGAGGTGTTTAGGTCATGAGGGCTCTGCTTTTATGAATGGATTAAGGTCTTTATTGTGAGAGTGGGTTTGCTATGAAAGTGGGCTTGGCCCTTTCTTGCCCTTCTGCCTGCTGCCATGGGATGATACAGCAAGCAGGCCCTCAGCAAAGGTAGCCACCTTGACCTTGAACTTCTCAGCTCCAGAACTGTAAGAAATAAACCTCTGTTCTTTATAAGTTACCTGATCTTAGGTGTTCTATCCTAGCAGTGCAAAGCAGACTAAGACCAATGGCAACTAGAAAAGGAAGGAGGAATTTATGTACAACACACTCAACTGTGTGTGCATGTATGCCTGTGTGTGTATGTATGTGTGTTTTGTTCATGAGTGTTTGTGTATGTGGTATGTTTGCATGTATGTGGGTGGGTGTGCATGTGTGTACATGTGTATGCACCCGTGTGTGCATGTGAGTGTGTGTGTATGTGTACCTCAGAAAAGCAAAACAAAAAACATCATGAAGAAAATTATTATACCAGAATAATAACAGTGGTTAAGTCTGCGTGATGAGATTATGGAGTGATTTAGTAACTTTATTTTTTACACCTTTTACATTTTCTGCAGTGACAATGTACTAGTGTTATAATCAGAGGGGAAAACTTCATGAAAAGATGTTGATACTGGAAGATAAAAAATATTACAACTCTCAGAGACACGTGGGCAAATAATGCACAAAGAGATAGAGAAAGAACTATTGAAAATCTTCCCCAAACCAAAGAAAAGTAAATCAATACAACTTGGCATGCACGTTTTCTTCCATTGTGTTAGTAAATGTATTCATAAAAGGGGTCTCTAATGCTGCTGTGACTGTATCAAAAGTCACTTTCATTACCTGTCGTGGGCAGAACAGAATCTTTGAAAAATAATTTGGCAATATGCGTCAGGAACCTTAAACACCTTCATGACCTTTCACTTGTGGGAAGCTACCTAAAGAAATAATCTGAGAATCAAATACTGATGTATGCACCAAAATGCAAATCACATCATTATAGAGCAAAAACTTAGGAGTCATACAAATGCCCAGTAACTTTCAAAATAGTTAAATGTTTGTAAAAAAAAACTAAAGTATATTCACCTCCTGAGTATTCTGCAGCCAGTAAAGTTAGGTTGAAGGTCAGTGTTAGTGGCATGGGATATTTATGGATTCGGTTGCATTGTATGAATTTCTTTTTTTTTTCTTTTTTATCCTTTTGTTCTTAAGTAGTGTATCAGCTGGAACCCAGCCTCCCACATAGCTTTGGAAGCCTGCTTTGGGTCTAGGTTATTCTCTTCCTCATTCTCACTTGCGTTGCCCTCCCACAATATTTTGCTTCTGAAGAGTGTCTAGAAAACTGGTAGTGGTTGCACACACACAGAAATCCCAGACTTCTAATTCGGATTGAAAGAAGGAGCTTCAGTGTTTGCTGTGTGTGTTAGTTTCCTATGGATGAGCTGACAAATTACCACAAATCTGATGGCTTAAAATCACACACAGCAGGAAGTGATGGCTCACACCCAGCACTTTGGGATGCTGAGTCAGGAGGATCACTTGGGGCCAGGAGTTCAAGATCAAGCCTGGCAATATAGTGAGACCCTCATCTCTGTAAAAAATACAGGCCAGGCACAGTGACTCGTGCCTGCAATCCCAGCACTTTGTGGGGTTGAGATGGGTGGATCACCTGAGGTCAGGAGTTCGAGACCAACCTGGCCAACATGGTGAAACTCCATCTCTACTAAAAATACAAAAATCAGCCAGGCTTGGTGGCATGTGCCTGTAATCCCACCTACTCATGAGGCTGAGGCGGGAGAATTGCTTGAGCCCTGGAGGTGGAGGTTGCAGTGACCCGAGGTCGCACCAGTGCACTCCAGTCTGGGCAACAGAGCGAGAATCGGTTTCAAAAAAAAAAACAAACAAAAATTAATAGACCTGCTGGTGCACACTTGTAAACCCAGCTGCTCAGGAGACTGAGGCAGAAGGATTACTTAAGCTCAGGAAGTCAGGGCTGCAGTGAGCTATGATCACAGCACTGCACTCCAGCCTGGGAGACAGCACAAGACCCTGTCTCAAATTAATAAATAATATAACAAAATAATTTTAAAAGTTAAAAATTTTTAAAAATACACTTATTCTTCTGTAGTTCTGGAAGAGGTCAGAATCTAAAATCAGTTTCATTAGGCCAAGACCAAGGTGTCAGCGAGGCTGCACTCCCTCTGGAGGCTTTAGGGGAGAATAATTTTCTTGTCTTCTCCAGGTTCTAGAGCTGTGCCCCTCACATTCCTTGGCTCACAGCCCCTTCTTCCAGCTTCAAAGCCAGCAGGGTAACATCTTGCTTCAGCATCCTATTTCCCACTTCTTCTGTGTCAAATTTCCCTCTTCCTCCCTCTTACAAGGTCACGTGTGAATACATTTAGGACCTACCCAGATAATCTTCCCATCAAAAATTCCTGAACTTAATTAGTCACATCTGCAAAGTCTCTTTTGTCACGTAAGGTAACATTCAGAGGTTCTAGGAATAGGACATAGATATCTCTGGGGGCCATTATTCAGTCTACCCCAATGTGGCACATACAAGGGAACCTGCAGCATTTACCTTCTGCTCATGATCTGCAAAGCCTGCTCAGGAAATGTGCCACACCCCTGTGTTCCTGCTGGTATATTATGAATCTAGATAACCCCCTGTTTCAGTCTGTTTTATGATGCTGTATCAGAATAGCCGAGACTGGGTAATTTATAATGAATAGAACTTTACTGGCTCATAGTTCTGGAGGCTGGAAAGTCCAAGATCGAGGTGCCAGCATCTGGCAAGGGCCTTCTTTCTGCAACATCCCATGGTGAAAGGGCAACAGAGAGAGAAGAATTGCATGAATTTCTGTTTTGTCAGTTAAGATGGTCAAATATTGGCAAATTCATATGTTTCATCTTTATACGGTGCAGGTCTCAACAGTTTGTAATATGCATGGAAGGAAATGCATTTGAATATTGACAGTGGTCACTCCTGAGTTGTCTCTGAGTGTTAACATGATAGATGACTTTAATCTTCCTATCTGTGGTTTTTCAGTCTAATCTAACGTTTATAATAAACCGTATGATTTAGTAATCAGAGGAAGAAAAACAAGACCAATGCCTGCCCTCCTCCCAAAAATCTGCTCTTAAAACGAAGAACTGCTTTTTCCTGCCTTTCCCTGAGAATTTTTCAGATATGCAGAAAAGTAGAGAGACTAGTATACTCATCACCTGTAAGTCTTGGTTTAACAATTGTTGACATTTTGCCACTTTTAAAAATCTTTCGTTTCAGCTGAAGTATTTTAAAGTCAGGCATCATGATACTTTACACCTAAATACTTTAGCATGCCTCTTGCAAAGATGCAGACATTTTCTTACATTTCCATGATCTTACCTAACAAAATTATCACTAAAGTTTGTAGATTTAAAATCTTGAAAAATTATCTTCTTGCACTTCTGTAATTTCTAGTATGTTTAACCATCACAACATGATATCACTGCAGTTCCTTTTTTGCTTTCCCTTAATTTTGGAGGTAAAAATTTAAAGTGAAATGGAAGATGGGAGGGAGTTTATTTCTGGCATTGCTCAGTGTGAGCCAACTCTAAAATTCTATCTTAACAGTATGCAGTTCACAAGACACTGAATATGAAGGTCACATTTCTAATGTCACACCATGCAGGAACCCAGGCATCCTGCTGCTTCGTGCCTCAACATCTGCATATAAATATGTTCATTTCAAATTTTGTGGTCTTAAGGACAGAGTGGGGAGCATGAGTACAGGTAGCGGTGGCTTAGCACACAACGAGTGGTAGAGACATGATTTTGTATCCTGTGTTACATCTTGCCAGTGAGGCACAGTTTCTTTCACGGAATAAATACATCCAGTGTTTATTACAAGTAGAAGTAACTTAGAAAGACCCTTGTCTTCTCACACAGCTTAACTATGGCCCAGGAGGCATGATAGGGCTTGCGTTGGGTCAGGGTCTCCTATGTCATCCATTGATTTTTTGGGGTGGAAGAAATGCTCTTTTTTTTTTTTTTTTTGAGACAGAGTCTTGCTCTGTTGCCCAGGCTGGAGTACAATGGTGCGATCTCAGCTCACTACAACCTCCGTCTCCCAGGTTCAAGTGATTCTCATGCCTCAGCCTCCCAAGTAAGTGGGACCACAGCTGTGCACCACCATGCCTGGCTAATTTTTTTTTTTTTTTTTTAGTAGAGACCTGGGTTTCACCCTGTTGGTCAGCTGGTCTCGAACTCCTGACCTCATGTGATCCATCTGCCTCAGCCTCCCAAAGTGCTGGGATTATAGGTGTGAGCCCCCGAGCCCAGCCTTTGGGGTAGAGGGAATGCTCTTTGTGCTAACTTCTTTCTCCTTCAGTGGCCCTTCCAACATTCTATCCAGAGGCTTCTCCTTTCCAGTTAGGGAACCATCTGTCAGTGAAAGATATTTCGCTACCACAAGCTGGGAACCGCTCCCCACTTCTTCATGGAAGCTCTCCAGAAGGACTCTTGAGGAATGAAGAACTGGAACCTGGAGATGGAAGGACTGTGCCTGGTGTTCCCAGGAGCAGCCGATAACATTGCAGATTGTGCAAGTTTGGCCCCTTCGGCCCTCCAGCAGGTTGGCATCCATTGTCTGGTTCATTAGAAGTTGATGCTGGCTTTCCCATTGATGGAGCAGTCCCTACAGGGTAGTCACTCCCTCCTTGGCACGCTGATCTCTGGGGTTGAGGTGGAGGCGCTTCCTCCACTGGATCCAGTAAGTTTTGCACGTGTTTGGGATTTGGGGAAAGACAAGCCTGGTTTGGAGGATGAGGAGGCAGCTCCCTTGGTCCCAGGAGAAAGGAAGCAGCTTTTCTGACAATGCTGGGGGAAGAGGGTCACCTACCACCTCTTGCAGCATGAGCAAAGGGATCTAATCAGGCGGGAGGAGGTTTAGGAAGTAGCTGGACTCAATGAGAGACAGGTGGTAGTGTTTGGGATTCTGAGCTGGCCCCCAGCCAGGGTAAGTGGAGCAGCTGTGCTGTGAGAGATGGGCTGACGTGCACCACAGGGTGCCAGGCCTGTGCAAACCGCCTGTGTGTGCAGAGAGCCTGATTACCTTCAGGGCCTCAAAAGGGCAGAGACACAATTCTGGGCATAAGAACCCATCTGAAATGCCAGGGCAGGAGAAGGTTGCAGCCTGGTGGGCTGGCTGTCACCCAGCCTCACGCCAAGCACAGAGGGTCAGATCATGGCCTCCAGACCTGACATGTGAACTGACAGCTGGAGGAGGCGGACCCCTCTGTAGTCCCTGTCCTGCTGCTGGTGAGAAGGGCTAATGCGTTGGGCTGAGCCTGCCATTTCCAGAACATCTTAATGACCACAGCTGTGCAGCCAGGGATCGCTTTACCACACCAGGTGCTGGAAACACCCAAGACTGGTGCTTCTCAGTGTGATCTCCCTACACCCTGACAGCTCTGTCCTCTGCAGTAAGTGAGACCTTGACTCTATCAGAATAGGGACAGAATTAAACGCATAGTTTCTGGAGCCAAACTGCCTGAGTTTAAGGCCAAACTCCACTCCATACTGGCTGCATGTAAACTGTAGAAAGCTACTGTGTTCGTGATATGTGGCTGCAGAAGAAAATACCTCCTTAGTAAAACATTCAAATAAAACAGAAGAGTTGTTCAGAAGTAACTGGAAACACTGTGGAATGCTACCTCACACATGCTCATCATTTTAGCATAATTTGCTAAAATGGTTTTTAACTCCGAAATATTTACCTCGAAACACACATACACACATAACTAATGGAACATGTTATGGTGCATTGTTAACACATGCTTTCCCCACGCTCAGAATGCCACCAACACGAGCCAGCACCGTGGGCTGCTTGCACACCCTGCCACAGAGCTCCAGCTCACTGCACGGCAGAACCCCTTGGCGACAAGCTCTCAGCTCATTACATTTGTGGTGATTTGTTCCACCAGCAAATGGGAAAGTCATGTCCTCTCTGATGGCCAGGATCAGCACACTAGGTTGGAGCTGGGATGGGTACATGGACCTTCAGTATTTCATTTCCTTCATTATAACTTACTGGGCAATACAAATTTATTTTCTATTATCTAAGATATAGTTTAGTTAACTAATCCGCTCTCAGGCTGGTCTACTAGCACTTCCATTCCTAGGCATATATAGAAAAGTATCCTAAGGGAGTGTAAGGAAAATATACAAATATATAAATATATAAGGTAAATATGCAGAAATCTGTCCTAAAACTCTCTCCATCAGCACTTGCTTTTTGTTTTTTCTTTTTCAGAGATGGGGTCTCACTCTGTCGCCCAGGCTTGAGTGCGGTGGTGCGATCACAGCTCACTGCACTCTTGAACTCCTGGGCTTAAGTGATCCTCCTGCCTCAGCCTCCCAAGTAACTGGAACTACAGGCACACGCCACTATGCCAGGCTAATTTTTTTACAGACGAGGTCTTGTGATGTGGCCCAGGCTGGTCTCAAACTCACAGGTGTGAGCCACCGCACTGGGCTTGGTACTCACTTTTTGAAAAACATTGCTGTGGAGAGCAGCATTTACTCAAAAGAGGGTTTAAGCAGCATAGCACCATGAAGGAGAACATTTCAAGGCAGGAACCTTCCCAGAATCCCCAAAATAATCCCCACTGGCTGACCCCTTGCTCAAGGAAAACCTGCAGTGAGCTTTACAGGATGGATGCTCAATCTCTTAGGTGGGAGCAGAGAGCGGCAGGGCACGAAGCTCTGGTTGCCCCTGAATCGGATGAACTTTGTGAGTGGATGCAGGGTCAGAGAGGGAATGGTGAGGGCTTCGCCATCTCCAAGGGTCTGTGCTCTCCGTTACTCTCAGGGGATCTGACCATCCTGAGAGCTCCAAGGTGGCAGAGGCCCATCTTCCCCATCTCAGTCCACTGTGGGATGCAGCGTCAAGCTCACGGTCGGCAGCAGGAGATGTTGGATGACTTATATTTATTTGGCAAGCGGGGGCCCCAGGAGTTGGGAGCAGCACAGGCCTTCCCTGAGTCTTGCTATGTAAGCATACCCATCCACTGTTGATGTCTTAAAAACTCAGAGGATTTGCTAATGTTCCCTAAGAATCTGCGTGTTATTGGATATGGGTATTTCCCAATTCAGTTAGAGCAAACTCAGTGTTTTTCTAAATAAATGACAAAAGCTGCAATGCTATTTCTTGTTGTTGTTGTTGTTGAGACGGAGCCTCACTCTGTCACCAGGCTGGAGTGCAGTGGCGTGATCTCGGCTCACTTCAACCTCCGCCTCCTGGGTTCAAGTGATTCTCCTCTCTCAGCCTCCTGAGTAGCTGTGACTACAGGCGTGCACTACCATGCCCGGCCAATTTTTGTATTTTTAGTAGAGATGGGGTGGGGTTTCACCATGTTGGCCAGGATGGTCTCGATCTCTTGACCTCGTGATCCGCCCGCCTCGGCCTCCCAAAGTGCTGGGATTACAGACATGAGCCACCACGCCCGGCCAATGCTATTTCTTAATGTTAAACGTGGGTCTGGCAAATGGAGTTTGTATTCTGAAGCATCAAAACATCTGAGAGTTTTAATGGTTTAAAGGAAGAGAGGCACAATATGTTAAATCAGACCATTCCCAAGAAATCTGAGCACATTGGTTCACCACTCACTTCCGGAGTTTCTGCTCTCTCTCTATGGCTGCTCCCTGTGGAATCCGTGGCCAGACCAGCCCTGTCTCATTTCCTAAGTGTTGTCTGCTCAGTCTCCATTCCCACCCTCATCCTTCCACTCTGGGTGCTCTTACTCCTGTGGTGGGGTGCAGGCAGCTGCAGCCCAGGGAGAAGCTGCTCAACAGATTCTCTGGGTTGGCAGCTAGGAGTGCGTGGGCTGCCCCACCCACCCATCAACTGCTGGGCCAGGAGGCCAGGTCTCTAATCACAGCTTGGCCTCACCATCAAAAGGTCAAAAAAGACCCATCCTCTGTCCTTCAAAGTCCCAACTTCAAGTGTAATTACTAGGTGCTTTCCCTGTGGGGGGAAAAAAATGGAAATCCTGCTGCATATCATCAGCATCCTTAAGCAGTCCCAGGGTATAATTTCCTCTGCCTCAGTGCTCCGAGGGTATTGGCAAGGGATTCGGACAGCCAACCTCTACCACAGGCACCAACGCAAGCCTTACAGCTCAGCACCTATACGTCATTTCTTTCTTTTTCTTTTCTTTTCTTTTTTTTTTTTTTTTGAGATGGAGTTTCACTCTTGTTGCCCAGGGCTGGAGTGCAATGGTGCGATCTCGGCTCACTGCAACCTCTGCCTCCCGGGTTCAAGCGATTCTCTTGCCTCAGCCTTCCTGAGTAGCTGGGATTACAGGCATGCGCCATCATGCCCGGCTAATTTTGTATTTTTAGTAGAGACGGGGTTTCTCCATGTTGGTCAGGCTGGTCTCAAACTCCCGACCTCAGATGATCCACCCGCCTTGGCCTCCCAAAGTGCTGGGATTACAGGCATGAGCCACTGTGCCCGGCCCAATACGTCATTTCTATTGCCACTTCCCATGCAACATGCCTGCATCCCGTTAAATTGCACAGGGTGCTACAGCAAACCTGGAGAGAGTCCAGTGACCCAAGGCAGAATGTAAGGCTGGCGTTTGGAGAGCTTGGTCACAAAACATCTGAGGCTTGAATACAATGGTGGGTGGGCTGCATCCTCCTGGGAGCATGGCCACAAACATGCACCTTGGTCAGAGGAACCCCAGGACACCAGGGACCAGTGAGGGAAGAAGATGAATTTGAAAACCGTGGAGACAGTTAAGAGGCACGTGAGCACGAGGGCAGATGGGTGCAGCGGGGTTAGGATCTGCCCCAGATGCAGACTCCAAACCTGCTGTGCTCACAAGCTTGGGCCTTCTCATCTCACCCAGGGTGGGAATGATTGGAACAGCGCCCATCGGGGGTATATCATAGGGGTTGAATAAGACAGTGCGTAGAAAACCCTGCTTAAGGCAGAGCTGGCACCAGGAACCACTCAGGAATGCAACCCTCTGTGAGTCCTAATTTCTGTTTACATCTGGCCTGGCCAAGGGTGCCCCTGAGGTTTCAGTTCTTGAGGCCCAAGTTTTCAGGGGATCTCAGAATGACTGATGTGCTTGGTTAAATGCAGATTCTGGGGTCTAACCACTACCCTCGGCCAGCTAAATTGGAATCTCTGTGGTAAGACAGGAATCTGCATCCCCAAATAACCTCCTAAGAGAATCTGATGAATATTAACATGTGAGAACCTCTGGAAGAATGCAGCATTCCTCTCTCTATTCAAAGCAAAGATGGAAAAATGAATAAGGTTTTTTACATTTCCCTGACACAAAAATGGTGCAGGCATGATAGTCCCAGTGTCCCCAGATAATGTTGGGGCAGCAGAGAGGCACCGGTCAGAGAGGGAGGCAGCCAGAACCCTGGAGTTATTATTCGTATGGGACGCACGTGGTCTGCCCTGTATCAGGGCCCCCTACCTGGACAACTGTCGAGGGTCCTTGATCGTCATCCATCTCAGGGTTAAAACCAAACATTCTCTGAGATGTTTTCCTAAACCCAACTACAGATGACAATAGTAAGAATTAAACTGATAAACTAAGGTGGTTGAGTGTTTCCTGAGATTCAGGACAAGGATTTCGCCTACTTTATCCACTTGATCCTCCCAGTTTTCTTATCCTAGTCTGTAGCTGAAGAACCTGAAGTTCTAACATGCTCCAGGTCACACCAAATATCCACTGATAAATGGAAAATGGTGGTGGGGGGAACTAACCACCAGTGTTCTTGATAACCAAAGTAGCATTCTTCACAGCTTCCAAAGCACTTAGCCACTCCTGCCATGGATAGTTTTCTGTTCGTGTGTCAGTTTGCTAGGGATAACGGCTTCCAGCTCCATCTGTGTTTCTGCAAAGGACATGATCTCATTCTTTTTTATGGCTGCATAGTATTCCAGGCTGTGTATGTACCACATTTTCTTGATCCAGTCTATCATTGTTGGGTATTTAGGTTGATTCCATATCTTTGCGATTGTGAATAGTGCTGCAGTGAACATACACGTGCATGTGCACAAGTACCCCTGAACTTAAAAGTTAAAAAAACAAAAAGAGAGAGAATGGATGAATCAGTGCAGGCCTGTGAGCTATCTTAGGATCTCTCTTGTGGAAAAATAACCTTCCTGTTAGAAAGGAGTCAGGGACGCAGAGTAAAATAGGAGTTAGGGATCCAGGCTCTGAAGGAGGTGTGAATGGGTTCTAATCCCAGGTCTTCTGTTTAATGGCTTAATTGTTGTGTGGCCTTAGGCTGGTTCTAATCCTTCACTTCCTTATCTACGAAATTGGGGAAGACGGAGTAACAAAAATAAAATTATTTGATTTTCTTAGCTTTAAGTGAGATTATGTCAGTCCAGTGCCTAATATATTAGAAAGCACTCTTAAGTCTTGCCTTTCTTTCTGGAGTTAGAGTTAAGAGAAACTGAGCATAAGAAATTTTATGATGTAATTTCTTAGAATAAGTTCATAAAAATGGTCTTCCCAGTGAAAATTACAAGTATCTGTAGCATGCTCTGGCCCACATCCTCAGGCTTTCAACATTCTCAGAATTTAAGATCACTGTGAGTAATCTGATTGCTGAGTGGAAAATGCAGGTGTTTAAATGTGATGACAACCATGCACTCTGTGATCCAAGGCCATCATTAGGGACTGAGCCATCCCCAGGGTGCTTAGGCGGATATTGGGAACTCTTTAGCTTGACATTCCTTCCTTCCTTTTTATGTTTGATAAAGTCCATTTGGAACGTATGTTGAGAGGATGGCACATTTTGCATGCAGAACAATTACAACCAGAAGGCAAACATTTGGGGCCATTTTATTGTTCCAAGAAACACCTCAGTGACTGATTTCATAATGCTGGAACCGAACATTGATAATGTTAAAATTAAAACTACATGTGGAGACTACAGCCAGAGTGGCCTCCTTTTCCTGCCGTAGTTAACTGTTTTCTCATTTTGTAGTTTGCATTCATTGTTTTCTTCGCTAATTTGAAATATACGAAGAACTCACAATTTGGCTTCCAACTGTAGAAAAAAAATCCAATTGAATGCACAAGTATTTATTGGGAAACTAGGGTATGAATAGATGTTTTTCCACATTTCCAGTATGGCACGGCATCAAAGGTGCTCTTTTAAAGGAGTGACTATGGAGTAAAAGTGGTGAAACAATCCCAGGCTTCCCAAGAGGTCATTGATTAAATTTGATTTACTCATAATGAAAGACTCACCCATGGCTGGGCACAGTGGCTCACACTTGTAATCCCAGCACTTTGGGAGGCCAAGGTCAGGAGTTTGAGACCAGTCTGGCCAACATGGTGAAACCTTGTCTCTACTAAAAATACAAAAACTTAGCCGGGCGTGGTGGTGGGCGCCTGTAATCCCAGCTACTAGGGAGGCTGAGGCAGGAGAATTGCTTGAGGTTGCGGTGAGCTGAGATCGCACCATTGCACTCCAGCCTGGGCAACAAGAGCAAAACTCCATCAAAAGAAAGAAAGAGAGAAAGAGAAAGAAAGAAAGAGAAAGAAAGAGAAAGAAAGAAAGGAAGAAAGAAAGAAACAAAGAAGAAAGAAAGAAACGACTCACCCATTTACTTGTCTTCTCCCTTCTTGAGCTAAAAATCTGGGTGTGAGATATGGAGGGGGTGGGGTTACTGAGAGTGCCTAGCCAGGAAGGACAAGGACCATGGAAGACAAGTCCACTGCTGGAGGACTCACTGCAGTCCCCAGGACCTCTTTTTTTTTTTATTATTATACTTTAAGTTTTAGGGTACATGTGCACATTGTGCAGGTTAGTTACATATGTATACATGTGCCATGCTGGTGTGCTGCACCCACTAACTCGTCATCTAGGACCTCTTTAATATGTTATTCAGAGCACGATCCTGTTACTTCCCGGCACCAATCACCTCGTGGCACTCCAGGGCAATGAGAAATAATTGCACGTCCGGGTTCTGCCCACCCCTCTTTCTGTCTGCCTGTCTGTCTCTCAGTGTCTTTCTCTATCTCCCTTTCCACCTCCTTCACTATTCACACTTTCTCTGATGTTTCAAATCCCCAAACTTGCAGAGCTCCTTCCAGCTGTGGGGGCCTCTGCATCTCTCTGGGAAAGTCTGTCTCTGCCTTTTCCATCACAGTGGACCTTGGCCAGAGATGTTGCCCAAGATCTTCTTGGAAGTCCCCAAATGTGCATGCCCATCGTGTCCTTCTGCACGAGCTCCAGAGTGTGAGAGGCCGACTGGAGTCAAGAAAGTCTGAGTTGGCTGGAGGCCGCATTCCCTGTGGTCGACCCAGCTTGCTCACTGCCCAGTGACTGGACCCACGCTGCATCATCACCATATGTGATGCCAGTTAGGTCTGGCTGTCCCTGTCCCAGGGCTGCACATGAGTTCCTCCTTTTCATTCTGGCAGGTTGTCTCCCTGGAGCAGCCTTCTCAGCTGAAGTCTCCCGGCTCCCAGCGGCCATCCCATCACCCTGTCTGCCTGTCTTATAACTGGTCACTGGGTGCCTCTTGCCATCTTCAGGGGGCCAGTGCAGCATAAGGAACAGGCGAGCCAGCTGGCTCAGAGGCATCCTGTCTGAGTGCAAAGCCCAGCTTGCCCTGCTTGCTCGAGATGTGTCTTTAGACAAGCAACTTCACCCTTCCATGCCTCAGTTTCCCTACATGCAACATGGGAGTGATGAGTCACCTCATTTGGGGTTATTGTGAGGATTAGGTGGAATAATACCCAAGAAGCACTGGCCAGAGGGTGAACATCCAAGAATGGGAGTTCAGGAGAATATTCCTTTCTCCCTCCCTTGTGCTGGGGCGCACACACTTCTCTTTCTTCTCTGTTCAGTTCCCTCTCTTTGTGAAGCAATGTGGGATATTGGAATGAGTATAGCTTGGGTCTGATCTATCCAGTTTACTAATGGGTAACTTAATCCTTTCTGGACTTCAGTTTCCTACAATGGGAATAATCCTTCTCTCATAGTTGTTGGGAAAACAGAATGAGGGAACAGTTTTTGAATAGCTCCCATGGCTTTTACTGATTCTTATGTTAAAAGACATGTTCAGTTCAACAAATACCAGTCCTCACCATGGTGTTAATCATGGTAATACCTGACCATGATTAGCACCATTGCACTCCAGCCTGGGCAACAAGAGTGTACAATCAATATGCGCTGGGTAGTACAATCAATTCAGTTGCTCCAGGAAAAATAAAGCCCCACTTTTAAGGTGAAATTAAGTATAATGTTAGGCTTTTTTAAAGCTCTTAAAAACTCTAAATTCCATGTAACATCTCCACAAAAGCCTATTGCTTATTGACTTTTCTTTTTTTTTTTTTTGACATGAAGTCTCACTCTTGTCCCCCAGGCTGGAGTGCAATGGCATGATCTCAGCTCACTGCAACCTCTGCCTCCCAGGTTCAAGCAATTCTTCTTAGCTTCCTGAGTAGCTGGGATTACAGGTGCCTGCCACCATGCCCAGCTAATTTTTGTATTTTTAGTAGAGACGGGGTTTCACCATGTTGGCCAGGCTGGTCTTGAACTCCTGACCTCAGGTGATCTGCCCTCCTTGGCCTCCCAAAGTGCTGGGATTACAGGCGTGAGCCACCGTGCCCGGCCGCCTATTGACTTTTCATTGCATTCTACATTTGGACAGGTTTTATATTGAGTTTCACGGAGGTATGATTATAAAACTGCATCATTACTAGTGATGTCACTGCATTGCTTACTACCTTTCTCATTAAAATGATCTATTATTTGAGATTATATTAGACGAGCCTGTGTGGACCTACACTTCTATGGAAAAGGGGCTTTCTCATTTCCAGATAAATCGATTAACAAATGAACCTTCTGAAAACTTGCTTGTGTAAGGAATTCAAATTAAATTTATTCTGTGAATACCTGTCAATATTTCTAATCAACTGGCTGGCTTGAGGTGATTTCTTATAAGAAAAATAACCAGGGATCATCTTCATAATCACTATGGTAGATTGCAAGAGATGGCATCCGGATGGGGTCTTTGCTATCAGCCTGCGGATGCCCTTCAGCAGCACCTGTCCCATCGCAAGACTTCCGTGAGGCTCCAGGGCTCAGCTCCAAGGAGGGCGGGATCCTTCCTGATACTCAGGCTGAACAGCAATGGAGGCAAAGAAAAATTAAGAGCTTGACCGGAAATAGGGGAATCCCTACACAAAAGAAGGAAGTTTGAACACAATAAGAAATGAAATGAGTTCCACGGAAAGGAAACAGGAGCTCTGCTGTGTTGATATAGAGCCTAGAGAGAGAAAAAAAAAACTGCTCTGGATTTTCCCCCAACAGTAGGAGAAATCTGTGCAACCTCCAGCCAGCTGCAGGTGAGGCTAGTGCCTGTCGTCAGGCTGGGGAATGACCTGAAAGCATGGTCAGTCAGTTCAACGTGAAGCTGATATGCCAGAAGAGCGAGCACCTGGCAGGCCTGAACTTACAGCTCTAAGGTCCAGCTCCACCAAGGACACCTCCGTAAATGGAATGTATGACTCTCATCACAGCCAGACTGACAGTACTTGGAGCCAGACTGACAGTTGTCAGTTGTCAGTCCTGGCTTGACCACTCCCTAGCTCTGTTACCCGGACAAGGTGCTTTCCTTCAAAGCACTAGTTTCCTCTTTCATAGGGTGGGATACTAGAAGTGCCTACTTCATATAGAGTGTACAAAGGATGAATCACAAATGAATATAGCACTTAGTGCTGGGTAAATGTCAGCATGGTTATGATGAGGACTGCTGGTAATACACTCATTCCATTCAGTAATTAGCAGAGGGGCTGGGGCAGAAGGAAGAATAAATAAGGCATAACTCAAAGACCTTACAGTCTGGCCAAAACAAGAGTCCCCTTCCTATGATGAGTGATGGGGGGTGTGCACTCCTAGAGAGGCACCTAGAAGGAAGAGAGTAAACATTTCCATAAGGTGGGGTCACTCAACCTGGCAAATGAATTCAGAGTTTTTTCAGGTGGAGACGATAAGAGAAGCAGTGTATATGAACACTTAACTTATGACAAAGATGGCGTTCTAGAGCACTGGGAAAATGGTCATCTTTACAGTAAATTATTCCAAAACAATTGGATATTCATATAAGACAATATATTAAGCTAGGACATGATCGAAAACACAAACTTGGGCTATCTGAATCAAAGAGAAGGTGTGGTCACTCTACCTGCAACCACCTACCTATAATTTCCCTCTTAGGCATATACCCCACAGAAATGCTTGCACAGATGTTACAAGAGATGGACACAGGCATGCATGTAGCAGCATTATTCATGACCGCCACCAGCTGGCAACAACACAAATGTCCACCAACTCCACGATGGATGAATACATCGCAGCGTATCCCTACAATGGAAGACAGCACGCGCAGTCTTTATTGCCAAAGCTCTATGAGAAGTCTTTCTATCCAGTAACATGAAGTCCTCCAATGTTGTTCTTCAAGTTTGTTTTGTTATTCTTGGCACGTCCATTTTCGCAGTAATTTTAGAATCATTTTGTGAATTTCCCAAAAACTTAAGTGAAAGAACACACACAAAAAGATCATTCTGTGTATCTTCATTTATATAAATGGCCCCTCAAATAGGAAGAACTAGACTAATAATGTTTAGAGATACAAGTTCACAGAAATAACCACAAAGAAAGGTGAGGATGCTGTTGCCTTGAACGTGGGATCTAGAAGGGAGGGGAAGCAGTGACTGATGCTGGCTGCTGGCTGTGACTTTTCTCCTGACATGAAGAGAGGTTGCAAGTATTCGCTCTGCGATAGTTCACTAAGCTGTACATTTGGTTTCATGGGGTTTTTTTTTTCCTCTAAATGTGCTTTATTTGACAATAATGTTTTTAATCTGTGGATATAAAATTTAAAAGTTTTGTCCTAAAAGAGACATCATAAAGTGATAAGATGACATGTAAGACAGGGAAGATATTTGTAAAACATAAAACTGATAAATGATTATTGTGCAGAATAAATAATGAATGCCTATAAATCGATTAGCAATATACAGTCAGGGTCAAGGATGAACCACATATATGATGATAATCCCATAGGATTATAATGGAGCTGGAAAATTCCTATCACCTAGCAGTGACGCCATAGCCATCTTCACGTGGCATAAGACATCGTGGTGGTGCTGGTGTAAGCAACCTACCATGCTGCCTGTTGTATAAAAGAGTAGCACATACAATTACGTACAGTACATGGTACTGGCTTATATATTTATAACACCCTGCTTTTAATCATTATTTCAGAATGCACTCCTTCTACACACACACACACACACACATATGTGTATATATACATATATATATATATATACATATATATATATATACATATATATATATATATATATATATATATATATATATATATATATATTTAAAGTTAATTGTAAAACAGCCTCAGGCAGCTCCCTCAGGAGGTATTCCAGAAGAAGGCACTGTCATCATAGGAGATGACAGCTCTATGCATGTAATTGCCCCTGAAAACCTTCCAGTGGGACAGTTATGTGGAGGTGGAAGACAGTGATATAGATGATTCTGACCCTGTGTAGGCCTAGGCTAATGTGTGTGTTTATGTCTTAGTTTTTAATAAAAAAGTTTAAAAAGTTAAAAAAATTGAAAATTTTAAAATAGAAAAAAGCATATAGAATGAGAATATAAAGACAAAAATATTTGGTACAGCTGTACAATGTGTTTGTGTTCTAAGTTAAGTATTATTACAAGAGTCAACTTTTTAAAAATTAAAATGTTTATAAAGTAAAAAAGTTAAAGTAAGATAAATTTATTATTGAAAAAAGGTGTTTTTGTTTGTTTGTTTTTGTTTTTTCGAGACAGAGTCTCATTCTGTTGCCCAGGCTGGAGTGCAGTGGTGCAATCTCTGCTCACTACAACCTCTGCCTCTCGGGTTCAAGCAATTCTCATGCCTCAGCCACCCGAGTAGCTGGGATTACAGGCATGCGCCACCACACTCAGCTAATTTTTTTTTTTAATTTTTTCTATTTTTAGTAGAGATGGGGATTCACCATGTTGGCTAGGCTGGTCTCGAACTCCTGGCCTCAAGTGATCTGCCCGCCTCGGTCTTCCAAAGTGCTGGGATTACAGGTGTGAGCCACTGCACCCAGCCAGGAAAATGTTTTTATAAATGTAGTATAGTCTCAGTCTCAGTGTCCAATGTTTATAAACTCTTCACAGTACAGTACTGTCCTAGGCCTTCACACTCACCCACCAGTCACTCATTCACCCACTCAGAGCAACTTCCAGTCGCTCAGGCTCCATTCATGGTAAGTACCGTATCTTTTTTTTTTTTTTTTTTTTTTTTGAGACAGAGTCTTGCTCTGTCAACAGGCTGGAGTACAGTGGCATGATCTCAGCTTACTGCAAGCTCCACCTCCCAGGTTCAAGCTATTCTCCTGCCTCAGCCTCCTGAGTAGCTGGGACTACAGGGGCTCGCCACCATGCCCAGCTAATTTTTGTATTTTTATGGGGTTTCACCATGTTGGTCGGGACGGTCTCGATCTCTTGACTTCGTGATCTGCCCACCTCAGCCTCCCAAAGTGCTGGGATTACTGGTGTGAGCCACCGCACCCAGCCACCATTTTTATCTTTTATACCCTATTTCTACTGTACCTTTTCTACATACTAACCATTGCATTATAATTGCTTACAGTATTCAGTACACTAGTACAGTCACATTCTGTGCAGGTTTGAAGCCTAGGAATAATAGGCTATCCCATATAGCCTAGGTGTGGAGTATGCTAGGCCATCTAGGTTTGTGTGAGCACATGCTATGATGTTCACACAATGACAAAGTCGCCTAACAACGCATTTCTCAGAATGCATCTTGGACATTAAGCAACACATGACTGTGTATACACATACATACATACACACATGTATGTACATGGATGTACATACTGACATGAATATATACATTTGTGTACATGCATATATGCACATACCTATATATACATTCATATATATAAATTAGACAAAATCCTGGGCAGTCATCACAGAACAGGAAAGATACCTACCAAATAAATATATGAAACCATGTACAGTATTATTAAAAGTCCAAGAAATACAAATTATAATTGAGGGGAGATGCCATTTTACTCTTCCTAGACTGGCCAAATTCAAAGTTCTGGTGACAAAGGAAAACAGAGCAGCCTGGAGAAGTGGCTGATCCAGGCAGGTGAATGAGCCTGGGTATCTTGTACCAAAGGGCAAGGCGGTTAGTAAAGACCACAGTACTGGGCACAGTAGCTCATGCCTGTAATCCCCGCACTTTGGGAGGCCAAGACAGGCAGATCACTTGAGGTTAGGAGTTCGAGACCAGCCTGGCCAACATAGTGAAACCCCGTCTCTACCGAAAATACAAAAATTAGCCAGGCGTGGTCGTGGGCGCCTGTAATCTCAGCTACTTGGGAGGCTGAGGTAGGAGAATCTCTTCAACCTGGGAGGCAGAGGTTGCAGTGAGCCAAGATTGCACCACTACACTCCAGCCTGGGTGACAAAGCAAGACTCCATCTCAAAATAAAATAAAATAACACAAAATAAAAAGTAAGATAAAATAAAAACCACAGTAGAGCCTTAAGGACTCAGCCATCAACTTGTAGGGGCTCCTACCTGCCTGCAATGCAACCATCTGTGCTTTAATAAAAACAATACCACGATAGATTAAAAACTCAGCAAACATTTCAATCCATGACTTCCTCGTGATGCCCAAAAAACATAATTGATCCCCATCAAAAACCTAATTGATCCACATTAGAGGAGGATGTAGTGAATATTACGTAATAATTTTTAAGTAAATAAATATATGTGAAATTAATTGGATGGATTAAACTTAGACGGCAGGGAGTAGAAAGAGGCACAAACAACATGGCCGGGGTACCCGAGAGTCACCGGGTCTGCTAACGGAGCTGGCTTTTGAGCTGGGCACTAAAGGATGGGGTCAAATTCCTCATGAGGGCTTGGGGCAGAGTCCATGGGTCCAGGGCAGAGCATTCAAATGTCAGAGGCAGGAGAACTTGTAATGGCCCCAGCACAGAGTCCGGTTCTCTAGAATTCAGTGGACCTGCAGGGAATTTTAGGGCAAACAGCGGAACCCACAGCATGAAGAGCCCGGGATGGTGGTGTGAGGTGGCGGGGCTCAGTGCAGTCCCCAGAGATCCCTCAGCCCTAGGCCTGGAGAAGTGATCCGCAGGGCTGCAGCGAGAGCTTCTCCCTGCCTCAGCCTTTGATTTGTTCCCACAGGAGACACTCAGCACGAACAGATCTTCCAAGATTTCAGTCACTTTTAGATTTCAGTTGCTTTAAGATTTCAGTCACTTTTAGATTTCAGTTGCTTTAAGATTTCAAGATGGCGGAGTTCAGACTCCTCTGGCGTATTTCCTGGTAGAGTGGGAAGTCCGTCCTGCCAGGGCTGGGCTCCTGCTCAGCCACCCACTCTGCATCCTTGGGCAGGTAATTCCCCTTCTAAGCATCTCTTTCCACTGTTGTGAAAACCTGAGCAAGTGAGTGAGAAGCACAGGAAAGGTGCTCAGTATGTGAGTCCCCTCCACCACCCTCAGAGTCCACCAGCCCTGCAGGGCTCTCCAGCTGCTCAGCCTAACAATCCTGGTCTCCTGGACCCTGGCCCTTGCTCTCTTTTAAGTTCTCTGATATCCATCATGTTTATCTTCTGCTTTCAAAGCTCCAGTTCCAGGGATGTCTTTTTCTGACCCATGGGTTGAGGCTAAGAGGTGAACACATTCCTCATTCGCTTCTCTGCATAGCTCACATTCTTTCTCTGAAGCCCCTGTCCTAGAAAGGATATAATCACTATTGTCAGAGACTTAGCCTGGCGAGAGCGCCCAGGAAAACTCGATCTTAAAAATTGACTCTGTCGCTTTCATCACTCTGGCTGATGGATAAACGTAAGGGTTTAACTCACACATTCTCAGATGTGTTCTAAATATTAGTAACCTTCTACTTTCCAATGAAGACTGATGATAAGCTTTCTCATAGCTGGCTCAACTCTTATATTTGTGTGTAGCTCACACTGACTCCAAGAAGAATTAAGAATCTAATGTAAGCAATGTGAGAAATCCACTCATCCCAAATCATGGTTAAAACTATTGTCTCAAAACAGTAAAATGCATTTCAAAAAAAGATTACATGTCAACTATAATAAACAGGTAGGGTTTCAATCACACAGCAGAATAGAAACAAAGAAGAGGTCACTCTTTCCCCTCTTATTTAAATGACTTTCCAGCTAGTCTAAAAGCAAACAAGTGCTCCGGGTGCTGTGGCTCACGCCTGTAATCCCAGCACTTCGGGAGGCCGAAGTGGGCGGATCACAAGGTCAGGAGTTCAAGACCAGCCTGACCAACATGGTGAAACCCCGTCTCTACTAAAAATACAAAAATTAGCCGGGCGTCATGGCGGGCACCTGTAGTCCCAGCTACTCGGGAGGCTGAGGCAAGAGAATTGCCTGAACTCAGGAGGTGGAGGTTGCAGTGGGCCGAGATCGTACCACTGCACTCCAGCCTGGGCATCAGTGCAAGACTCTATCTCAAAAAATCAAACAAAAACCATACAACAAGTGTCTAATGTGTGTAGAAGCTCTAACTAGGATAACTCGTTTAGTAAGTCATTTTTTTCTAAGACTTCATGTTGTATTTCAAACAGATTTCACTGCCCACTGCTCACCCCTAAGTTGGGCTTCTAAATTGAAATTCTGGACCACAATGCAAATAATTATGTTGCAATATATTGGGGCAGCAAAGTAACTGACTTAAATATCCCATCTACTTTTCAGGGAAACCTGGGCTCCTTGGAGTCCCCAAGAAGCCATCATTTGTTGAGCTTCATTTTCATGGTGGGAAAGGGTTTTTCTCTTGCAGCACAGTTATTAGAAAACGCAAGCTGTGTTGACGCAAATTTTCATAAGCTGTAACAGAAGCGTCCCTTTCTTAAATAAGTCATCAGGACATAAAACTGAACTACTTTGCATGTGGCTTAGCAAAGCCATTGACGAGCTGTGTGGTCTCAGCCTTCTGTTTTCCCTCAGAGCCTTAAATGAACTACTCTCTATGGCCCTTACAGACCTCAGATGCTGAGATTCTCTGAGGTTCCTCCACTGGGACTGATGATTGGAAGCTTTCAAATAGGACAGATTTCTGGACCTGACATAACCCACTGAATTTGTGTCTCTGGGGGAGGGTCCAGGAGCTGCATCTGTAGGAAGTCCCCAGATGCTGCTATTAGGGAGTTCTGGAGGCAGAGGTGTGGGCCATCAGCCATTCCGCAGTGGACCCCTTGGATGATAAATCCTGAACTGATTTTGATTCTGCATGGAGAGATGGACATAAATAAAGCCAAGAAGAAATCTCTGTTAAGCTGAGAAAGTATGCAGTTGTTTCTCAAGACAGACTGAATGGGCCGTGTCTGTAGGAGGAGAAAACTGTAGTCTTCTCAAATTCATTTTCTTTGTGATGTCCCCTAAACAAATCTGGTGGGAGATTTTCCTGTTGTCATCACTTTTTTGGGGGTTGGATAGCTTCGATGTCTCATATTTTCACATTAAGAAGGAAAGGCAGAGAGAACATAGTACCATATAAAAATGATAATAACTTTAAAAGCTTCTGTTCTCTAAGGTGGGGCACATTCCAGGAAATGGTAGGAAGGGAACCAGTTCATGACCATCTGATGGGAGAGGATCTTGTCCCGGAGGGGAGGCGTACCTCAAAATCCTAGACATTAGCCAGAGCAGTCGCTGGGTGTGAACTCCGTCTAAATTGCTAGCTTCCTGTCGTGTACTTAGATCCAGTGCCAAGTTTGAGGATGACTCCTACACCATCTCTCTGGCATCATGCACGGATATGCACAGTGTGGAGAGAGAAACATGCGATGGGGCCACAGAGTGTAATACTGACCCATAGAGTACTATCCCAGCTTATCCTCAGGCTGCCGGAGACACACCCAAATCTGCAGGGCCAAAAGTCCATGTGTCAGAGTAGACAGAGAAGGATGTAACCTAACCCTTTGGCAGAGTCTTCTGGCTCAGAGAGACAATGCCAGTAAAGGAGGCAGATGGAAAGTGGTCAGCATCATCTATGGATTAATTAGTGCCATCCACTAGAGCCCAGTCAAATGGAAGGTTGCCCAGGTATCCCAATGGTATTGTGCAGCTAATGTGATACATGATTTAGACGGCACGCCAAGCATGCTAACATAGACATAAATGGCCAGCGTGTTTTATCCCTGTCCAGTTATCCCTGGAATTATGTAATTTAAGATCAGGATAAAAGAAAAAAGAAACACAATCAAAGAATCACCAAGCTCTAGCTTTACAAGAATGACACATTTGAAATCAAAATACAATTTGATTTTGCAATGGATTGAAAATTGTTCATCCTACCAAGTAGTCCTTTGTTGAAATAGTCTCAGGTGTGCAAGGTCTCAAGTAACAAACCTATGGATAACTTCCTGAATGAACTATTAAAGATGACACAAAGATAAAAATGAGAGATTGGTAGAGCTGTTGTTAAAAGACTGACAGTGTGCGTTGAGATTAAGTAAACAAGTGTAATCACTGTACTTTGATTACAAAATGTACTAAACTAGAAACAGTCTTTGTCGTAGCTTATCTGTATTATTAAAAAAAAGAACAAAACTTGAAACAAGCAAACGACAAATAAAAACAATTTTTTTTTTTTTAGGCGGAGTCTCGCTCTGTCGCTCAGGCTGGAGTGCAATTGCGCGATCTCAGCTCACTGCAACCTCTGCCTCCTGGGTTCAGGCAATTCTCTTACCTCAGCCTTCTAAGTAGCTGGGACTACAGGCATATGCCACCACACCCGGCTAATTTTGTATTTTTAGTAGAGACAGGGTTTCACTGTGTTAGCCAGGATGGTCTTGAACTCCTGACCTCGTGATCCGCCTGCCTCAGCCTCCCAAAGTGCTGGGATTACAGGCGTGGGACACTGCACCCAGCCATAAAAACAATTTTTAAAAACAGGCTATAGGCCGGGCTCAGTGGCTCACGTCTACAATCCCAGCAATTTGGGAGGCCGAGTGGAGCAGATCATCTGAGGTCAGGAGTTTGAAACCAGCCTGGCCAACATGGTGAAACCCCATCTCTACTAAAATTACAAAAATTAGCCTGGCATGGTAGCTCGTGCCTGTAGTCCCAGCTACTTGGGAGGCTGAGGCATGAGAATTGCTTGAACCTAGGAGGCAGAGGTTGCAGTGAGCTGAGATCGTGCCACCGCACTCCAGCCTGGGTGACAGAGTGAGACTCTATCTCAAAAAAAAAAAAGCAGGCTATAATCCCAATAACAATAATGGGGTGAAGTTGTCACCTAATTTCTTATATTCTGTAAAACAGTTCAATTTATTATTTTACAGCATAAATAGAAATGTATGGGCTTAAGAATGGCTTTGAAAGGTTTTGTTCCCTCTGATAGAATTTAAAGGAATGTATGACTTTCCATTGTACTATAGAGTGTAATGGCTAAGAAAATCCAGCATGTATGGTGACCGTGGCAAAAGGCCTCTTAAAATGTAGAGGAACAGACAAAATGGTGGTGCATGTGAAACACCCAGTAACATGAGCTCTGACATTATAAATGAGGAGTGTTATAATTAAGATGTTTTCTAAGCCAGCATAGATTTATGCTTACGCTTCTGATAAGAGCTCCGCCTGGCATTTGGAGCTACAGCTAGCATGCCGTGCTGAAGCTGACCGCACCCTCACCCATCTTATCTATGCTAATGCCCACAGGAAGTGAAAGATACCATGCTTCTGTAATCTCACCCATGGATACATCTTTTGATGAGGAAGAAGGCAAGGGCTGATGCATGCAATACAAGTTATGAACATTTCTGTAAGCAGGGAAATAGCATCCACAGATACCACGTCATTTCTTTATTTCACCATTACTTTTGAGCAATGACATTGGGTTTTCGAGAGAAAGACCCTTGCTCCATTTGAACCAGCATTGTTTGCCATAAGACAACCAATAAACAAGCAACCAACCTAACAATAAAAACATCCATTGGTGACAGGAGCTATAAAGAGAACTGCAATGAGGTGATGTAATAGAGTGCTATCCTAGCTGGGTGGTGAAGGTGACACTCTAAGAGATGGCAACTGGCAGAATTCCAAAGAACAAGTGCCAGCCAGGTAGAAATGCAAGGAAGAGCATTCCAGGCAGAGGGAAGAGCTGACACAAAGGTAACAGGCAAGGAAATATCCTGCCATCAAAGAAGAACCATGGAAAGTGTGGAGGGCCAGAGACAACACAGAGCATGGCTGGAGAGGAGAACAGAATGTGTTCAGTGATGGAAGCTGAAGTCAGGCTTACCTTGGTGAGCCAGGATGGGACTTTAGATTGTGTTTGTGTTTTGTAGGTCCATCAGTAAGGTTTATGCAGAGACTGCCATGATCTCATTCCAATGTTGTAAAAAATCATGAAAACGTGGAGACCACACTTTAGTGGGCTCTGGGAGACAGTAGCAGAATCCAGAAGGCCGGGTAGGAAGCCACTTCAGTAGTTGAGGTGTGAAAGATTGTGCCTTACACCAGGATGGTAGGGGTGGAGATAGAAGTAGATGAATTGGGAGCATGTTTTGGAGGCAAAGATAATAAGACTTGTTGAAGAACCAGACACAGGGAGTGAGAAAAGAAAGGTGATAGAATCTGCAGAAGGAGCAGGTTTGTGGGATCGGAATTGTTTTGGCCATGTTGAGCTAGAGAGGGCAATCAGGCATCCATGGGAGATGCCAATTATATAGTAGACACAGTGTCGGGAGTTGTGGGGAGGTGGAGACAAACGATGTGGAAGTCATTTGCCAATAGATGCTTTTAAAAGTCCTGGCACTAGTCAAGGATTACAGTGTGGTCAGAGAAGAGAGATGAGTCCAGGACAGAGAACCACATCAAGGGGAACAGTCAGGGGAGAGCCAGGAGGTGGCACCCAGGGCAGAAACCAAGAAGGAACAGCAGGGAGGAGAGAGGGAGACCAGGAGAACATGGTAATGAAGATGCCAAGACAGGGAGGCGTTTCCAGAAGGGAAGGCATCTGTCTGTGGTGTGCTAAGAAGCTGAAGTGATGATACCAGTAAAATGGACAGTATCACCACTCATTTGAATGAGATAAAAACATGCAAAGTTGACATTTGATTGCAACGTGAGGTTGATATCCACTTAGTCTTCGAAGGAAAATATACTTGGTTCCTTTATGAATTGTATAAGGGGATTTAGAAAAAGTAGGCAAGTGCTCCAAGTTGAAAGAAAAATACTTCATTTAAAAGTTCACATTAAAAAGTTGGAAAAGCCAAATCTTTCCCCCTTATAATTAAAACACACACACACACACACACACACACACACACACACACAGACATACACACGTGCACAGAGATTTTTAAATTGGGGTTTTAATACTCACATATTTATAAGGCACTTCATATCTTGATAACATCTGCATGGTGTGATTTACCTGCATGCAAATTTGGAAAGGATGTTATAAGAATCTGACCAGATGCATGAGGGTGTGTCCCCGTGTCCCACATGTGGCTGTCATCCCTCAGTGTACTGCGGCAGCAGAGACTGAGACAGCCACTCTGGGGTGGTGTCCAGGTGTGGCCCTGGAGCCCTCTGTGTCCTGGCCAGCCACTCTGTGCTGTGAGCTGAGTGGAGTCTCAAGTGGGAGGCCAGCCTCACCTCTGGAGCTGACGGTTTTACCATGATTTTTTTTTTCTTACCAGTTTGACCAGTTTTCGCTTTTAGACAACAGGTAAGCTCCGTGAGGAATTTCTCTAGTTTCTGCATCAAGCACATCATCATCACGATATTAACATCAGACGGAGAGTGATAGTAGTATGGCCAACCACCCCTGTGGGCTGCCAATGGGCTGGCAGCGCCATAACTTCTGCCCCAGCCTGCCCTCTCGTCCACCATCATTCACCACACAGCATGGGCAGAAAGATGCATCCTGTCAGTAGAACATTTGAGTTCATTTATTTATATCAGATGTACCAAAATGACAAAATTGTTTCTTCATAAATGAAATAATAACCTGAGAAGGAGAGAAATGGCATCATTAAGAGCTAGGGAAATAGAAGTGAAGACAGTTATAAGTAAACCTCAGGCATTCCTCTTCTGTGGAAAATGTTAATGTCTTTTGCCAGCATTAGAAAATATGTTTGTGATGTTTACAGCATCCACAAAGTAATTAAGCTCCTGGCCATATAAAAATTGCCCACATTGACTTAGCTCCAGCCGTGTGCATTTGGCTGCAGGAATGAGATTTGAGGTCTAAACCTGAAGCCAGTCAAGTTATTAAGGGCTACTTAGTGGCATATCTAATTATGCATAGAAAAATGTGTTTCCAGAATTGCATCTAGCGGAGCTAACGGTGACCATAATGGCATTAATATAGATAGAAAAGCTTTACATGCGAGAAGGCCCATCATTATGTCATCTATAATGGCAAAAACAAAAGAAAACAATAAAAACAGGGGAAATAATAAATTATGGCATAGTATTGGAATATTATGCAGACAGAGGGTTTTTGTGGACTATTTCAGGTTATGGGAAAATATTCATTGTATAATCATACTTTTCTTTTTGAGATGGAGTCTCACTCTTTTGTCCAGGCTGGAGTGCAGTGGCACAATCTTGGCTCACTGAATCCTCTGCCCTACTGGGTTCAAGCTATTCTCCTGCCTCAGCCTCCCAAGTAGCTGGGATTACAGGCACCCACCACCATGCCTGGCTAATTTCTGTATTTTTAGTACAGACAGGGTTTCTCCATGGTGGCCAGGCTGGTCTCAAACTCCTGACCGCAGGTGATCCGCCCATCTCAGTCTCCCAAAGTGCCAGGATTACAGGCATGAGCAACCGCACCTGGAGGATAATAGATTTTTTTTTTTTAAAGCAAGAAACAACAGCATAAAAGATGGCAGGAAATATACCAACAGGTTAACAAATATTATTGCAAAATGAAGGGAACATGGATGATGGTTTTTTACTCTTTTCTGTATTTCCTAAAGTGTCAAGAATGAATGTATGTTTTATAAATCAGATGATGCCATCTTAGGATGGTGATATGGTTTGGCTATGTCCCCACCCAAATCTCATCTTGAAATGTAGTTCCCGTAATCCCCATGTGTTGTGGGAGGGACCTGGTGGGAGGTAATTGAATCATGGAGGTGGGTTTTTTCCCATACTGTTCTCATGGTAGTGAATAAGTCTCATGAGATCTGATGGTTTTATAAATGGGAGTTCCTCTGCACACGCTCTCTTGCCTGCTGCCATGTAAGATGTGCCTTTGCTTCTCTTTCACCTTCTGCCATGATTGTGAGGCCTCTCCAGCCATGTGGAACTACGAGTTCATTAAACCTCTTTCCTTTATAAATTACCCACTCTCAGGTATGTCTTTATTAGCAGCGTGAGAACAGACTAATACAGATGGCTTCTTGTTGTAGGGGAAAAACATCCCAAGCTCGGAACGGGATCTGCATACCCACCCCTGCCTGCTTCTTTCTTCATCTCATTCCGCCCTCCCCTTCCCACAAGTCTGGGCCTCCTTTCCATTTCTCCCCATGAGGGAAGCTCTGTACCAAGAAGGCCACACACCTGCTGTTATCTCTGCCCAGACCAGTGTCCCTAAGCTCCTCTGCCCTGCTCCTCATCTTTGGCTGGTGGCTCCCTCTCATCATTAAATTCCTTGGAGGATCTTTTCTCTGCCTCCTCATCTGAAAGAACACCTGTCCTTTGCCCCACGTCTTCCGCAGCACAAGCCCAGCTCCGCCTGTGTGCTCCCTTGGTCCTTGTCTCTTGCTGACTTGTAGGCTCTTTGCTCATTTTTCCCACCACTATGGTAGCAGGCAGCAAACAGCAAGTGTTCAACACACATTTGTTGAACAAATTACACGTATGACAAGGAAAGCAATATACTTTAAAATCAACTATATTTTCGAACAGTTTTTGATTTACAGAAAAATTGCAGAGAAAATACAGAGTTCTCATATACTCACATCTGTTTTTTCTCTATCATTAACATTTTACATTAATATGATTTATCACAACTAATGAACTAATATTGATACATTATTACTCACTAAAGACCATACTTTATTGATGCTTCCTTAGTTTTTCCCCTGCCTTTTTTGTACCAGGATCCCATCTAGGATCCCACATGACATTCAATTGTCCTAGCTCTGCAGGGTTCTCTGGGCTGTGACAGTTGCTCCAACTTTTCTTTTCTTTTCTTTTCTTTTCTTTTGAGACATAGTCTTGCTCTGTCGCCCAAGCTGGAGTGCAGTAGCATGACCTCGGCTTACCGCAGCCTCCGCTTCCCAGGTTCAAGCGATACTCCTGCCCGAGTAGCTGGGACTACAGGCACATGTTACCAGACCCAGCTAATTTTTGTAATTTTAGTAGAGATGGGTTTCACCATATTGGCCAGGCTGGTCTCGAACTCCTGACGTCAAGTAATCTGCCCACCTTGGCCTCCCAAAGTGCTGGGATTAGAGGCATGAGCCACTGCACCCGGCCTTTTCTTGTTTTTGATGACCTTGACTCCTTTGAGGAGTGTTGGTTAGGAGTTTTATAGGATGTCCGTCAGTTTTGGTTTGTTTGGGGTTTTCCTCACAGACTTGGGTTAAATATAGTTTTAATATAAAACTCAATGTCCTTGAATGGTGTATTAGTATTCTTCAGAGAAACAGAACCAACAGGATCTATGTACATCTATATCTCTATATCTATGTCTATCTATAGACAGAGGTGGGGGAGAGAGAGAGCGAGCTTTATTTTAAGGGATTGGCTCCCTCAATTGTGGGGGCTGACAAGTCTGAAATCTGCAGGGTAGGCTGGCAGGCTGGGGCCTCAGAGAGTGGATGCTGCAGCTCACGTCCAATGGCAGGGTCTGGAGGCAGAACTGGCTTTTCAGGTCTTCAGGAGGATCTCAGCCTTTTTCTCCTTTTTTTTTTTCTTCTACGGAGTTTCACTCTTTCACCCAGGCTGGAGTGCAGTGGCGTTATCTTGGCTCACTGCAACCTCTGCCTCCTGTGTTCAAAAGCGATTCTCCTACCTCAGCCTCCCATGTAGCTGGGATTAGAGGCATGCATCACCACTCCTGGCTAATTTTTGTATTTTTGGTAGAGATGGGTTTTCACCATGTTGGCCAGGCTGGTCTCGAACTCCTGACCTCAGATGATCCACCCGCCTCGGCCTCCCAAAGTGCTGGGATTACAGGCGTGAGCCACCATGCCAGGCCCTCAGGCTTTTTCTCTTAAGACCTTTGGATTGGATGAGGCTCAGCCACATTATGGAGGATCATTGGCTGTACTCAAAGTCAGAAGATTTAAATGTTAATCACACCTAAAAAGTACCTTCCCAGCAGCATCCAGATTGGTCTCTGACCAAACATCTGGGCACCATAGCCCAGCCAAGTGGAGACTTCAAATTAACCTCTGTCAAGGGTGGCCCCCAGAAGTGTGGTTCTAAACAAGGCAGCAAGGGGGAGAGCGGGGGTTGTGGGTGGGAAGGAAGGTCTGTCAATAGCAGCACCACCCAGTTCAGGAACAAAAAGCTGCTGCCTGGTTGTTAACCTCTGAACTCCATGGCTGCAGCCCCCAAGTTAAACTGCTCCTTACTAACTGCAAACCAAACATGACGTCAGCCTGCTTGCAGTGCAGAGGCTGCAAGGAGATAATATTTATAGAGAATTCTTTGATTTCCTGGAGAAAGGTCAGAATCTGAATTGATGGGAATATAACTTCAGAATATGTAGACTCTTGCCGGGCGTACTGGCTCACGCCTGTAAGCCCAGCACTTTAGGAGGTTGAAGTGGGTGGATTGCTTGAGCTCAGCAGTTCAAGAACAGCCTGGGAAACACGGTGAAACCTCCTCAATACAAAAAAAAATAGCCAGGTGTGGTGGCACACTCCTGTAGTTCCAGCTACAGGTTCTGGGACTGTTCTGCCCACCTCAGCCTCCCAAAGTGCTAGAATTACAGGCATGAGCCACTGCACCCGGCCTGTTATGTGGTTTCTTAAGAAGCTACTCCTCCAGTTCCGGCAAGGCGGCTCATGCCTGTAATCCCAGCACTTTGGGAGGCCGAGGCAGGCGGATCACCTGAGGTCAGGAGTTCGAGACCAGCCTGGCCAACATGGCAAAACCCCGTCTCAACTAAAAATACAAAAATTAGCCAGGCGTGGTGGCATGTGCCTATCATCCCAGCTACTCGGGAGGCTGAGGCAGGAGAATTGCTTGAATCTGGGAGGCGGATGTTGCAGTGAGCCGAGATCACTTCACGCCACTGCACTCCATCCTGGGCAACAGAATGAGACTCTGTCTTGAAAAAAAAAAAAAGCTACTCCTCCAGCATTTCTTAATTATTTCCTGAGTGGTCCCTGGAGGTTCCCTTTGTCCCTCTGGGGATGCTTGAGTAGTAATAATTGCCCTGCCTTGCGTTAATATTGAACGTTCAGATGGCTTCCATGAGCATGATTCCATTCTACTTTTTACATGATCGCCCCAGGACTATCACATTCAGGTGGTCCTAAATAGGGACGGTTTAACCGTTAAAAAAAAAAAAAAAATAGAAGTGTACCAGCAGAATGAGTATGATTGCAAATAACAGCAAATATCCGCTTGACATGGCTTGAGCAATAATGTATTTGTATTTAGTGGGTAGTGGCACATGCAGAAGTGAAGATAGGGGATTGCCAAGTCATTTTTTTTTTTTTGAGATGGAATCTCACTCTGTCGCCCAGGCTGGAGTGCAGTGGTGTGATCTCCGTGCTCACTGCACCCTCTGCCTCCCAGGTTCAAGGGATTCTCCTGCCTCAACCTCCTGAGTAGCTGGGATTACAGGTGAGCGCCACCACACCTGGCTAATTTTTGTATTTTTAGTAGAGACAGGGTTTCACCATGTTGGTCAGGCTGGTCTCGAACTCCTGACCCCGTGATCCACCTGCCTCAGCCTCCCAAAGTGCTGGGGTTACAGGCATGAGCCACCGCACCCGGCGAGTACCAACTCATCTAAATGGAAGTGTGCTCAGATAGCAAGCAGGAGACATGGACTTCTGTGGCTTCCCATGATAACTGGGTTATGAGGACCAACTTTAAGCCTATATGTCAATCAGTTTATATGAGGTTGGACTGATTTCTACTGTGTGCAGCCTCTACAGGAGCATTTATACTGGTTTCCTTTTTTTTTTTCTTTCTACCTGTAGATATCTTTAAGATAAACAAGCTGAACACCATTAACTATGGTAACCTCTGCCATGCTGTCTCTGTTCCTTGAGATCAGATAGAGCCCGGACAGCAAAGAAGCACGTGGCCCTGATATTAAGATACAAGCATGCCAACAGCTTGCATTAGTATTTGTGGAATGGATGAGTGAGTCATGATATATTTCCCCAAGCTTCAGCTGGGTGTGTTTTTCATGTAACCATTACTCATAAAGTGTAAAGGTCAATTATGTTAGGAAGGAAGGAATGATTTTTGTCATCCATGCATAGGACACTCAGGTATGCTTCCCTGAGCTTCATGGAGCATGGTTCCCTGAGCTCACTCCTGCAAAGGCCACGCCTATTCATGAATGTTGACATTAACCAGAAGGTAGGGACTGTATATGTGAATTGAGCTTAAATCTGAGCTGAGGAATTCTATGACAAGTAACTTCAAACACGTCACTGAGTTTGAGTTTACCATAATGCATAAGACTATTTCTAAAACTTGTAATTGCTTCTGTTTATTTACAGAGTTTGATGCATATTTGAGCATTTATTTACTTATTCAAAATTCAAAAAGTTCCAAGAAGTATAAAAATGGCTGAACAGTGGCAAGAATTTTAGAAACCATAGAAAAAAACCCGACATTATTAGGGAACAAAACAAATAGACTAGGAGATAAAAATGAAGTTTTGTGTTGCAGAAGCTGGCAGGGATCCCCAGTGAGAGAAAAGAGGTATCAGGATGAGGAGAATGATAACCACAGCCTCATCACATAGGAGAGCGGCTGCTTCCGTCAACAGGGTGTGTGCTCACAGCTTCAGGTCTGCACCGCACAGCATGATGCTGAGACAGGAGGTCAGCACGTCACATAATTACAACTATATTCTTGTAGATGGCAGGATAATGGCATCCCCCCACCCTGCCCCCAAAAGATGTCCATGTCCTAATTTCAGGAACCTATGAATGTGTTATATGACATGGTAAAGAATTAAGTTTGTAGCTGGAATTAGGGTTGTCAATCAGTTGACCTTAAAATAGGGAAATCACCTGGGTTATGCAGGTGTACCATCACTAGGGCCCTTAAATGCGGAAGGAGGCAGAAGAGACAGGTGGGCGGGCGCGGTGACTCACACCTGTAATCCCAGCACTTTGGGAGGCTGAGGTGGAGGATTGTTTGAGTCCAGCAGTTTGAGACCAGCCTGGGCAAGATAGTAAGACTTTGACTCTACAAAAATAAAAAACTAACCAGGCATGGTGGTGCATGTCTGGGGTCCCAGCTACTCAGAAGGCCGAAGTAGGAGGATCACTTGGGCCCAGGGGGGTTGAGGTTGCAGTGAGCCATGCCACAATTTTGTCTGCACTGCAGCCTGTAGTGCAGAGCGAGACCCTGTCCCCATCCCCCACCAAAAAATAATAATAATAATAGACAGGTCGATGAGATGTGACAAAATATCAACCCTCTGTTAAGGCCACCAAAAATAAAAAATATTAAAAGGACACACAGCCCTGCCAACACCTTGATTTTAGCTCATGCCAGACTTCTGACCTTCAGAACTCTAAGATAATAAATTTGGTTTGTTTTAAGCACCACATTTGTGGTAATTTGCTACAGCAGCAATAGAAAACTGATACAATTATATTAATAATTTTAAAGACGGCATATTTTGCCAGGTAGAGTGAATCATCATTTTGAATGACTTTGAATCCAGAAGAAAATTTATGTAAGGAAAGGGCTTAATTGAAAACTAAAACATGAAAGTTCTTGGTGGCTGTGAAGGTTTTTCCTAGGACTGGAAATCCCCTGGGCTCCCCTCACACTTTGAAGTCAACCTAATTGGAGGGCCATGCCTCGATCCTTTCGGGAGATAGGTGTCCCTGTTAGAGTCTTCAGGTGTATGTTATACTTCAGGTGTCTGCAATTACCTTACCCAGGCCTATAAGCTCCTTGAGAACAGGGAACGTATTTGTCTAATTTTCAGGACCAAATGCAACATCCAGCCTCTAATTGGGGCTTAATAGGTATTTGTTGAATAAATATTTCCAGTGTCATTGATGCAATATTCTGACAAGTAGAAAGATCAAAGCTGGGAAGACGGGGGCTGGGGTGGAAGGAAAATAAATGACGTTTTGATTTTTTAAAGGAACAAAACTTTAGATAAGGCCAGTTTCAAATCATCTTGGCTTTGTTGTGTTTTCATCTCTCCAGAATTGGACTTCTGTGCTCAATTCAATGAAAACACTCAGAGCACAGATTGGGATCACGGACTTATTTTCAAAGCATGTTCCCACACATATTAACAATTGCTCAAAATTAACTGTAGCATCTGTTTAAAGTTGAATCAAATTGAATTCTCTATTTATAAAAATGGAGTTTACATAAGAGAATGGAAACCATGTACAGACATTTAGCATGACACTTCTGCTTACACCATTTCAACAAATAAAAAGAAATTATTGTTCTGGGAGAAATACACATTCCAAATCTTTGTAAAATGAAACCCTTCAAAATTAGGAAATGGAACAACTCTTTTTTTTTTTTTTTTTGAGACAGTCTTGCTTAGTCATGTTGCTCAGTGCAATGGCGCGATCTCGGCTCACTGCAACCTCTGCCTCCCGGGTTCAAGCGATTCTCCTGCCTCAGCCTCCTGAGTAGCTGGGATTACAGGCACCTGCCATCATGCCCAGCTAATTTTTGTATTTTTGTAGAGATGGGTTTCACCATGTTGGCCAGGCTCATCTTGACCTCAGGTGATCTGCCTGCCTCGGCTTCCCAAAGTGCTGGGATGACAGGCGTGAACCACCGCACCCCACCAGAAATGGAACAACTCTTAATGAGTGACATGAGCTACCAGATAAAGGAACACTATATAAATTTCAGGGTCCAGGGTCCTAGAAGTGCCTGGAGCTGAGCCCCTGCTCCCCAAGTCTGTACACATGCACCCTGGGTGCTCAAGCCACAGGCCCTGTTGTAATGGGAAGAGAGAATTCCCTCTTGCAGGAAAGCGGGCTACAAAGATGAAGGGTGGTGGGTGGCAAGAGAGGCCCGGACACACCCTGGGCCCAAGCCTCACTGGTAATGGTTGGAGGGTGGTGGGAAAAGCCATAGGAGATTCTGGGGGAGGTCACAGGGATGGGGGTGAGAGCGAGCTAAGTGGTAGCCAGTGGCGGGGCCCCTGGTGGTTGGGTTTTATTGGGAATGAGGCCGGGCAGGGAGTGACTATAAGACCCAGCTGGTCGTGGCAGAGGTGGGAAGGGAATTTAGGGAACTTGCTCTCTTGGCTTCATGTCTGGGGACACAGCACGGGTGAGGCTGGTGGGTGGGTTGACCTGCTGGTGGTCCCTTCAGACCCCTGTCCCAGTTAGTCCCTGGGGACCCGTCCCTTTGGACCTGACTCCTTGGGGTTGAGTTTCCCCTTTCACCTGGCCAGGATTTAGCATCTTCTTCTGGAGGAATGAGGAGGTTTGGGTGACCTGCCTCTTCCTCTTTCACCTGGCCAGGCTTTAGCATCTTCATCTGGAGGAACAAGGAGGTTTGGGTGACCTGCCTAGTGCCAGGGCAGGACGACTGCCACCCTGAGTCATGTTCTGCTGGTGTCTTTCAATTAGGCAGGAAAGCTCACTTCACAAGGAGCTTCTGTGTCACTGGAGTTATATGGAAATGAGGACATCAACGCAGCCCTCAGGGGCATGCGGGAAGAAGCAGAGGATGGGCCAGAGAGGGTCCTCCCTACCCTCCTCCCAGGTTTGGCCCTCTAGGCCACTCTACCCACTGCATACAGGGATGGGTGTGGTGCCCAGTTCCTCACCCTCTGGGACATAGAACTCCACCTACCCACAAAACCCACTTCCTCAGAAGCGTTAGGGCTGCCTCGGTGCCCTAACTGCAGGTGTGCAGGGCGGGGCTGAGGAAGAGGCAGTTAGGGCTGAACCCAGCAGGAGGGAAGCAAGCTCGCCCAGCTCTAGGTTTCTTGTGAACCCTCAGGACCTGCCTTTGGAGGCAGGTCCTGAGACTGCTGGAAGAAATGAAAATGATGACGATTACAAAGATGAAGGGAGAGAGTGTTAATGAATCACAGATCTTCCTTCCCCTATCAGGTCACCTTGTGTCAGTTTAACAATGACCACCCCCCCCCCAAAAAAAAAAAGCCACACACACACACACTGAGAAGGGAAACACTTTGTTTTTCTGCACTGTCTGAGCTCCATCAGATAATGGAACTGCTGAGCTCTCTGTTCTGCCACTCCACATTGATGGATTTCATGGCAGAGTAACACTTTGGAAATGAAAGTTTCTCTTCTACTTCCTAAGTGAGGGAGACCCAGAATCCAAGAAAGGATCCTTGGCTCAGGAAATCATCTGCCATCGGTGGCCAGGGGCAGCTGGAGCGTCAACATCTAACCTGTGGGAAGATGTACCCTCTGCAATAGGCCCCTCTGCCCCATCCCCAGAAGTCCCCAAAAGTTTCCAGGAGTGTCAACAGATGGGGGAGGGATCAGCCACTCTCACCCTCTGAACTGTGAGGGTTTCTCTTCCCATTTCTCTAGGAAGCAGTGGCCATGTTGTTGCCCAAAGCAGATGTCAAAAGAGAAACTTAGAAGAGGCTTCTGAGACTAGCAACCCTCCCACTCAGGATGGAACCAAATTCAGGGAGCACGTCTCCCCACACAGCTGAAATTAATGCAGAGGTGAACGCCTTCTCCCTCGGAAGCAGAGCAAGAATGATTCTTGATTACACTGAGCCTATGGAACAGCCCCCACTGTTCAAGAGCCAAGATTAGTGTGAAGCACCTCTCAATCATTTAAGATTTGATTGTTTAACATGAGGCTGGGTGGGTTCGTCTCAGTGCTGATGTCAACAATCGACCCCATCGTCCACATGGCTCCCTGGGTTGCACCATGAGCCAGCCACTGCTGCTTCTGGGTGCCAGGCTGTCCGGCAAATCCTCTGACCCCCGTCTCTCCCTTCTAGATTTTTCTGAGCTGCCACTTCCTCTCACCCTCCAGGCAGGCAGAGCCTGAAACCCCCTCTCTCAGAAAGGGTTGCATCAAACTCATTTGATGCACACAAATTCACCGAGGGAGAATCCTTTGACAAGCAGGCTCTGGGGCCCTGGGGCTGGGGCTTGAGAGCCTGGGTCTCTAACACACCCAGCAGTTGCTGATGGCGGGGCCAGAGCTGGAGTGGCCAAGGTTTTAGAGCAGTACTTATGGTGGGTCTCTCTCTAGCTGGGCCATCCTTGAGGCCATCCTCTTCATTTCAGATCAGTTTGCCCCCTCCCCATTTCTCAAAGCTGCTTACTGTTTGCTGGAAGGGAAGGCTGGACTCCTCCACCCCACCTTCCACCCCCACCTTCCTTTCCCCTCCGCCCCACACCCGTTTCTCTGCTCCCTAGTCTGTTTCCTGTACAACTTTAGGACATGGCCTTCATTCATGTTACCTTTCTGTTGTTGTTTTTTTATGAGCTTTAGTTAAGATAACTAATTGCTGCAGACAAAACCAGCTCAAAACAATTTAATCCACACTTTGAGAGAGGGAGAAAGAAATGCACTCTGCAGAGGAATCTGAAGAATGTAGAGAACCATCCAATCAACGACTATTCCAAGCATTTCCCTGAGAATGCAAACTTCCACCCACCTCAAGCCCTCCAGGAACTTGCCATTTTCACCACATCACTATGCAGCGTCACACCAGGAAGTACCCAGAAAACTTCGCACGATCCTCCGGAAGCCTCACCCCTTATCGGTGACCACCCTTCTGCTATATCCAGTCTTTTTCTCAGCATAAGTGTTTTACATACTTGATATCAGAGTGTAATTTAAAATCTATTTCTTGACTTTTTTACTTAATAAGTTTTTAACTGTCACTAAAAATTCCTGAAAAAATGTTGTATAACTCTTTCCGTTATTTACTTAATCATTTCCCTATTGTTGGAGACATAGAATCCAATTTAGGATTTGTTTTGTGGAAGGTTTCTTTGTTGCTGTTTTTTGAGACGGAGTCTCGCTCCGTCACCCAAGCTGGAGTGCAGTGGCGCAATCTCGGCTCACTGCAATCTCTGCCTCCCGGGTTCAAGCGATTCTCCTGCCTCAGCCTCCCAAGTAGCTGGGATTACAGGCGCCCACCACCACTCCCGGCTAATTTTTGTAATTTTAGTACAAACAGGGTTTCGCCATGTTGGCCAGGCTGGTCTTGAACTCCTGAACTCAGGTGATCCGCCCGCCTTGGCCTCCTAAAGTGCTGGGATTACAGGCGTGAGCACCGTGCCTGACCTGTTTTGTGGAACTTTTGAAAGCACAGAGAGGCATGCTCACATCTCATGGACACCACCCGAGTTAGATTAACTTCCTTTCAAACTGGAAGTAGAAGGAGACCATGTTTTCATTTGCCCACTCACTCACTCAGCAAATTTCACAGCATATTCCCCGTGTGCCAGGTATTCAGGGAAAGCCCGTTGTCCGTCTGAAGTCTATTAAGAGGTTAAATAGTCATCAGTCCACTTCAAGCTGGTCGATCGCCTTTGAGCATGGGAGGTAAGAGCTAACTTTGCAGTAAACCGCTCAACACAGAAACCAGCAAGGGCTTCCACATGCAGCCCCGTTCCTGGAGCAACAAATCACAACATCCGTCACTGTAGACTCTGGCCTGACACAGATGGTCCCCACATTCTTGAAGGCAAGGACTAAGAAAGAGTGGGTCAGGGTCCGTTTGGAAATTATTTTCAGGAAGCTGGCCCTCTGAGGCCAAATGGTGGGAGGTGGAGGGGACTAGACTTGGGCGGGAAGAAACATCCTCATCCATCCTCATCCTTATGGAAACCTGTGTCCCAGTTCCCTGTCTGCATCTTCAGGTGCCTCTGGTACAAGTCTATGTGGATGCCTGCCTCAAACTCATCACACAGAAATGCAGCACTCTCGCCCGCTGCACTGTGGCCCCTTCCAAATGTAGCCCCCTTGGAGAGACACGTATCGCCCACTAAGTGGATCCACTGCAGCCTCCACACTATCTGGGTTCCTCTCTCCCTTTCTCCTCCAAGTCAGCAGGTGACAGGCTCGCTTTGCTTGTGCCTTCCAAAGAACAGAGACTCTAGCATGTCTGCCCTTCGATGGGCCGGCTTGGCCTGGCTGTCTCCTGCTTCCTCAATGGTTTCCTGGGAATACCTGCTGGTAGGTGGGGGATGGCCTAATCCCTGCCAGAGACTCCTTGGCCTTTGATCCTGGTGAGCTGTGCTAGTCCACGTGCAAACACAAAGCCTCTGTTCTCTTTTGGAGGCCTTTTGCATAGTCTGACAGCTGAGCTGGAGATCCAGGCAGGCCTGCACTTAGCTGTGCTCTTGCCTCCAAGGACTGTTCCAACGTGGGGCCATGATTCAGCCTCTTTGAGCCTCAGATTCTTCTCTGTACACTGGAGATAAGGATGCCCACCTCACAGGGCTGTTTCAGCGATCAGATCTGTAAAGCACTTAGCGTTATGTGTAGGAAGAACTCAATACATAATATTAATGCTGAGTATAATTACTGTTATTCCTCAGTAGGCTTCCAGGCCTGCCTGCCCTGAGTCCTCTTGGTCTTCCCTGTTTTATCTCCCCAGCTACAGGAGAGAAGTGACTTGCTCTCCATCCCTCCGTCAATGAAGGGGCTAGGCCATGCACTGTGCTTTGGTGCCCACTGTTCTACTTGGTTTACATCAGAGAAGGAAGGATAATATTAGAAATTATATAGATAGGCCGGGCACGATGGCTCACACCTATAATCCCAGCACTTTGGGAGGCCGAGGCGGGCGGATCACCTGAGGTGAGGAGTTCGAGACTAGCCTGATCAACATGGTGAAACCCCATCTCTACAAAAAATACGAAATTAGCTGGGTGTGGTGGCACATGCCTGTAATCCCAGCTACTCAGGAGGCTGAGGCAGGAGAATTGCTGGAACCTGGGAGGTGGAGGCTGCAGTGAGCTGAGTTCATGCCATTGCACTCCAGCCTGGGCAATAGAGTGAGACACTGCCTCAAACAAACAAACAAAAAAAAAGTATATACATGTGGCATAGTAACCTCATTATGAAAACCATAATCTTGGTCATAATCATGCATGAATGTTAGAAAAATATCCAGTAAAATCCCACATTAATCTTTTTTCACTCTGACCATCAGAATTTTCTTGGAAGTTTTCATCACTATTAAGCAGACTCCAAAAATTAAAGTTAATAATGATCTGGATTAAAGATGCAAAATAATTATTGCTTGCATATATGTTGTAGGGGCCAAAGCGAAACCTTTGGCCCTCTGAAGTTTCACTGAAAAATCAACTCGCAAAAGACAGATTAAGGCCGGGCACTGTGGCTCAAACCTGTGATTCTAGCACTTTGAGAGGTTGGGGTGGGCAGATCAGTTGAGGTAAGGAATTCAAGACCAGCTTGGCCAACATGGCAAAACCCTGTCTCTACTAAAAATACAAAAATTAGCTGGACGTGGTGGTGTGTGCCTGTAATCTCAGCTACTCAGGAGGCTGAGGCATGAGAATCCCTTGAACCAGAGAGACAGATTCAGAGGTTGCAGTGAGCCGAGAGCAGGCCAGCGCACTCCAGCCTGGGCGACACAGCAAGACTCTGTCTGAAAAAAAAGGCAGATTAATAGGAGAAAAGGCATACAAAGTTATTCAACGTGTGTATACACAGGAGCCCTCAGAATAAAGAGCCCACCCCCAACAAAGTACAGAAGCTTAAATATACCATCTTGAGGTTACAGAATGAATGGAGGCTCAGAGCATGGCCAAAAAACAATTATGGTAGTCAATCATGTTCTATTGGCAAGACAGATGATGGGAGGAGGAGAAGAGGAGGACTGGCTGACAAAGGTGGTCTTGTTATGTAGATGAAACCTCACAGGTAGCAGCTCTCAGAGAGAATAGATGATGAATGTTTCTTTCAGATCTTTCACGGTGTCAGAATCTCCCAAATTAATCTCTCCTACATGAGGACTAGGGCAGGACTGGTTGCATTTCTGGGGATTCACTAAAGATCTCCAGATGCAAATTTTCCCCACAAAAGACCACTTTGTAGAGCCACTTCAGTCTGCCAGCCCTGTGGCAGCCATCTCGAAATATGTCAGAGCAATATATTTGGGGGTAAAATATTCTGATTTCCTTTAATGTGTAATAATATACCCAGAAAACTTCAGAGAATCCACTGAAAGTCTTATAGAATTAAGAAGAGGCAATCAATACAATACAAACATGGGAAACAACAGCTTTGCATCAGATCAGCATAGAACGGATGTGGGAGAGGAATACTGTTCTCAATAGCACCAATGTACAGAAGCTGAGAATAACATCAGTAAGATGCACATTGGAAAAAAGAAAAACTAGGAATTATAATGAGACATAAAGAATAAAACTTGAATAAATGGAGTAATGTATCGCATTTCTGATGATGCAACAAAATAAATTTTTCTCAAGTTACTTTATGAGTAACAAAATCCAAATAAAATCTCAAACCAACACTTCATCTTGATAAAATCATTCTATTATAAGCTTGACAAATAAATGACGGCTCAAGAAACAACAGATGCTGGTGAGGCTGTGGAGAGATAGGAACGCTTTGACACTGTTGGTGGGAATGTAAATTAGTTCGACCATGGTGGAAGACAGTGTGGCGATTCCTCAAAGAACTAGAACCAGAAATACCATTTGACCCAGCAATCCCATTACTGGGTATATACTCAAAGTATTATAAATCATTCTACTATAAAGACACATGCACATGTACATTTATTGCAGGACAATAGCAAAGACATGGAACCAACCCAGATGCCCATCAATGATAGACTGGATGAAGAAAATGTGGTACATATATACCATGGAATACTATGCAGCCATAAAAAAGAATGAGATCATGTCCTTTGGAGGAATATGGATGAAGCTGGAAGCCATCATCCTCAGCAAACTAACACAGGAACAGAAAACCAAACACTGCATGTTCTCACTCATAAGTGGCAGTTGAACAATGAGAACACGTGGACGACAGGAGGGGAACATCACACACCAGGGCCTGTTAGGGGGTGGGGAGGCAAGGGGAGGGAGAACATTAGGACAAATACCTAATGCGTGTGGGGCTTAAAACCTAGATGACAGGTTGATAGGTGCAGCAAACCACCATGGCACATGTATACCTATGTAACAAACCTGCACATTGTGCACAAGTATCCTGGGACTTAAAGCAAAATAAAAAAGAAGAAAAAGAAAATAAATGACTGCAAATGGTTTTTTGTTGTTGTTGTTTGTTTGTTTCTGAGACAGGGTCTCACTCTTACCCACGCTGGAGTGCAGTGGCTTGAGCATGGCTCACTGCAGCCTCGGCCTCCTGGGCTCAAATAATTCTCTTACCTCAGCCTCCCAAGTAGCTGGAACCACGGGTACACACCACCACTCCCACCTAACTTTTTAAAAAGCTTTTCATAGAGACAGGGTCTTCCCATGTTGCCCAGCCTGGTCTTGAACTCTTGGGCTCAAGGGATCCTCCAACCTCAGCCTCCCAAAGTGCTGGGAATACAGGCATGAGCCACCATGCCTGGCAAATACGTTTTTAAAAACAAAGTAAAAAATATTACTAAATTTTAAAACTTAATAAAAAGAAAAGAAAGTCATCGTGTTTCTCACAAAAGAAAAGTCAAATCAACAGAGCTAAAGACAAGCCAGACACAGGCCAACCATGTGTAAGAACTCATATCATTTTTAAAAACAGTCATCACAAACCAATGAATAAACAACAGATTATTCTATAAGTGGGGTGTGATAATTGACTGTTTGGGAGATAAAATTAGCTCTTCTCCCATGACACAGGAAAATTAAATCCCAAATGCATTTTAAAACAAGAAAATCACAGAAAATTAGGAAAAAATATTTCTAGTTTATATTTAAAAATAATAGACTTGATTATATATCTACAGTAAATAAAATTCATTAGAAAACAAAAGTGAGGGCATATTGGTAACAAATGTGAAAGACAAAGGGTTAGTTTCCCTAATAAAGGACCAATATAGGCTGGATAAGGAAAGGGCAGTGATATGAACTCAATGGGAAAGGGTGTCCACAGCTATGTTGGGAGGCTTCTGAGAGTCAGAAACTGCTGATGTGGATGTGAACCAGCCAACTTTGCTGGAAAGAAATCCAGCAATTGGTGTCAACAGCATTCAACAAGCTCATAGCTTTTGACTCAGTAATCCTGCTCTGGAAACATATCCTAAGGAAAGCTGAAATGAGGACGGGGGTTACGCACCCACCCATTGATGGCTGATATTTTTACGTAGAACACATGGCAGCCACACTAAGTGACCTTCAAGGGAATGTTTAAGTCAAGTATGAGACATCCACTAGAGGGAATAGTTTTTTAAAGCCACTTACATTTTCATACAAAAAATTGCTGCTGAAATGTGACAATGCTTATGATACAATTTTAAGTAGAACAGAAGACAACACTGTGTAACAATGGGATTTCACATAGGAACAAAGGCATAGGAGGATGTGGAGGTGGGTGATGTGTATGAATGGCTCGTGCCTGTGTGTGCTGGGCCCAGAGACAATGGTGGAAATGCATGCATCTTTTTCTCTTCCTGTATACTGCTAATTTCACATTTTTTTCAAAAATTAAGTATATACTGCTTTTATAATAATCAATAAAGTATAAAAAAGTAATCAAGTTTGGAAGATTATGGGGGCAAGAACGCAAGACAATTGCTTGAGCAAAGAATGGAGTCACAGCTGGAGTCAATTGTGGGGCATGTGAGTGCACATGTGTGTGCACGTGTGCACACGGATGCACCAGAGCACTCAATATTTTAAGATGATAGAAATCTGAGCATGCTCACTGGGAGTGAGCAAGATTCCATTGGGTAGGGAGAAGTTGAAAAAGAGTACTAGGCCGGGCGCAGTGGCTCACGCCTGTAATCCTAGCACTTTGGGGGGACGAGGCGGGCAGATCACCTGAGGTTGGGAGTTCGAGACCAGCCTGACCAACATGGAGAAACCCCATCTCTACTAAAAATACAAAATTAGCCGGGCGTGGTGGCACATGCCTGTAATCCCAGCTACTGGGGAGGCTGAGGCAGGAGAATCGCTTGAACCCAGGAGGCGGAGGTTGCGGTGAGCTAAGATCACACCATTGCACTCCGGCCTGGGCAATAAGAGTGAAACTCTGTCTCAAAAAAAAAAAAAAAAAGAGTGCTAAAGGGAGAAAGATGATGAAGGTACACCCTATAGGACATGAGAAGTGGAATCAAGGTTTCCTGTGGAGGTATTGTCAGAGTCATTGGAATCAGAGTAACTCCATCTTGAATAGGGGCTGGGTAAAATGAGACTGAGACCTACTGGGCTGCATTCAAAGATGGTTAAATCATTCTAAGTCGCAGGATGAGATGAGAGGTCGGCACAAGATACAGGTCATAAAGACCTCGTGGATAAAACAGTTTGCAGTAAAGAAGCCGGCCAAATCCCACCAAAATCAAAATGGTGACGAAAGTGACCTCTGGTTGTCCTCACTGCTACCAGCACCAGGACAGTTTACGAATGCCGTGGCAACATCAGAAAGTCACCCTATATGGCCTAAAAAGAGGAGATATGAATGAACCACCCCTTGTTTAGCATATAATCAAGAAATAGCCATAAAAATGGACAACCAGCAGCCCTTGGTGCTGCTCTGTCTGTGGAGTGGCCATTCTTTTATTCCATTACTTTCCTAATAAACTTGTTTTCACTTTACTCTGTGGACTTCCCCTGAATTATTTCTTTCTTGAGATCCAAGACTGGATCCGGACCCCTTTCCAGTAAGAGTATCAGCCATGACCCATGCAGGAGAAAGAGTGCTTATTTTCCTCCCCCGCAGAGACTAAAGAAAAACAGACATCAATTTTCACAGGCTCTCCTGTCTCTGATTTCCAAGAGCACCCTCCATGAGGGCTCCCGTCTATCCTATCCTTCACTCTGGCCCATTGCCCTTCGTAGCACTCATCCCCACCTGACTTTTTATAGACGTATTATCTGTTTTGCTCTGCTTTGTGGCCCCAGAGTGCAAAGTCCAAGAGAGGACAGCATTGTCCATCTATCCTCTGCTGTCATGTCCACCACAGCACTGGCACGCAGGAGCACTCAGTAAGAATCTGTTGAATAAAAATGCTTGTGGGCCGGGCATGGTGGCTCACGCCTGTAATCCCAGCACTTTGGGAGGCCAAGGCGGGTGGATCACGAGGTCAGGAGATCGAGACCATCCTGGCTAACACGGTGAAACCCCATCTCTACTTAAAAAAATACAAAAAATTAGCCGGGCATGGTGGCGAGTGCCTGTAGTCCCAGCTACTTGGGAGGCTGAGGCAGGAGAATGGCGTGAACCCGGGAGGTGGAGCTTGCAGTAAGCCGAGATCACGCCACTGCACTCCAGCCTGGGCGACAGAGCGAGACTGTCTCAAAAAAAAAAAAAAAAAAGCTTGTGTTTTCTTTCCTTTTCCTTCCCCTATTGGATTCAAACCAGAGGATTGCTGGCAAAGACTAGGAGAAACCGATGGTGGTAGTGGGGTGAGTGGCCACTGCTGGCCAGGCAGAAGGCTGAACCCTGTGGATTTCCTACATTGGTTTTTGGTGGAGTTGGTGTTTTCCTGGAATGGGCTGGGGGAGGCCTGCTATTCCTTGCAGGGTCTCTGCAGATCAATGGCTTGAGCCTTTGGAGGATTCGCCTCCCAGATTTCAGAGCTCTGTTATCTCTATCCCCAGCAGGGCCATTTCCACTTCCTGACACAGTGCCTCCCCACCCCTCCCTCTGACACACACCCAGAGTACAAAAATCCATTTCCTTTGCCCAACTACGGTTTTCCAGGTCTCCCCACGCTTCACTCCTTGGTCTTAAAATCCTTTTTGATTCCTTATGAATCTGCCTGTCTTTGGTTAAATACCACATAGATGGCTTTAATGTGTATTGTGAAAATCCATCTCGAGTGCTTCCAGAATATAAAAATGTGACCAGATCCAATGGAATCATTTCAGGAGAAGTAGGGCAGTGCCGAGAGGCTATTTTTAAACTCTGCATTCTGGTGGTTTGGTGACCTGCCTGTCTCCTGTTTTCCTGCCCAATGCCAACGCTGAAGGACTTGGTGCTCCAGTTTTGGGTCAGTTCATGGTGCCCGGTGGAGTCCAGCATGGCCCCAGTGAGCTTGGTGTGGGACTTTTTTTTTTATGGAGGAGCAAAGGTGGAGAAGCCTGAGAAGCTTCCAGGAGACTGGTGGGGAGGGATGCTGAGGGGAGGTACCACTGTTGCAGAGCAGAGACCTGGAAGTTGCTGCAGGGGCTGTGGGAGGGCTGAGGGGTGACGAGCTGCAGAATCAGGTTCCTCCCAGGCAGGCGGGTCTGGAGAAACCACACCAGAATGCCTGTGGCGCCGCTCCCCCCGAGTCCCTGCTCCTTCTCCCTTGCATAACAGGGCCCTGCATGTTGGCCCAGGTCAGTGCACACACTTGGGCTGCCCCACTGGAACCCTTAGGCACCACACAGTGTATGGGGGAGCCCTGGAGTCCCTGTGCTGGCTGTCCTGAGCCCCAGACCCCACACGGACACCGAGTGGGACGGTGCAGTCGCTCCACATCCCTCCACACAGAGGCCACTTTGTGGCGGGTTCCACCTGCCCTCTCTCTCCTTGACTTGCTTCTTTCTTTGTCAAGCAGTGCACTGTCTTGAACTCTAACATCAAAGTATTTCTTTGACCTGTCCTCCATCTGAGTATAAGTACCACAAAGACAAGCATTTGTTTTGTTTACTGCTTTTTCCCCGGCTCCTAGAATCACCCCTGGTATATAGTAGGTGCTCAATAAAGGTTTGCGGGGGGAAGAAAGGTAAGAAAGATGGAGGGAAGTCAAGAGAGAGGGAAAGGGAAAGAGTGGGGTTTGTTGGTTCCTCCTTGAGTGATACCACCCACCCTGGGAGAAGCTGAAAGCTCCACATGCTGTCCCTCCCCAGTGACAGGGACCATCCACGCTGTGGCCTCCAACTCAGCTGCCTCCCTTCATAGGCATCAGCCTTGGCTCTGAGCCTCACCCTGGCCTCTTCTCCCTGTGGGTGCCCCTGCTCATGGTACCCGAGGGAACACCACCAGCAGAGAGTGCAAGAAGCAGACCAAGTGAGGACCTTCAAGCATGCATAACCACAGGCACCATGGCACTGCTTCTCTTGGTGGAAGAGAGAGCAGGGGAGAGTGGTGTCCCCCGTATTTGGTTCCTATAAATTCTCCTGATCTGTCTGCATTCACAGGCTGGGAAAGACCCTCAAACGGGCTGCAGTGGCCACCCTAAGAAGTGTTCTTCTTCTGCTTCAGACCCATTTCTTTCAGGACCATAAGCAGCTCTGCTCCTCATCTCCCACGCTGTAGACAGGGATCCCTGGTTGGCACTGTTTTCTCTGTCCCTAGGATGCCCGTGTCCTTTGGCTGCAGGCTCCCACCACCCAGCCCTTGCTCCCTGCACAGGGTGGTACTCAGTGAATATGTGGTAGCTCTTCTTGGGTTGAAGAAGAGAGGGCAGAAGAAAACCTGCCCCTCCACTTGCTTTCTTGCAGTGGCTTGTCTCAGCTTGAGTGCTTCCCTTCCCAACTGACCACATCTGAGGCTTTGCTTTGTGCTCCATCCATTCAAAACCAAGCGACCAAACGATGCTTCCCTTGGGGATTTTCTTTAGAACAAAGACCATTTTCATCAGCACTCTTTTCTCCCGCTCCTGGGTTCCTTCCACCTTTCATGAACTGAGCCCCCTTCTGAAGTAAGGCGTGGGCACCCTGAATGGAAATGGCTAGATTAATGCGCATGCATGTCCACACTGGTGCAGGGCACCTGCTTTTCTGGGACAATTGCCATCTGGAATCAGACGCCTTCCTCATTGTGTGCCTATTTCTGGACAAAGAAGAGGAGAATTGGACGAGAAGCAGGCCTCCTCTCCCACATCCTCCAGCCACCTGGCAGGCCCGACTAAGACACCCGCTCCAGCTCAGGTGGTTTATGTGGCTCCAGTGAGTGGGGCAAGTGGGGCGTTTCATCCCAACCTTCTGCATAACAGCATTAGCAGATCAGACACTCAGGTCTGGGACAACATGTCCTGAAGGGCATCTCTGGGTTCCCCCTCCAGGGCCTTGGGTGCTGCCCTGCCTCCTCTGCTGAAGGCTGCCTACCCCCCACCGCCAGAGCAGCAGAGTTCCCTTCAGTAGCTTTCAGGGACTGGAAGGATAGTGGGCTGCCTCTCCCCACAGGTAAGGCTACCGTTGGTCTCCTGGCTCTCGGCGGGCTGGGGGCCCATCCCTGGATAGCAGCTACGGGGAAAGACATGGCTCTGGAGATGGAGGCGAGAGTCAGATGCTGAGACCTCCAACAATGTCCGCTTGTGGAGGCTTTACTATTTATAACACTTTTGTTTTCTACAATGAATAGATAATGCTTTTAGAACAGAAAAGTGAAACGTAAATCAACTCCGCAAGAAACAGGAAGCTCAAAATTTAGATCCGAATAAGTCTTTCCACCCAGGGCTGGTCTAGGGATAGAAGAAAGACTAATGTTTTTGGTAGGAGAGGAAATGGAGGTGAGGGGCTGTGCTGGAGAAGTCAGCCTGCGGGGGGCGGGGGCAGGCGGGGTAGAATTTCAATTCTGCTCTCAATCTTGTTTTCTTAGAATACAATAAAATATTTTCACATAAGATACTGGTCTGGAGGGCAGGCGTGGTGGCTCATGCCTGTAATCCCAGCACTTTGGGAGGTCAAGGCGGGTGGATCACCTGAGGTCAGGAGTTCAAGACCAGCTTGACCAAAATGGTGAAACCCCGCCTCTACTAAAAATGCAAAAATTAGCTGGGTGGGGTGGCGGGCGCCTGTAGTCCCAGCTGCTCAGGAGGCTGAGACAGGAGAATCGCCTGAATCCGGGAGGTGGAGGTTGCGGTGAGCCAAGATCGTGCCATTGTACTCTAGCCTGGGCAACAAGAGCAAAACTCCGTCTCGGTGAGGGGTGGAGAGAAAAGATACTGGTCTGGAGTGATTTATTTTAGAAATATCAGATTCTGTTAAGTTTTTTATAAATTGTCTTTGGGAGTGATTGAAGAAATAGTGCGATGTTTTGAATAATCCAAGATCTAAATGTAAACACAATTTAATAAAATTAGAGACAAGGAAAACTATACATGGGGAGACTATATTACTCTTGACAGGAAATCACTGTGTATGTGCAATTATATTCATGTATTTGTCATTTGTATCTATCATATATATATATATATATATATAACCTAGGGAAAGATACCATACACCTAATCAAATGAAAAGTGATAAATTGGAAAAATATTTTCAGCACATGTCAGACAAAAATATTCATATGCCTATTGTACAAGGAGATCTCACAAACTGATAAGAAAAACCGATGATCAATTAGAAGACAAGGTCAAGGGGAACAGCTCATGCTTCACTTGACTTGGTGATTCTTCAGTAACGAGGGATCCCATCCCATCCATATGAAGAGTTGGCTTCATGGGAACAGTTTGAACCCTTTTTGGTAATATGGGGAGAGGCCTGGCCCAGGGTGCTGGGGACCCCCAGTAGGATTGAAGGGAAGACTCTTGGGAGCACCCAGACAATGGCCAAAGGGGATCTGAAAGAAAAGTTTTCAGCAGCGAAGTCACAGGGGGATCAGGTGTCTACCAGGAGAATGTGGCTGGGCAGGAAGCAAGTGCACACTCTGGAGTGTAATTGAGTAGGTCAAAATCTGTGCTGTTGTTCCCTTGCCTGCAAAAATAATTCCCTTTCCCCTGTTCTCCTCCTTTTCGGAGGCTCTGTCACTGTCCCTCTGTGCCCACCTGGGCTCTCTCAGATTCTTGCTATGGGATTATCCTCGCTAGCGTCTTCCCACCATCAGCATGGACAGGAGGGATGGGTGTGCAGGCCACATGAGCCCAAGAGGAAATGGTGCTTGGGGATACAATTCTCATGAGACCAACATGTGTTTCCTATGTGAGGAGGTGGCCAGGGAACGGTGGCCATAGTCGGCAGGGAGCCTGGGTGACCACATGACACACTAGGGCTGGTAGGACTGCCCAAGGTTATAGATGGTGCTTGTCTTTACTGATGCTGGTGGGCAGCCCGTTGCTTAGTTGACCAACCAGACAAATTCCAACACCCTTAAGCCTGCAGCACTGCCCGGCTTATTTCTGAGCGAAAGTGGTTGTGACGTGACAACCTGTAGAATCATGGCATCCACCCATGCATACTATCTCAGCAATGGCACTGCTGTCTTTCCAGAGTGTAAGTCACAGGCCCACATTTATCCTCGACACCACCCTCTCCCTATGCCTCAGAGGCAGAGTGACCACAGAGTTTATTGTCCAAACTGGACACTTGGGAGAGTAAAAGGAGGATGAACCCCGTCTCTACTAAAAATACAAAAAATTAGCTGGGCGTGGTGGCAGGCACCTGTAGTCCCAGCTACTCGGGAGGCTGGGGCAGGAGAATGGAGTGAACCTGGGAGGCGAAGCTTGCAGTGAGCCGAGATCACGTCACTGCACTCCAGCCTGGGCAACAAGTGCGAGACTCCGTCTCAAAAAAAAAAAAAAAAAAAAAAAGGAGGATGATAGTCCATGGAGGCTACTATAACAAAAGCCCTCAACTGGGTGTCTCATGAGCAACAGGCATCTTCCTTTCTTCCTTCCTCCCTCCCTTCCTTCCTTCCTTCCTCCCTCCCTTCCTTCCTTTCTTTTCTTTCTTCTTTCTCCTTCCTTCCTTCCTTCATTCCTTCCTCTTTCTTTTCTTTTCTTTTCAGCATCTTGCTCTGTTGTCCAGGCTGGCATGCAGTGGCATGATTATAGCTCACTGCAGCCTCAACCTCCCAGAATCAAGTGATCCTTCCACCTCTGCCTCCTGAGTAGCTGGGACTGCAAGTGCGTGCCACTACGCCCAGCTAATTTTTTAGTTTTTGGTAGAGACGGGAGTCTCACTGTGTTGCCCAGGCTGGTCTCAAACTCCTGGTTTCAAGCGATCCTCTCACCTCAGACTCCTAAAGTGCTGGGATGACAGGTGTTAAGCCACCTTGCCCAGCTGACATTTATTTCTCCCAGTTCTGGACTCTGGGAAGACCTAGATCAAGGTACTGGCTGATATTGTTTCTGGTGAGAGCCACTCCTGGTTCATAGACAATCATCTTTTCATAGTAACCTCATATGGCAGAAGGAACAAGAGGTCTCTCTCTGGCCTCTTTTCTAAAGGCACTAATTCTTTTCATGGGGGCTCTACACTCATGACCTAATCACCTTCCAAAGGCTTCACTTCCAAACACATCTCACTGTTGATTAGGTTTCAACATATGAATTTTGTGGGGGGACACAAACATTTGGACCATAGCAGAGTAATAATAAATGGTTTTTTTTGTTGTTGTTTGTTTGTTTTTTTGAGACGGAGTCTCACTCTGTCACCCAGGCTGGAGTGCAGTGGCACCATCTCAGCTCACTGCAACCTCCCCCTCCCGGGTTCAAGTGATTCTCCTGCCTCAGCCTCCTGAGTAGCTGGGATTACAGGCATGCGCCACCACGCCCGGCTAATTTCTTTGTATCGTTTAGTAGAGAGGGGGTTTCACCATGTTGGCCAGGCTGGTCTTAAACTCCTGACCTGAAGTGATCTGCCCACCTCGACCTCCCAAAGTCCTGGGATTATAGGCGTGAGCCACTGTGCCCGGGCGAATAAATGGTTACATTGTAGCGACAGGTAACCATAGACAGTTTCAGCAAATCAAGGTTGCCCAAATCAGAGCCAAACCGTCACATGGATCTCTGAACTTTACCTTAGAAAAATCTCTCAAATCTATCCCTTTTTCTCCACTGCCACCACCTCTATCCCAATAACCATCATTTCTTTCCTGGACTGATGTCCACCTAGGCTTGCACCGGTTTCCAACCAAGTGTTCATTTCAGATGTAAATATGATCATGACAGTTTCTACTTCACCACTTTCAATACCCTCCGAGACACCTCTTTGCTCTTAGGATACAATTAGAAGAACCTGAAAGGTCTTAATATCTGTTTCCTTCACAAGGATGCCTCCCAGTGAAGACACAGACCCTATTTGCTCACCCTGTTACCTTTAGTATCTGCTCTGTACCAGTGCTCATTCAGTATCAGCTAAATCACCAAATGAGTGAACCTATGAATGAATCCATCAGGTTTCCTGGGCCTGCAGTCTCTGCTGTGATGGAGAAGGCTGCCTAATATACATGTGAACTCATGTATATTGAGTGTACATGTAATAAAAATATCCCTTATCTAAAGCTCCAATTTTGTGTCCACTGATGGCGTCCCCTGTCATGTGTCTATGCTGTTTTTGTTTCCATTGAACTTTCGGTATAAATTTAGCTATTTGTATGGTATCTTCCCCTCTCCCCCTGCCCTCAAATTTGCTATTTACTCCCATAGATTTAAGAGATTATTTGAATTCAAACAAAACGATAAACTCCTACTTTTGTTTCATTCTTTGAAAAACAAATTCTATATTTCACTGGAAAAAAATATATTTATCTTCCAGTTAGCTTTCTAAAGGGAGAGCTGGCAGGAAGTAAAGGAGCTGAAAATTACCAACATTCCATTTTTATTTAATGCATGTTACACAGACATAGTAGTGTTTCAATAGATAGGAACAAATGCTACTATTACATACAAAGGTTAACAGTACAAGGTATGATTACCATAAGTCTGCATAACACCTAGAAGAAATAAAAACTACTTTCTAACTCTGGAGCACCCATTTCAATAATAGCAGCGTTTGTTGGGGCGGCTTGAGCGTATGCCCCTGTGGTTAAGGAGCACGCATGTGTTCTTAAACACCAAATGCATTCACAGTTTTAAGGGAGAGAGAGAATGGAATTTAGCAGAAATATGTATCTAAATAATGCATAGTTACGATTCCACGGTAAAATATACAATCATCAAAACCATTTAAGAATAATAACCTAAATGCTTTTGATAGGAAAGGTTTTGGGCCATGTTTCTTGACGTATTGTATTCAAATTAGCTATGGGAATAACTACACAAGAGCTGTGGTTTTTTCCCCTATGAGGGTCAAAACCTTTTCTTGTCAAAAGTGTACGAGTTACTCTAAACCTCTAGCCATGGCTCTGCCAAGGCAACAACCCATAAGCAGCAAAAGGCGAGGAAGAACAAGCAGATGCCAGTGGCTCCAGGTTCCTGCAAACTTATTCTTGTTGTTGTTTGTCTCCTGTCCAGATGTCATAGCCATTAGTACCTGCAGGTCCCACCATATTGAGACAGTGAGCCTTGTAAGCGTCATCATCAAAAAACACAGCAAATATAGGCTGTAAAAGCAAACTCCATAACTGACAACTATAGTAGGCTGAATAACGACCTCCAGAGATACCAGGTACTAACTCCTGTGTCCCATAAATGTTACCTTATATGGAAAATGGGTCTTTGCAGGTGTGATTAGGTTAAGGATTTTGAGATGGGGAGATTATCCTGAGTTAGCCTGGTACTCCCTAAATGTAATCACAGAGGGCCTTATAAAAGAGTGACAGAAGGAGAGTCAACACATACTGGAGAGGAGAAGGTGACGTGACCACACAGGCAGAGATTGGAGTGATGTTGTCACAAGCCAAGGGATGCAGCAGCCCCCGGGACCTGAAGGAAGCAAGGGATGCATTCTCCCCTAGATCATCAGGAGGGAGCCCTGCCCAACCCACACCTTAATTTTGGCCCAGTGAAACTGATTTTGGATATTTGGCCTCCAGACTGTGAGAGAAGAAAGTTTTGTTGCTTTTTAGCTGCCAAGTTGATGGTGATTTGTTACAGCAGCCACAGGGAGCAAATACAGCAACTGACCAAGGCAAGACTCTTAGGTTGCAAGCAAGGGAAATCATCTTGGGCTAACTTTAGCAGGAAAGCAACTCATGGGACATTGATTGGAGGGTGCAAAGAATCTAGGATGTTCAGAAGGACAGGGCCGGGCATCTGGACAGATGGTCCCACTGGTGCTGCTGTTAGGGAAGCTGCACTAGAATGGTAAGCTCCAACAACATGTTCTTTCCTATCAGAGACACTTTCTGTGTACAGGCACCCTGCAAAGACCTTTCCATCCTCACAAAAGCTTGTAGTGGCAGTTAGTGACAGAGAGAATCTTAGGGCTCTGAGTCTTACTGCATCAGATCTTTTTCCATTGCATCAACATGCCTCCTTTTAGAAGTGCAAGTAAGATCTGCTTCACATTGAGCTTTGAGACACAGAACACAGTAAGTCAAGATTTCACGGAATGTCCTCAAGCCCAGTCCTCTATATTAAGATGACTCAAAACTGGGGAAGAGAACCTTGGGCTTCAGGAGCTTTTCACATTGCTTGACTCCTTCATTCTTGCCACGGTCTTACGCCTTTTTGTAGGCTCAGGGCTTTCTCAAGCATCCTTAAGCATGTTAGGGCAGTGCTTCTCTAGGTGGTTTCACCTGTAATTTAAACATTTACTTGCACGTGCTTTATGTTTTTCCACCTCCTCCTGTTAACAAACATGGATATACTTTATTATAGAAAAAAACTGCTGAATTAAAGACTGATATTGAGAGTTTACATTCTGATATATTGCCTTTTTATTACATCTCATTACGATGAAAACATGCAAGCAAGCTCCCCCAGCTAACATTCCCTGTCCCTGCCCCATGCAAGTCAGCAGCCCGGGGTATGTGAATCACCCCACAGAAGGTTCATGCCACAGCACCACTGCAAACTAAACAAATTCTTTCCACGTTAGACTTAGGGTTAAAAAAAGAAGTTGTGTTCTAAAGGAGAGAGATATGATTTTGAAAGGAGCACTGGAAAGAAAATGAAAAGGAAATGAGACCTCAGTCGACCACGTGCTGAACCAGCCAGCCAGGCTTCCTTCCTCCATTGCTTCTGCTGTGGCGACCTACGAGTGGGGGCTTTCCACAGAAGGCTGCGGGTCCGGGAACGGGGGCAGGACTTACAGACCTCACCAGAGTGTGGCCAAGGACAGAAGTTCTCTATACGGAAGAGAAGGCTTGTCTAGTATGGAGTTCTAAGTTCTGTACTTAAATGTTCCCTGACAGGGGGTGGGGCTGGGGAGGGTGTAAAACAAAAAATTATTCTGATACTTTTATTTTTTATTTTTTATTTTTTCAAGACGGAGTTTTGCCCTTGTTGCCCAGGCTGGAGTGCAATGGCATGATCCTGGCTCACTGCAACCTCCACCTCCCAGGTTCAAGCAATTCTCCTGCCTCCTCAGCCTCCCAAGTAGCTGAGATTACAGGTGCGCACCACCACGCCCGGCTAATTTTTTGTATTTTTAGTAGAGATGGGGTTTCACCATGGCCAGGCTGGTCTTGAACTTCTGACCTCAGGTGATCCGCCCACCTTGGCCTTCCAGAGTGCTGGGATTACAGGCATGAGCCACCGCGCCCGGTCGATACTTTCTAAAATGGTAAGACTTTATTCAGGACAATTGCAATTGGTGTCCACAGTGTCACAACAGGGCAGAGAGATCAGGCTCAACTCCCAATACAAGAACAAGGCACCAGACATGGTGGCTGAAACCTGTAATCCCAGCACTTTGGGAGGCTGAGGCGGGCGGATCACTTGAGGTCAGGAGTTCAAGACCAGCCTGGCCAACATGGCAAAACACCGTCTCTACCAAAAATACAAAATTAGCCAGGGGTGGTGGCAGGTGCTTGTAGTAGTCCCAGCTACTAGGGAGGCTGAGGCAGAAGAATCACTTGAACCTAAGAAGTGGAAGTTGCAGTGAGCCAAGATTGGACCATTGCACTCCAGCCTAGTCACAGAGTGAGACTCCTTACCAAAAAAATTATAAAATTAAAATTAAGAAAAAAAAAGAACAAGGGGATATTTACAGCAGGTTGAGGGGTTTCACCAGATGAAGATGATTTCAGGGTCGGGCTTCTTGCTAAACTGATCCAGGTTTCAACAAGGATTCTTGTTGAAGGTAGGCCAGGGTGATCTGATATCGAGGATCAAGGGTTCTCAATAAACTGACAGCAGGATCCCTGTTGAAACTGAGCTTTGCAGGCCCAGCAAGGACAGGGACCAAGGTTGAGGGCTTGGAGGAGTCTGACTAAAGTTTGGTCAAGGAGAGAGTCTTTGTCAGGGGTTATGTGGGCTCTTCCTTCATGTTCCTTTAAAGAGCATGCCCATCTTCCGGGACTTCCTCTTTCTGTTTAAGTTACCATTTACTGTGGCTTCTCACGCTCTTTACGCAGCTGCAAAGGCAGAGCAAGACACACTGCTGGCCCAGAAGGGCTGATGATCCGGCAGCCTCAAGCTACGGGTCAGGAGTGAGGAAGTGAGGCTGGCCTTGTGGGTGTGGAGTGGCTCTGAAGCTTCCTGTCTCCACCCAGCCCTCTGCCCCTGCACTAAACCAAAGCCCTGCAGAGCAGAGTCTAGTGACGCTCCTGGGAAGGTGACGCTCCTGGCGGCACATGGCCTTGAGAGCTTCCACGTAGTTTGCCCTTGGTCTTGTCTCTGAGACGCCTTCTGGTTGCCTCGGTCTCCTCACACCCCCCAGGATCCAAGTCCAGGCCTACCTGGCTCCCGGGCACTCCCTGTGTGCCTCCCACCTCCTCCTTCCACCGAAGGCAGGCGAGGTCAGCTCTCCCTTCCCTCCTGTCTCTGGAGCCCTCGCTCCATGCCCAGGCCTGTCCCGTGGACGTGTCATGCAGCTGCTTGCTTCATGTTCTTCTAGCTTTCTCCCTGAGCCACAGGCAATGCTTTTCAAAAGCAGTGAAAAGTTTAGCGGAGTTTTTTTTGTTTTTTTTTTGTCAAGGTAATAAAATCTGCAGTGATAAAAATAGCTATTAGAAGTTTAGGAAAATTTCATCTTGGAGTAGAAGAATGAGGATGGACTAGGCTAAATAGTGTCCTAACAAATACCTGTCCACCCAGAACCTCAGAATGTGAACTTATTTGGAAATAGGCTCTTTGTGTATGCCATTCTCATAGATGAAGTCCTCCTGGATTTAGGGTGGGTCCTAAATCCAGTGACTGGTGTCCTTATAAGAAGACCACATGAAGCCGCAGGGAGGCACGGAGAGGATACCATGTGACCACGGAGACAGAGACTGGAGTGCAGCATCTAGGAACCAAAGACAGCCAAGGAATCCTGGCACTGCCAGAAGCCAGGAGAGAGCCGGAACATTCTCCCAGAGCTTTTGGAAGGAACCTAGCCTGCCCACACCTTGATTTTGGACTTCTGGCCTTCAGAACTCCAGGAGAAGAGCTTCTGTTGTTTGAAGACACCCAGTTTGCGGTCATTTGTTAAAGCAGCCCCCGGACACTAAGCCACAGTGTAGCCATATGCTTGGGCTGGGTCCCAGGGCAGCACTGACTCCTCACTTTACCTTGTGTCACAGCAAAGCCCACAGCCAGGGAGAGGGGGTCAAACTGCAGCAGCTCTCACTTCTGAGCATCATAACGAAAGCCAAAGACAGCGCCATTTACCTAAATCGGACAGCCTACAGAATCTTCCAGTCTGAAATAAGAAATGTCAAGCGTTTTAGCCATGGGAATTATAGGGTAGGGGAGATCCTTCCCCTTAACTAGTCAGTGGTTGAAATTTCTTTTGCAGCAGAAAATTTAAGTGGTAGCTTGACTGTTTAATGTTTGCAACATTAGAATGCCCTAGTCTCCACTTACTGATTTAAAGAGCAACAGAAATCCTTACAGGAAGAGCAGTAGGATGGCTGATTCCTGAAAGCGGCTTCCTGACACCCTCGCCCCAGCACCCCTGGGTCCAGTCACCATTCAGATACATCTTTTGATGGGTTGCAAGGAAAAGAACAGTGTCAGGGGACAAGGCCTGTTTACCTACAACTAACTGAAGCCCTTTGATGAGCTCTCCTCCCATCTCCAATCTGCCCCCAACCGCTGGCCGTTCCTAACCCATCTCTTTGCAAATAAAAGTTATCACCATCAGATCTGGGTGTGCCATTCTTCCAGTTGTGTGCACAAGAGGGTGGGAGTTCAGGGGGTTGGAATTCTTCTTTTCAAAAACCTGTTAAGTTTTTCTGAAACAGCAGCCTTCCCGAAGCTTCTGCTTAGTGCCTGTTCATCTATTGAGAGCTGATAATAGGATGTATTTTGCTTTTTTTTCTTTAAATGGATAAAAGGATAATGCTTTTTCTTTTCTTTCTTTTTTTTTTTTTCTTTTCTTGGCCTCCAGTGTCTATGCAAGTTATTTTTCAGTCCATTAAAATGAATCATTGTTTATCATGTTAGTTTTCACATTTCACAAAATGATGAACAATGGACTTTTCTTTGTTAAAAGATGGGGGCTTCTGTCCTCGGGCACTCGTGTTCAGAAGATAAGACTTTCTCCGAGTTCCACACACTTCTTTCTTTTCACACATGCGTTACGTTTATTTTCTGACTGAAGTCTCCAAAACAAACGCTATGGCTGCTGCTGAAATAGATCACATGTTACTACGGTACAAGTGAGACCAATCACAGTGGCTGCTTTTGTTTTTAATTGCGACCACCTCGGATGGGTCCTGAGTGCTGAGCCAAAGCTCTGTTTTCCTTTCTTTCTTTTTTTTTTTTTTTAATCTTTTCAAAATTCCTTTGAGGCAGGTAGGGGTAAACCCTCAACTCACTGTGGAAATTCATGTTGTTGAAGAGGATTAATAGAGAAGGGGTGGGAAAAGGAAAGTCTCAGGGGTGTTTTTGTGCCTCATTAAAAGGTCACAAAGCCCTCTGTGTTCTCTCCCTCCAAGGGTCTAAACCTGAGTGTCTTTTATCCGCTTCATCAAGCTCTGCACGTCCAATCGAGCTGCGAGGGAGCTCCATGGAGCTCCTGAGCACTTGAAATGGGGCTAGTGGGAATTGAGGAGTTCTGTAAGTAGAAATAGGTTTAGTACAAATAAATAAACTGATTAAAAATGTCATCAATAATATTTTAAAATTGATGATAACTTGACATGCAACATATTTGTGTACTTTCTTGTTGATTGATTACTTGACTTGCCCTTCTGGGACCCAGACTGCTAGAAAACATGTCTCCCTAAGTACCGCCAGGAATGCTAATCCCATGACATTCCACAGGAAACAAAAGGCGCTGAGGTCAAACTGAGAAAAACCGCAGCAGAGTTCCACTGGGGATTTGAAAAGACCTGAGCGTAGAAAAGGCTCCCGAGCTCTGCAATAAAGACAGGCATCTAACTTTGTTAATATGTTAATATGGCTTTTCAGAAATCCATGACCACAGGACTCCTGCCCCCTCTGACTTTTTTAATGCTGGCCTACTACCAATTAACCTCTCAAGAAACTGCCATTCAGGATTTGAATAGTAGCAATGGAAAGAGAAAAATGGGGCAAAGCTTTGGACCCACAGTCCAAAGGGAAGGACTCTTTTTAATCCAATGGGTTATAGCAAGAGCATGTTGCGGACTCATATCTGGGAACTGCAACATCATCATTTTTTTTTTTTTTTTTTGAGACAGAGTCTTGCTCTGTGGCCCAGGCTGGAGTGTAGTGGTGCGATCCCGGCTCACTGCAACCTCCGTCTCCTGGTTCAAGCGATTCTCCTGTCTCAGCCTCTCAAGTAGCTGGGATTACGGGCACCTGCCACCATGCCCAGCTAATTATTGTATTTTAGTAGAGGTGGGGTTTCACCATGTTGGCCAGGCTGGTCTTGAACTCCTGACCTCAAGCGATCCATTTGTCTCAGCCTCCCAAAGTGCTGTGATTTCAGGCATGAGCCACCATGCCTGGCCTTGCAATGGTCTTTTTAATCTTACAAACATGTGTCCATGCCTGGAGGACCCAGCTGCAGGGACAGACACTCCAACCCGGTCCAATCTCCTTACCTGCATATTCACTCCTTTTAAAGCAGCTTGAAACCAGTGAAATAAGTGCTTTAGCAATAAAGAGTGAAGAGGAGAGTAGAATTTTGTGTTGCAGATCATTTTGTTGGCTCAACATCTTTCTCCACACACAAGCCGTAGGCTGTGTAAGTGGAGATGAACATCTCATCCATCTGATAATGAATCTTCAGCCGGAAACTTCGCGAGCTGGACCGACAGGGGCTTGAAGGTTGGGTACATTTCCATCTTCAGGGCAGTGGGAGGGAGAGTGGCTGACAATGGAGCTGGGGAGGACAGGTTGAATTTGGTGAGGGCACGCAGGTGCCGGGTGCCATGACTGATTTCTGAGCCCAGGGTGCTCTGCTGCCATTTCCCATATCCCCAGAGAAGACCTGAAGGCAGAGTTCTTGTCTTTTCAGTGCCTGGCTAAGAGAGAGGTGAGTCTTGGGGGAGAAAGTTGGTGCACTGTGGGTGAAGGAATGGAAACTAACTCTGTTTGAATTCCTTTTTCATAGTCTGATGTTTGCTTGGGTTTTGAGAACAAAAACCAAAAAGATACAACCCACACCCCCCTGCCCAAAACTTGTTTTTATATGTGGTAAGTTTAATTCTTGAAAGAGAGAGAATAAAAAGTACATTTTATAGGATTTATTTTTACCTTTCTAATGCATATGTACACGTATATTTAAGAAAAAAAATTCTAGTTGACTTTTTACTTGCCCAAGATCTGAATAGGATTGAAAGATGAAAGACCACCATGATCCTCTTTGACAAACATGTACACATGTGAGCTCACTGTTCCTGCACGTCTGATTTATTATGCTAATTGGCTTTGGGCAGCCTCTCACAAACATGTCTATAGGAGGTCCCTAGTGTAATTCTCAGTCTCTTAATTACATAGACTCGTCTTTGGAGTCTGAATAAAATAGGTGAATGGATTTTCTTCCTGTAAACACTGCACTCAGGCACCTGCTGTTGGCTGCATGATGTCTTAAAGCTTCACTACGCCACCCAAGAGGCTGACTAGTTTACTTTGATGGCGCCATCATCTGCAACCCCATGTTCATGCCTTCACATTATCTAAGACTTGGGCACCTAATGGCCTTCGGATTTCTAGCTTTTCTTTCCTCAGAAAGGTTCTCCACATGGCCTTTCTTAGGGATGGCCCAGCAGCACCCAGTCTCACAGGGCTGCCTCGGCCTCCAGGTCCTAGCTTTTTGCATCTGCATGCCATTTCAGCCACCATTGTTCATGGCCAAACTGTGGAACTCATAATGGATTGAATGGCACTAGCGCCAATGTTCTGCTCATTCTTTACAGATAACACCAACCACAGAGGAAGCAGAATCTAATTAGCTCTTACATGGTGCAGTCAACAGCAAGAGGGCAGAGCTCTGGTGGTCCCTATATTGGGTTTCCCTGTTAAGGGCTTGCAGGGAAGGCCAGTTGAAATTCTTGAATCACTTCATGCTATTGTCTTGATATTTGCTGTGACCTGCTAATGGCCTGTAGAGCAGGGTCCCTGTCTTGTTCTGGTTTTCCTTGAGCATAATTGGCTTCCTTGCATGGATTTGGGTGTCCTTGGTTTCTAGAACATTTCTGGGACCTGATAAAAATCCTGGAAGAAAGGTCTTTGGCTGCCGCCTCCTCCTGGGCTCTGTTGTTCTTCAGGTAAACACAACTGGGAGGAGAGTGAAGGTGGGGATTGAGAACCAAACAGCCTGTTAAGTGATGTTGAGTTTTGTGCTATGCTTTTCAGCTTCCAGGGGACCCAAGTGTTCATTCCAAAGGGATCGCTTGAAAAATATAATCTCAGGATTTACAAATCAAACCCAAAATACAAGGATAAGCAGGCCCTGAGAAAGCTAGCTCCTCAAATCCTAACTCATAAGAAAACTATTTGCACCAGGATGAGGGTGAACTTATCTCTTATGATTCATAGTATTTGCCTGAGAACTGAACCACCCTTCAGCTGGAGCTCACTCAAAGGTTGAACTACAGATGGAAGCTTGGGGGATGATTATAAAATCACGACATATAGTGCTTAATGTTCCCAAGAGGGCATTTAATCCCCCATAATGGATCAATCGCTCTTATTCTTCTTGAAGAATTTTTCTACTCCTAGAACCAGGTCTGATCCATCACCTAGAATCAGAATGTTCTCTACCTTTGGCAAAGCTAGTTGCAAAGTCTTACTGTTACTTTTTTTTCTTTTTTTGGCTGTAGACTCAATGTCAACTGCTGCTTATTTCAATTCATGAATCAGCAAATATCTTTGTGTGTGTGTGTGAGAGAGAGAGAGAGAGAGAGTGTGTGTGTGTGTGTAGGCTTTATTGATGCACCTGTAACTGGAACTCTCTTCTTACCTCTTAGACCTCAGCTCTCTGCAGAGACCCCTTAAGTAACTGACCAAAAATAACCAGCCCTGTTACTCACTACCACACCTGTTTTTTTTTTCTTATCGTGAGCCATGATAAGCTTGTTTGCCTGCTCCTTTTCTACCTCAACCTTCATGAAGACAGAGATTTGTTTTCTTTTTTTTTTTTTTCTTTTTGAGACGGAGTCTTGCTCTGTCGCCCAGGCTGGAGTGCAGTGGCACGATCTTGGCTCACTGCAACCCCTGCCTTCTGGGTTTCAAGCAATTCTCCTGCCTCATCCTCCCGAGTAGCTGAGACTACAGTCACCCACCACCATGCCTGGCTAATTTTTTTGTATTTTTAGTAGAGGCTGGGTTTCACCATGTTGACCAGGCTGGTCTGGAACTCCTGACCTTAGGTGATACACCTGCTAGGATTACAGGCATGTGCCATTGTGTCTGGCCGAGATCTGCTTTCTTTATTTTATGTTTAATCCATGTCCAATACAGTGCCTGGCCTAACTCAAAAGCTATTTATTGAATGCACAAAATGTGCATATGGGACATTTCACAAGAAAAGTGGCTTGGTAGGAGTTGGTAAATGAAGAGGCTAGATCTATGAAAGTTCTCACCAAGCAAGGTGGTATCCTCAGAGACAGGACACTAGGGAAAGACTGGGAGGGTTTCTTCAGGAATGTGAGGAATTTTGTAGATATTTGGAATCTCTTGCCCTCATGGTGAGTAGTCAGAAAGAAACAGACCCATAGGATACAGGGAACAAGAACATAAAGAAGACAGCCAGGATTGAGAAAGTGGCCAGTGAAGCCACGAGAGCAGGTGTATTTTCACAGGGGCAGAGAGTAAAAAATAACAACCAAGAGCGTGGGTGAATGCCAAGGCAGCCTCAAGAGAAACAGGCAAGAACCAAGCCCTGGGAAAGTAGCACGTCAGGACTTGGCTGCAGGGACAGGGGTAAGCCCGTCAGAGCCCCTGCATGGCTTTCAGATTACACAGACTTTAACCGCCCAGTTTACCCTCACCCCAAACCTTTATAAATCACCTAAGAGCTAGAAGGAGCCTATAAGGTATTTTGTCCAACACTCTTATTTTACAATTGAAAAACAATGAGTTAAAACTGGGCCTGGTTATTGACAGAGGTGGGTCTACCATCTAACTGTGCCTTCTTGTCCAGCATTTCCTCCACTTCCCATGTATCCAGAACCTAGAATTAAAACAACTGGCCGGGCACAGTGGCTCATGCCTGTAATCCCAGCACTTTGGGAGGCCAAGATGGGAAGATCATGAGGTCAAAAGATCAAGACTGTCTTGGCCAACACAGTGAAACTCTGTCTCTACTAAAAATACAAAAAATTAGCCAGGCATGGTGGCACGTGTCTGTAGTCCCAGCTACTCGGGAGGCTGAGGCAGGAGAATTGCTGAAACCTGGGAGGTGGAGGTTGTGGCGACCCAAGATCGTACCACTGCACTCCAGCCTGGGCAACAGAGCAATACTCCATTTCAGAACAAAAACAAAAAGAAAAACAAACCATGTTCTAAGTATTTCAAACATTTGTCTATTGTCTGTAGGATTTACTCCCTCCAGTTTCCTAGCAGAGAGAGAAAAGAGTAAAATTAGAATGATATGCATTTATTTCAATATTGAAACCACATTTTGAAGAGTTCACTGAACTAAATGAAGAACCTAAGCTGGTCTATTAACTATAAGCAGACTTCGCACATGAAAAACGGGACATTTTCTGGATGATTGACACTAAATTCAACTTGGACAGTGAGCTAGCATCCAGGAGAGCCAGTTACTTTGGTTTTAACAAACCCCAGAGAATGGATTTCCAGTCCTGTCTACTCAGTAGAATCAACTAAAGTTAGTTTTCCCCAGCTACAAATATCTACAAGTGTTAGCTAAAATATGAAGTTTATTTAAAAATACATAGTTGAATTAACAAAGACAGAGATTCTCAAATGCTAGAAACAAAGAGAAAATTAAAAGCCATACCAATATAGTGTGTGTCAAAGGTGTAGTCATCAGGGCTGAGAGCAGGGAGTTATCTGACCCAGAAATAAGAGTTTTAAGTTAGCATCCACATGAAGACAGGAGAGGAAGTTTGGGGTAGGGTTGGAACGGAGAGCTTTATATAAAGCTGATATCTTTGAAACTCACCACCTTCAATGAAGAGGAAACAAAACCAACCCATCGACGTGCTGCTACCCAGGTCTCAGAAAAGAAAAAAAAAAAAAAGTCTGAATTTAAATTACTTGCGTGGGGCAGGAAACTCTAAGTTAAGCTTGTAACATATGAATTGGCCCTGGGTTGATAATACCCCTGTAGCAATTCAAGATATTGAGGTAACAAAATTATCTTAAAAGATTAAAAAATAAGTATGTTTGAAGTTATGAAAGCGATTTCAAAGAAGAAATAGAAAATGTAAGGAAGAACAACACGTAATGAAAACAGGACAGATTGACAAAAGGAACAACTAGAAGCACGAGGGATAGTTTGAATTGAGGATGGACTGAATAGATTTAGCTACGCTCTCTACTTTTTGTCATTAGTTATCATTAGTTTATTAAAAAAGACAGATCTGGAAATTATTTACATGATGAAAGATTTCAGAACTTCAGTGGAATGGGCAGCTTCAAGTTGATGTCATTTCAATAGTAACTTATTTCAGTCTACATACTTCCCAAGAATGCACCATCTCTTTTTTATGTATTTATTATTTTGAGAAAGAGTCTCACTCTGTCGCCCAGGCTGGAGTGCAATGGCATGATCTTGGCTCACTGTAACCTCCGTCTCCTGGGTTCAAGCCATTCTCCTGTCTCAGCCTCCCGGGTAGTGGGGTTATAGGCACACACCACCACGCCCGGCTAATTTTTGTATTTTTAGTAAAGATGGGGTTTCACCATGTTGGCCAGGCTGGGCTCAAACTCTTGACTTCAGGTGATCCGCCCACCTTGGCCTCCCAAAGTGCTGGGATGACAGGCGTGAGCCACAGTGCCCAGTCAGAATGTCACCGTCTCTAAATAAGAAATAATCCTTGTCATCTAGAACTACTCTGGTGCCTCCATATTCTAGGAGAAGAAATTTATCTCCAACTCTCATGCTAACTGGTTGAATCTCTCCACCCTTTCCTTTAGAACCTGATCCAACAGCTACTCCTTTTGCTTGCAATACTTTTCCTTGAGATTTTTCTGGAAGCATAATGCCTCCTTTGGTTACAGTTGTGGTGGCAATCCTTTCAACAAATACTCTGTCAAAGAGTAGAAGAAACTTTCTAAATGCTTGTCCTGCCATGACTTCCTCAACCGCAGACTCATACTCCGCTCTCGTGCAGCACCACAAGGAGAGATCCCTCTATTCTTAATTTATAATGACATCCTCCTTTGGTTTTTTGGTTCCATAAAAGCTCTTATTAAAAAAAAACAAAACAAAAAGAAAAAAACAGTGAAATGTTGAACTTTTTTTTAAAAAAATTTTACTTTAGGTTCTAGGATACCTGTGCAGAATGTGCAGGTTTGTTACATAGGTATACATGTGCCATTGTGGTTTGCTGTGCCTATCAACCTGTCATCTAGGTTTTAAGCCCCACATGCATTAGGTATTTGTCCTAATGCTCTCCCACCCTTTGCCCCCCACCCCCCGACAGGCCCCGGGGTGTGATGTTCCCCTCTCTGTGTTCATGTGTTCTCATTGTTCAACTCCCACTTATGAGAGTGTCGAACATTTTACGAGGTTGAATAATGTTCCTTCAAAATTTATGTCCACCTGGGACCTCGAAATTGGCCTTTGCACACAGGGTCTTTGCAGATGTAATCAAGCAAAGATGAGGTCATACTGGATTGGGGTGGATCCCCATCTAAATGACTGGTGTCCTTCTAAGGAGGCCATGTGAAGACACACATAGAAACGCAGAAACACAGAAATATGGAACAGAAAGCCATGTGATGACAGAGGCAGAGAGGGGAGCAATACAGCTGCAAGCCAAGAAATGCCAAGGACTGCTGGTATAGGGGTCAAGGGAACTCTCCTTCCACTCTCTGAAGGTGTGATGATTTGAGTCTCTGAAATAAACATTACAGTAGACAGATTAACAGGAGAAAAGGCACACAAATTTATTACATGCATAAAGCAAAGGGGTTCCACAAAATATGAGACTCAAAGAAGGGCCAGGTGGTTGAAGCTTAGGTAGCATTTTAAGCTACAGAAAGAAATGGGGGCTTGGGGCTTCTGGCAGGGGGCAGTTGGCAACAGGTTATGGAAGGTGAGGAGAGGAAATATTTAATATATTGTAAATGAAAGGTTGTCTTGTTAGGCAGGTTGTCTCTCAGGTGGCAGCCCTGAAAAAAAAAGGGGACACTCTCTTTCAATCTCTGGACTCTGTCTGGGTTGCTAATATGATCTTTCCTAGACCTGTCTTTAGGCTGATAAGAAGGCCTCAGAGAAAGCTTCGGCTTGCATCTGCCATTTGGTTTACTGATGTAGATAGATGTAAATTTCTTTTACAAAAGGACAGCTTTTTAGAGCTATTTCTGTGTCTGCAGCTTCTCTGAATAGCTATCTCGATATATGCCAAAAAAGTATATTTTGGGGTAGCATATTTTGGTCTCCCACACTGGCAACCACCAAAAGCTCGGATTCTTCCTTAGAGATTCAGAGGCAGCATGATCCTGCAGACACCTTGAGTTTAGACGTTCAGCCTTCAAAAATGAGAGAAGTAACTGTCTGTTGCTATAAGCAAATCAGTTTGTGGTACTCTGTTATGGCAGTTCCAGAAAACTAATACAAACATATATTCAATAAAAATTCAGAAGGAGGAAACAGAGGTTTCAAGCAAGGCAATATTTGAAGAACATATAACTGAGAATTTTCCAGATTAGACAAAAGACAAGAATCATCAAATTTCAAGTCATCAAATTCAGCAAATAAAAATATAGAATTTCCAGTCACATTTGAATTTTAGATAAGCACAAAATAATTTTTAACACAAGTATGTTCTATGCAATATTTGAGTCATAATTACCTAATTCAAATTTAACTCAGCTGCCTATAATTTGTCTGGCAACCCTACTCAAATTGGACAATCAGAGAGTCCTGAACAGGACACATGAAAATAAACAAATGCCTAAATGAATCACCATGAAACTGCTGAGCAATAATAACAAAGAGAAAAACCTTTAAAACCGCCTTTAAACCCTTTAAAAACTACCACAGAAGCCAAAACAATGGATAACAGCAGATTTATCTTTAATGATAATAGAAACCAAAGAGAAATGGAATTAGAAACTCGAAGGGCCAAGGAAGAGCTGTCAAATGCATTCAGATACATTATCATTCAAGAGTAAGGACAAACTAAAATGTTTTATTACATGGCTGGACACAGTGGCTCATGCCTGTAATCCCAGCACTTTGGGAGGCCAAGGCAGGGGGATCGCTTGAGGTCAAGAGTTCAAGACTAGCCTGGCCACCATGGTGAAACCCCATCTCTACCTAAAATACAAAAATTAGTCGGGCGTGGTGGTGCACACCAGTAGTCCCAGCTACTTGGGAGGCTGAGGCAGGAGAATCGCTTGAACTTGGGAGGCAGAGGTTGCAGTGAGCCGAGATCGCGCCACTGCACTCTAGCCTGGGTGACAGAGAGAGACTCTGTCTCAAAAAAAAAAAAATATTATGACAAAGGCAGAATATTTTCCATTCACAGACCTTGATTGGAAGGATTATTGATTCATATACTAGGAAGTAATGCAAGGAGAGAAATTGCTGAGCATGTGGTCAAGTTTAAATATCGTTGCAGGTGGTCTTATAGCAGGCTCCCCAGTGCGGTCAGCCCCTTGATATTCATGCCTGTGTACAATCTCTCCTTGAGTGTGGACTTGCTTCTAACATATATAATGCAGCAGAAGTAATGGGAGGTCACTTCTAAGGTTAGGTTATAAAAAGGCTATGGCTTCCATCTTGGCTGCTTGCTCTCTTTCTTCTCCCTCTCCCCTCTCTCTCCTTCCCCCCGCCGGTCCCCAACACTCAAATCACTCATGCTGGGGAAAGTTAGCTGCCATGTTGTGATCAGCCCTGTGGTGAGGCCTACATGACATGAGCAGGAGCTGTGCCCTCAGTCCAACTGCTCACGAGGAACTGGATTTTGCCAAACCACATGAACGAGCTTGGAATCAGGTTCCTCAGCTCCACTTGAGCCTTGAGATGGCTGCAACCCTGGCCAACAGCTTGACCACAGTCTCATGTGAGGCTCTAAGCCAGAAACACCCAGATAAGCAGCTCCCAAGTTTCTGATCCACAGAAACTGACATAATAAATGACATGACAAATAAACTGACTTGTTTGTTGTTATAAGCTGCTAAGTTTTGGGGTAATCATTATGCAGCAATAACTAACTGATACAAATACTCGTAAACAATAACAATAGCAATGACTAACACTGGATCATATAACATGAGAGATACTGCAAGTGACTAGAGTCAGTGTGTTCTAAATTCCTTGTATTATTGATGAAGGTAGAGATATCAATTTATTTTAAAATTTGTTAAGTCAAGAGGTATATATAAGCTTTAAGAATAACCAGTGAAGGAATAAAAATATTACTTCCAAACCAGTGGAGAGGAGGAAAAAAGAGATAAGGAAAACCAGCAATTCAAGATAAGGCAAAAAAGGGAGAAAAATAGAAGCACAGAAAAAGTGTAGTGAAAAGGGCAAATAAGCTGTTAAAAATTAAAAGACATATCTCATATTCCATACATTCTAGAGCTTGTCAATTTCTCCTTTACACCACTCAGAGAAACTTCTAAAATACAATCTGCTCATAAATTGTATTCT